>NC_000001.11:67432622-67735653 GCF_000001405.40 Homo sapiens
AAGCATTTGGAGAAAAGGGGAGAATCTTCTATATTTCCAAAAAGTTTTGAAGCCCATTTTTAAAGTATACAAATAAAGCTCAAGGTGGTCTTTTACATCTCTCAATCGTTATTTTATAACTAGTTATTTTCACTAATGTTTCCTTTATTCTACAAAATTGAAATATTAATTTCTTAATATTAAATATTAAAATGTCTAAAAGTTCTTGCTACTCTCAATAGGAGAACATCAGCCAAATAAACCTCAAGGGAAGAGAAATTTCCTAGACACTATTATTCAAATTAAAGAAATGATTTATGAAAGCAACAAGTGTCAGACGATATCACTAGACATGTGGCCTAAAATGTCATCTCTCTGTAGCAATATTTGAATCACATCTTCTTCTCTGAAAAATACTCATGAAACTTCACAGTCTTATCTACAAGGATTTTCTAGCAATAAATGCTGAAAACCATGATTAAATATCTGATAGAGTTGCCTAATGTTAACAAAATGGAGAAACAATATTGTATCTCCTTCCTTCCTGCCTTCATTTACTTTCAGGATGCTAATACAGTACTCAATTCTCAGCCACATTACAATCTGCTTTCATCCATTTCTTGATAATCTCAACCCCGTTATTGTTGCTATAAATAGTAGCAATGACTAACAATTGCTGTACTACATTTTTTTGTACCCATGTTCAGTTGATTCTCCTGCCTCAGCCTCCAGAGTAGCTGGGATTACAGGCCTGTGCCACCACACCCGGCTAAATTTTTGTATTTAGCTGAAATTTTGTATTTAGACAGGGTTTCACCATGTTGGCCAGGTTGGTCTTGAACACCTGACCTCAAGTGATCCACCCATCTTGGCCTCCCAAAGTGTTGGAATTACAGGCGTGAGCCACTGCACTGGGCCTACTGTACTACAGTTTGAGCATTTATTATGCACTAGACACTGCTAAGTACTAAATACTTTACATGCATTATTTCCTTTAATTTTCAGAATGACATTATGAAGTAAAAGGTATTACTACCTCTATCCCCCTTTTATAGATAGGGAACCTGAGGTTAAGTGCCCCTCCCAAATTCACATTGACTGAAAGAGTCTGGCAGTCTGACCTTACAGCCTGGGCACCCAGTGGTAACACGGAAGAGGAAAAAGTCCTTCATCTTTACATTGCTACCATATGTAGCAAAATCAAACTATTCTAACAGTTTGGGGACAGAGGATATAGGCATCACATCAATGTAAGTAGATTAATTTTTAGCGTATTCAATGTATAATGTATTTTTAAAACAAAACCACTAAAGGTGCTCCTTGTGAAGAAAAGGACAAATCCCCTATGTCTGACAATGGAATGCTAAGTATAATATTGCAAGTCTAGGCTCGTGCTAAAGTTAGAATATCAGAGCTAAAAATAGAAATGTTACACTCCTTTTTCCACCTCAAACTCACTTTGAAAGTTGGGCTTCTTGGTTTTAAACTTCCTTTTTTTTTTCTGTGTTATGCTCTTCAAAAAAAAAAAGGAGAACATAGCTATATAGAGATATAATTCATGTGCTATATAATTCACCCACCTAAAGGATACCAGTTAATGGTTTTTAGTATATTCACAGAGTTGTGCAGCCATCACCACTATCTAATTTTAGAGCATTTTAATCACCCCTGAAAGAAAACTATACCCATTAGCAGTCATTCCTTATTCCTTCTACCCCCAGCCCTAGGCAATCACTAATTTACTTTCTGTCTCATAGATTTGCCTATTCTGGACATTTCATATAAATGGAATCTTACAATGTGTGGTCTTTTGTAACTGGCTTCTTTCATTTATCACAGTGTTTTCAACGTTCATGCGTGTTGTACCATTTATCACTACTTCTTTTTTTTTTGTAACTGAATAATATTCCACTGTATAAATAAACTAAATTTTATTTATCCATTCATCAGTTGATGGAAATTTGGGTTGTTTCCACCTTTTGTCTATTATGGATAATACTGTTAGGATTATTTGTTTGCAGGGTTTGGGTGGACATATGTTTTTGATTCTTTTGGAATGGAATTGCTGGGGTCATATGGTAACTCTATGTTTACATTTTGAGGAACTGCCAAACTATTTTCCAAAAAGGCTGCACAATTTAACAGTCCCACCAACAATTATGTGAGTTCCAAGTTCTCCACGTCCTCACTAATGTTTGTTATTGTCTGTCTTTTTTATTATAACCATTCTACTGGGTGTGAAGTGGTTCTGCTTGTGGTTTTTTATTGCGTTCCCCTAATGGCTAATGATGTTGGGCATCTTTTTACATGTTTATTAGCCATTTTTGTATCTTCTTTGGAGAAGTGTCTATTCAGATCCTTTACCTTTTTAAAAACTGGTGTACCTCTCTTTTTTATCATCACATTGTAAGAGTTCTTCATATATTCTAGATGCAAGTTTCTTATCAGATATAGGACTTGCAGATATTTTTTTTCCCCATTCTGGGGATCGACTTTTCACTTTCTTTTTTTGTTTTTCTCTTTTTAATTCTTTTATTCTTTTGTTTTTCTCCCATAGCCAACATCATAAGACTTTTTACTTTGTTGATAGTATCCTTCGGGGCATAAAAGTTTTTAATTTGATGTGATCTTTATGATAAAATCCAATTTATCTATTTTTTTGGTCACTTGTGCTTCTATTGTCTTTTTTTGTTTTGTTTTTTGTTTGTTTGTTTTTGAGATAGGGTCTCACTCTGTCACCCAGGCTGGAGTGCGCGGGCTGATGAAGGCTCACTGTAGCCTTGAACTCCTGGGATCAAGTGACCCTCCCTCCTCAGTCTCCCGAGTAGCCGGGATGACAGGTGCACGCTAGCACACCGCCTAATTTTTTGTGTGTTTTTTGTAGAGATGGGGTTTCACCATGTTGCCCAGGCTGGTTTCAAACTCCTGAGCTCAAGCGATTCATCCACCTCGCCTCCCAAAGTGTTGGGATTATAGGCATGAGCCACTGCACCCAGCCCTCTATTGTCATATCTAACAAGCTTTTGCCTAATCTAAGGTCACAAAGATTTACTTCTATGTTTTCTTCTAAAAGTTTTATAGATTTTTACACCAGGCGCGGTGGCTCATGCCTGTAATCCCAGCACTTTGGGAGGCTGAGGCAGGTGGATCACTAGGTCAGGAGATCGAGACCATCCTGGCTAACACGGTGAAACCCCATCTCTATTAAATATACAAAAAAAATTAGCCGGGCGTGGTGTCAGGCACCTGTAGTCCCAGCTCCTCGGGAGGCTGAGGCAGGAGAATGGTGTGAACTGGGAGGTGGAGCTTGTGGTGAGCCGAGATGGTGCCACTGCACTCCAGCCTGGGCAACAGAGCGAGATTCCGTCTCAAAAAAAAAAAAAGTTTTATAGATTTTTTTAAAAATAGTTTTAGGCCTTATAGCTAGGCCTTAATCTTTAAAAATTAATTTTATGGGCCAGGTGCGGTGGCTCACGCCTGTAATCCCAGCCTTTAGGATGTCGAGGCAGGCGGATCACGAGGTCAGGAGATCGAGACCATCCTGGCTAACATGGTGAAACCCCGTCTCTACTAAAAATACAAAAAAATTAGCTGGGCGTGGTTGCAGGCACCTGTAGTCCCAGCTACTCGGGAGGCTGAGGCAGGAGAATGGCACGAACCCAGGAAGCGGAGCTTGCAGTGAGCCGAGATGGCGCCACTGCACTCCAGCCTGGACAACAGAGTGAGACTCTGTCTCCAGAAAAAAAAAAAAGAAAAAAATTTTGTGTTCAGTATATTCCCCTTCTTTTTAAGTTAATTTTGAATAGTAAAACCAAAAAGAAAAACTTCAGAAGAAATAGAAGAGATACTGTTATTCATCTTATGCTTCTTTTAAAAATATTTTATTTTAGACATTACAACAGAGCTCCAGTTTTTAAATTTAAATACATCCAATGACATTCTGAATGTGGAAAATATATTTCACACTTACTACTATTTATCCACCTTGATAATAAACATGTAGTTCAATATCTATTTATTGAATATCCGCCAGTGTGTCGAGCACTGTTATGAGCCCTGAGGATTCTGTGGTAAACAAAACAAGCAACCCCTCTGTTTTCATGGAGTTTACGAGCTGGCAGAGAGAAGCAAAGAATAAGGAAGTAAATAAATATAAGTAAACAAGATCATTTTCAGAGTCATAAGTATAGAGAATGTGCTGTGAATAGGGAACAACTTTTTTATATTGTATGGTCAGAAACCCTTAGAGGTGAGTGAGGCCTGAATCATGACAAGGAACTAGCCTTGCGAAGATTTGAAGAAACAGTAAGCAAGAGAGCATGAGGTAGGAAGTTGCTTACAAGTTCCAAGACAAAAAACCAAACCAAACCCAAAGATCTCTGTATGTCCTTAGCCAAATGAACATGAAGTAGGGGAGTGAGCTGGAAAACAGAACCTGTGGTGAATGCAAAAGTAATTAAGTCTGTGTGTGCTTTCGAGTTGCTTCTAGTTTTCCTTTTAAAGAAGGATCCTGGCTGGGCACGGTAGTGCACGCCTGTAATCCCAGCACTTTGAGAGGCTGAGGCAGGTGCATCACCTGAGGTCAGGAGTTTGAGACCACCCCGACTAATGCAGTGAAACCCTGTCTGTACTAAATACAAAAAAGTTAGCCTGGTGGAGGGCCCCTATAATCCCAGCTACTCGGGAGGCTGAGGCAGGAGAATTGCTTGAACCCAGGAAGCAGAGGTTGCAGTTAGCCAAGATCATGCCACTGCACTCCAGCCTGGGCAACAAGAGCGAAACTCAATCTCAATAAATAAATAATAAAGAAGAATCCTTCAACTAACACAGTAATAAAGTTTAAAATTTCATTTCAACCAATGAACTATTCTGTAAGCAAAATTCTCATGTTATTCTGAGAGGCCAGCTCAACCCATTCTTGAAGGTCTAACCTGATACCTTAGGTACTGAGAGGGCAAAGGCATTTCTGTTGTATCCAATGGGAGCTCAAACATTGCTTTTTTCCTTTTTTCATAGAGAAAAAGTCTTGCTGTGTTGCCCAGGCTGGTCTTGAAGTCCTGGGCTTAAGTGATCCTACTGCCTTAGCCTTCTGACTTCAAACATTGCTTTTTTTACTAAGAAAATAGTTTCCTCTCCATACTCTGTTTTTTGGCTTCTGTGAAGTGGATTAGAAGGAATAACAAATAGTGCTGACAGAAGCCTTCTTCATGGTGATGACATTATTTACTAGGAGCTACCACAGAGGTGGGACAAAACATGTCCAGGTGGTGTCCCTAGAACTGAAAAATTGAAAGAGATAATTCTAAGCACAACACTCAGCCATAGTAAGCACCTAATAAATGGTAGCCATTATCTCAGTAGCTTTGACTAATCCCCAGAGATATTGCTCTTGATTGCTGGCTTGAATCTCTTAGGTTTTTACTGCTTCCAGAGGAAACAAATGGTAAGCTTAATAGAGATGGAGCCTCCAGGACTGGCATTCATAGTGAAGATTATCTGTAGAAATTTTGGAGTAAATCGTGTGTGTACACAGAGATCATAGGTCAAACAGAGATACAGGAGTGAGGGTCACGAGGTCCTGCTGTCCAGCACCACCACTAGGAGAATCTCCCTTTATTGCCAACTTTGTAGAGAATGGGTTTGAGTTTATGAAGGATATTCCTTTGTATATTTGAATCTGGGATCTCTGACTTCCTAGAAATTGCATGCAAAATTTGTTCATATTTCCAGAGTAGAATTTACTTTCATCAGATCATGAAAAGGATCTAAGAGCAAATTGACAGAGACAGAAAGTAGATAGGGCTTATCTAGGGCTGTGGAGGGGCCATGGGGAAGAACAGCTAGTGATTGCTAATGGTTTCTTTTAGGGTTGATGAAAATGTTCTAAAATTAGATTGTAGTGATGGTTGCACAACATTGTGAATATATTAAATAGCATTGAATTGTAAAGTTTAAGTGGGTAAATTGTATGATATGTGAATTATATCTCAATAAAGGTTTTTTTTTTAAATAAAAGTGTGTAAGACATTCAAAAGACTAAGAACCACTGCTGTTTAGTATTAACCTCTGACCGTGTTCTGTTTTCTTTTCTTTTTTATTTTTATTTTTATTTTTTTTGAGACGGAATCTCGCTCTTTCCCCCAGGCTGGAGTGCAGTGGCGCGATCTTGGCTCACTGCAACCTCCGCCTCCCAGGTTCAAGTGATTCTCCTGCCTCAGCCTCCCAAGTAGCTGGGATTACAGGCACCCTCCAACACACCCGGCTAATGTTTGTATTTTTAGTAGAGATGGGTTTTGCCATGTTGGCCAGGCGGCTCTTGAACTCCTGGCCTCAAGTGATCCACCCACCTTGGCCTCCCAAAATACTAGGATTAGAGGCATGAGCCACTGTGCCTGGTCCATTTTATATTTTCTAATCCCACAACACTCACAACTATCATGTACTGAGTGTTTACTATGTGCTAGGCACTATACTAGGCACTCTACATGTATTATTAATATATTACGAATCCTAACAAACTATGATGAAGGTTTATTAGCCATACTAATCCTGAAACCAACAAATAGTAGAGACTGGATTTGAATTCAATTGCAAGGAGCTCCAAAAGCTCATGCACTTTCCATTATGCTATCAGTATTTCTCAGACTTTTTCAACAAAGTACCCATAATGGCTAGAAGGATACAACCTGTGAAAGCAGTGTAAGATACTACTGCGCTTCCACTCTGCTCTAATCAGTCATCACATTCTAATAATTCTTCTTCGTCTTATCTCTCAAACTTCTCCATTCCAATGGCCAGCAAACCACTGCAGGCCTTTATTTCTCACCAGGGGTTACTGTAACTGGAGCCCTGACTCCAGCATTCCTCTGGTCTGGATTATCTGATCATATCTTTGCTAGAGGTAAAGCATTCCATGGCTCCCATTACATAAGGATCAAGTCCAAACTCCTCTACAAAGCACCGCAGGCCTTTGACAAGCTGGTGCCATTTTCCTTCCAGCCTCCTCATTCTCTTCCTACCACTGCCCCATGTACCTCAAGCCATACAGGATTACTTGCTCTACCTCTTCCTGCTTCTGCATGTGCCCCATGCACAGGCACATGCTCCGTGCCCTTTACATACATTATAATTCACATTCTGTTCTAGTGATTCATGTTGCAAATTTCTTCTCATCCATCAGGTCTCACCTTGGGCTCCCTTCCTCTGAGATGCCTCCTCCTGATTCCTAAACCTCATGGCCCACACGTGCTCTAACATTACCTACTTCCACCCTACTTGCAGAATTTATCACACTGCGTTGTCATTGTTTGTTCCTCTATTTACCTCTTCTAGTAGTTTGTAAATATTTGTAGTGGGGTATTTTGTTTAGCTGTCATACTCCTAGGGCCTAGTGCTTAGCTCATAAAAATATCTATTGAAGGAATGAATATCCAGTACTTCCTACTGGATTATGAGTCCTTTTGTTTCCTCATGCTTAGTATACTTCTATTTCCTAAATATCTGTTTGATGATACCTCATGCTTATTGAGGATTTACTATGTGCTAGGCAGTGTTTTAAGTGTTTCGTATGGATTAACTCATTTAAAATAATAATACCTATGTGAGGTTAGTGTCATCATTAATCCATGTTACCATGGGATCTGAGGCACAGAAAGGTTAAACAACAAGCTGTATGAACTTGAGCAAGTAATTGGCAAAACCACCATTCAAAGGAAGCAGTCTGGTTCCAGTACCTGCTCTCCTAACATTACGCCCTATTGCCTGTGTGTCTGTAAGTGCTTGTCAAACGAAGAAATGAATAAATAGAATCCTTTCCTACTTTGACAGAAGTAGAAGTTGTGAGACCATTTATGAGAGGAGGAAAGAAGATGTATTAGGAATTGGAATGCACTTCATTTCTCATAGGAGTAATGTCATGGATATTCTTGGCAATGGTTCAAAATGTGAGTTGGCTGATCATTCTCGGAGGTGGCAGAGCCTGGCTTTGATCTGGGGGCTGTATGAACCTGTTTCTATGTGTTGCTATAGAATAAATGCTCTCCCATCAAACCATCACCTTACTTCATAGCCATGGGACCTAGGGCACATTTGTTAGCCTCTATAAGCCTCAGTTTTCTTAACCATTAAATGGGAATATAGTTATTCGGGATCTCTTAGGACTGAGGATTCAATGAGTTAACACATGTACAACACTTAAAACAGGGCAGGGCATGCAGTTAAGTGCTCAAAAAATAAGAAGGAAAAAGTTTTTCCCCTTGGAAAGGGGGACCAGATCCAAATGATCATATCAGTGGTTTATGAATAGCTGCCAGCACCTTTTCCAAATGAGTAGAAGCAAGAAGAGAAAGTATCCAAATTTAAACCACTTCTACTACTTTTCCACAAGTTTGGGAATTTAACATTAGGAAAGACAAGGCCATTGTAAATGTTTGCTAAAAGGAAATGTTGGGGACAACACAAATAAACAATAACTTTAGGGATTCTCCACAGCTCCTGAGAGTGTCTGATCATATATTTATACTTAGAGAACACCTCTCTTTTGAGGAATCTAAGTAACGTTTTAAATTAGACAGAACCTTCCTAGCTCAAGAGCATTCTAAATTCTGTGAACAATTTCAAGAGCCTGTTTTCACCTTTCTCTCAATCATCTTTTTCCCTCCTTTCCCCTCCAGCTACAAACTTTCCCTCACAAACAACTTTTTAAAATGCGCTGGTAAAATCCTTGAGTTCCTTTTTGTTTGAGAAGAAAACGGTTAAGGATGAAAGTAAAAGAAAACAGAGAAATACTCAGTCCCTTGGCTGCCTGCCAGGAAAAATGCCAAATGTCAGAGGCCTTACTGAAAGCTACCCAGACATATGCTGGAGGGACTGGCTCACCACTAGGTAACTCTCCAGGGAAATTTACACCAACAGCCTGAAAATCAGATGGTTTCAGGAACTCTGTCCCAACGAGATCCTACAACCAAAGTTGATGGTAAAATATTAGGGCCTTAAGCGCCTAAATCAGTCACTAAGCAAGAGCCTAGGATTTCAGGTTACGTGCAGAGGATTCAAAAATCTGAAGGCCATATCTCAGGATGGAGAGGCCTGCAGATTTTGGAAAGCCATATCTCAGGATGGAGAAAGCACAGGCCCAGGGGCCAGAGAGACCTCAGTTTGGATCCTGGCCCACTACTTAAACCACCTTGGAAATTTTGTGCGAATGGCTGATTCTCACCAAACTACTATTTCTTCAGCTTTAAAATTAAGAGTAAAACAGTACCCACCTCACAGAGTTGTGGTGAGAATCAAATCAAAAGTTACTAACACATTTAAGTACCCTGCTCAGTATATGTTAGTTACCACTACTAGTTTCACTAACTCTCAACATTTGTAAGTGGAAACCAATGCCTCATCTTATAGCTCCTAGTATGGAGGCTTTTAGACTTTGTTGGTCTGAGTTTATTTTCATTATGTCTATGCTCATAAATCACCCCAGAGAATCTGGGTGTGTTTAATAACTCGACCATGAATTTCCAGGGCAAAAGAAACCTAAAATGAACTGTACTTCCCTTGTACAGTTCTCTTTCCTTCCCTTCACTTGTACTTCCCATGTTTTTTTTGCCCTAGAAATCAAGAATCAAGAACAAGTGGTATACTTATTAATATCATAGCACCTATTATCTTTCAAGCACCTGATACGTTATTCCACTGTTTTTTTTTTTTTTTTGAGACTGAGTTTCGCTCTTGTTGTCCAGGCTGGAGTAAAATGGCACAATCTCGGCTCACTGAAACCTCCACCTCCTGGGTTCAAGGGATTTTCCTGCCTCAGCATCCTGAGTAGCTGGGATTACACGCATGTGCCACCATGCCTGGCTAATTTTTGTGTTTTCAGTAGGGATGGGGTTTCACCACATTGGCCAGGCTGGTCTTGAACTCCTGACCTCAAGTAATCCGTCTGCCTCGGCCTCCCAAAGTGCTGGGATTACAGGCGTGAGACACCGTGTCCAGCCCACTATTCCCACTTAATCATCACAATGGCCCATATGGGAGTATCATTAATCCTACTTTATAAATAAGGAAATGGAGGCTCTCAGAGGCTTACCTACCTAGTAAATGGTAAAACTGAGATTTATCTCTAGGATTGTCAAACTCCAAGCTTTCTTTTGTCTCCCCTATAAGGTCTTAGAGCTGAAATCTTAAAGATTTAGCAGTGTAATCTAGAAAAGCTCAATATTTTTACTGAACATGAACCTGTAACAAGGGCTCAAAAAGTCATTTGTTTCAGTATCCCCTGACACTATGTTGAGATCAGAGTCCTCCTTAAGCACACTTCTCATAGGCACATACTTGTTTTGAGGACCTATCTTTAATCCTACTAGAAATAAGCCAAAAGATAGGGTTCATACACTGAAGCTGCCTTATTCATCCACACATGGTAATGAACGCCTACCAATAGGGTAGGGCTTGCAGGGAAACCTGAAAGAGGCAGAGCACCCAATCAAAGCAATGAGGCACCCCAAATATCCCTGCAGCAGAATGTGTTTTCCAAAGATGAACACAGATATGTCTCAGCCCACATGCTCTTCTGCAATGTGATCTTGCAACTCCCCAATTCAGAGGTGGAGTCTATGGGTATGTGAGGCAATGCATATATTAATTAGCTCAATTTAACCATACCACAATGTGTACCTATTTCAAAACAACATGTTTGTATATGATTAAAACATATAGTTTTTATTTGTCAATTAAATAAAAAAAAAAGAGTCTGGGTGCAGTGGCTCATGCCTGTAATCTCAGCACTTTGGGAGGCCGAGGTGGGTGGATCACCTGAGGTCAGGAGTTCGAGACCAGCTTGGCCAGCATGGTGAAACCCTGTCTCTACTAAAAATACAAAAATTAGCCTTGCATGGTGGAAGGCGCCTATAATCCTAGCTGCTCGGGAGGCTGAGGCAGGACAATCGCCTGAACCCGGGAGGCAGAAGTTGCAGTGAGCTGAGATCACGCCACTACACTCCAGCCTGGGCAACAGAGCAAGACTCCATCTCAAAAAAATAAAAAATAATAAATAAATAAATAAAAGAGGTGAAGTCTAATTCCCTTACCCTTGAATCTATGCTGCTCTTAATCTCTTGCTTGACCGATAGAATGTGTTGCAAGTGATGCTCTGGGTCTCCTGAAGTAGAGTAATAGGAAGTATGTCCATGCTTGGATCTCTTGAGACACTTGCTTTTGAGATACTCTCTTTGAGAAGTTCAGACCAAACAGAGAAGTTAGATGTGGGGACTCCAGGTGACAGCCTTAGTGTAACTCTGCATCAACAGCCAGCATCAAGTGCCAGCCTGTGAGTGAGGCATCTTGGATGTCCAGTCTAGCCAAGCCTTCAGATGACCGCAGCCTCAGCAAGGACTAGCTCCATAACTTGCAGGGACCAGTGCAAAACAAAGATTTGGGGCTCAAAAAAAAAAAAAGAAAAAGAAAAGAAAATTTGGGGCCCCATGTTCAAAAAATAAGATTGAGTGGGAGTGGGTGAGGCTGCTGCAGGCCATGCCCATGTCCCTGCTCCCAGGTAATAATTATTTTTAAACATTTAAATTAAAAACAAAACCAACCAACAACAACGAAATAACTAAAAGTATTAAGGATTCAAGACAGCAACAGCACAGCATTGAACCAAGCATGAGGCCCCTTCTAAGCATGGGGCCCTATGTGACTGCACAGGTTACCTGTCACAAAGCAACCCTGGCTTTAGTAGACATTGACCACAACAAGTCAAAAGACTCTAAGAAGTTCTGGGCTGGGCACGGTGGCTCACGCCTGTAATCCCAGCACTTTGGGAGGCCGAGGCGGGTGGATCACCTGAGGCCAGGAGTTTGAAAGCAACCTGGCCAACATGGTGAAACCCCGTCTCTACTAAAAATACAAAAATTAAGGGCCGGGTGAGGTGGCTCACCCCTGTAATCCCAGCACTTTGGGCCGAGGTGGGCAGATCACAAGGTCAGGAGATTGAGACCATCCTGGCTAACACGGTGAAATCCCGTCTCTACTAAAAATACAAAAAATTAGCTGGGCGTGGTGGCGTGCGCCTGTATTCCTAGCTACTTGGGAGGCTGAGGCAGGAGAATGGCGTGAACCTGGGAGGTGGAGCTTACAGTGAGCCGAGATGGTGCCACTGCACTCCAGCCTGGGCAACAGAGCGAGACTCTGTCTCAAAAAAAAAAAATACAAAAATTAACTGGGCGTGGTGGTGGGCGCCTGTAATCCCAGCTACTGGGGAGGCTGAGGCAGGAGAATGGCGTGAACCTGGGAGGTGGAGGTTGCAGCGAGCCGAGATCGTGCCAATGTACTCCAGCCTGGGCGACAGAGAGAGACTCTGTCTCAAAAAAAAAAAAAAAATTCAAAAATTAGCTGGGCATGGTGGTGGGTGCCTGTAATCCCAGCTACTCAGGAGGCTGAGGCAGGAGAATCGCTTGAACCTGGGAGGCAGAGGTTGCAGCGAGCCGAGATCGTGCCAATGCACTCCAGCCCGGGTGACAGAGCAAGACTCCGTCTCAAAATAAATAAATAAAAGAAAAAATAAAAAGAATTCCCAGTCAACCTGTAGAACCATGAGAGACAATTATAAACTGTTATTTTAATACAATAAGTTTTGGGGTGATTTGTTATGGTGCAATAGATAATCATAACATTGCTACAAGACAGATGCTGGTAGTCCTAATCAGAAAAATGCTAAAAGCAGTGAGTCCATGAAGGGACCCTATGCTCAAATACATACAATGAGGTTGATTTTACACAATGAAACACATAAATCTCAGATCCAGAAGTAAGACCTTCCTGGAATCAGAGAGATTCCCATTTGGGCAGACCCTAGGAGAGGAAGGCAGGCTATATACCTTCCTCAGAAATAGCTAAGGATGAGACATTACCATTAAAAATAAAAGTCAAAGTATGAATAAAGTTGTACTCTGCAATAGATTTTTTGGTGCAATAGAAAGAAGTTAAAAATGTGGGAGTGCGCCAGGTGTGGTGGCTCATGCCTGTAACCCCAGCACTTTGGGATGCCTGAGGTCAGGAGTTCGAGACTAGCCTGGCCAACATGGTGAAACCCTATTTTTACTAAAAATACAAAAATTAGCTAGGCATGGTGGTAGGCGCCTATAATCCCAGTTACTCAGGAGGCTGAGGCAGGAGAATCACTTGAACCCCGGGGGGTGGAGGTTGCACTGAGCCGAGATTGCGCCACTTCACTCCAGCCTGGGTGAAAGTGCGAAACTCTGGCTCAAAAACAAACAAACAAACAAAAACAATTGGGAGTGTGCCAGGGGTGGTGGTTCACGCCTGTAACCCCAGAACTTTGGGAGGTCGAGGCAGGCAGATCACCTGAGGTCAGGAGTTCAAGACCAGGCTGGCCGACATGGGGAAAACCCCATCCCTAATAAAAATACAAAAAAAATTAGCCAGGCTTGGTGGCGCATGCCTGTGGTCCCAGCTACTTGGGAGGCTGAGGAAGGAGAATTGCTTGAACCTGGGAGGCGGGGGTTGCAGTGAGCCGAGATTGTGCCACAGCACTCCAGCCTGCACGACAGAGTAAAACTCCAGCTCAAAAAAAAAAAAAAGAAAAAAAAAAGGGGGAAGTGAACAGCTGTGCATGGTTGAGTGTGCTTATAGCCCCAGCTACTCAAGATGCTGAGGCAGGAGGATGGCTTGAACCCAGAGTTTGAAGCTGTAGTGCACCACGATCACCCCTGTGAATAGCCACTATATTCCAGTCTGGGCAACATAGAGAGACCCCATATCTAAAAAAACAGAAAAAAAAAATGATGGAGTAAACTACTTTGGTTATCTCTCTGAGGCATCAAGGAGACCATCCTGTGCATGCATAAATAGTCTGATTCTCTAAGAGGTGAAGATGTTGGAATCTACAAACTATAGCTTAGTTACTTCAATGTACATCTTGGGCTAGATTCTGGAACAGCATGTTGAGGGAATAGTTTTCGAATTACTAAAAGAGGAAGAATTTATTACTAGGATCCCACATGGATTCATTAGGAACAAATCATGGTAGACAAAGTAGGTATTCAAGAAATACTTGCTCCACAAATTAAACGTATTTTTTTCTTTGATGGAGTCACCGCACATTTCATAAAGAATTAATGGCATTTAGCATAGCATTTCATGAATTCCTTGAGAAAAGGAGAGAGATATAGGTCACAGGATAGTAAAGTTAGGTGATTTGTAATTGATTCAACAGTCAGTTGCCAATGCTTTGTAAGAGTCAGAAGAAGTATACTACCTGGTCTATCCAGCATAATGGACTAGAGTATGGATTTTGATGTCATTGCTTTGCTATTTGCTAGGGGTAAGAACTTGGGCAAGTTACATAACCTCTCTCTACCACAGATCATATAGGGTAGGCATGAAGTAGTTAAATGGAAAACCTGAGGTCAGTTGGCTATGTTCAGCCCCCAGAGAATTAGGGCAGGTGGTTTCTCTGCCAGGGAGACAATTACAGTGAAAGGCAGGAAATAACCAGAGGAAAAGGTTTTTGAGTAAGAGGAGAGTCTTCCGGGCAGCACTTGGCACAGGAGATAGCCTTTTTTTTTCAATAGACTCTGGGCACTGAGGTCCTAACAGCCTGATCTTGAGGGCAGAGAAGAGCCACAGAGCCTTTGGAAGGATTTTCACTGGAGGGAGAATCCTGGCTCCTGATATATGTGGGTCTGATTTATTATTATTATGTCCAGACCCAAAACATAAGAATAATATGAATTCAGCAACAGAAATATGTCATATAGGGGAAGCCCATGCTTGAAGGACCAAACCTGGTACCCTCAGAAAGTGAGAGTTCTGTGCAGTTGGCAGATCAGCATTAAAACAGGAAAGCGAACAATCCAGGGATAGCCAGGAGGCTTGACACAGGACTGTCAGGAGAGCCCTGTGGCCTGGGCTTCCCATCCAAAGCCCTCCCATGTACACTTGTTTTTTTCCTTATGGTACACAATGCTTGCTATCTTTAATTGTGTTTTCTTTCTTTCTTTCTTTCTTTCTTTCTTTCTTTCTTTCTTTCTTTCTTTCTTTCTTTCTTTCTTTCTTTCTTTCTGTTTTTTTTTTTGAGATGGAGTTTCGCTCTTGTTGCCTGGGCTGGAGTGCAATGGCGTGATCTCGGCTCACTGCAACCTCCACCTCCTGGGTTCAAGCGACTCTCCTGCCTCAGCCTCCCAAGTAGCTGGAATTACAGGCATGTGCCACCATGCCCGGCTAATTTTGTATTTTTAGTAGAGATGGGGTTTGGCCATGTTGGTCAGGCTGGTCTCAAATTCCTGACCTCAGGTGATCCACCTGCCTCAGCTTCCCAAAATGTTGGGATTACAGGCATGAGCCTCTGCGCCCAGCCCTTTTGTCTTTTCTCACCTAAAGTGATACAATGGATTCTTCCACTGCAACTAATATTTGCAGAGAACCTCTTATGTGCAAAGATAATGTGTAGGCACCATAGGAGATTTAAGGGTAACATTGTGAAACCATAAACGGTAAACAAAAGGATCATAGTCCATATATTGGGGAGGCAAATATTCTGGAGAAAAAAGCTAACACATCACTTAGTGAGTCTTAAAAATAAAGTACAGATATCTTGAGAATACCTATGGACTTTTTTTTGAGCTGGAGTCTCACTCTGCCACCCAGGCTGGAGTGCTGTGGCAAGATCTCAGCTCACTGCAACCTCTTCCTCCCGGGGTTCAAGCGATTCTCCTGCCTCAGCCTCCTGAGTAGCTGGGATTACAGGCATGCACACCATGCCCAGCTAATTTTTGGATTTTCGGTAGAGATGGGGTTTCGCCATGTTGGTCAGGCTGGTCTCATACTCTTGGTCTCAAATGATCTGCCCACTTTGGCTTCCCAAAGTTCTGGGATTACAGGCATGAACCACTGTGCCCGCCCACTTACGGACTTTCCAAGGGCTCTTAGGCATGGATGACTTTAGGGAATCTAATTCCAGTTTGTGTGCTCCATTTGTATTCTTTGCTAAAATTATTTTAACTAAGAACTCACTGATAAATGAGGTGATAGGGATTCTCAGTCTCCACTTTCCCTTATACAATCCCTTCTCCCACTTTATAAAACACAAACTCTCAGCCATCTGCATGCATCCCATGGCAGTCAAAGGGGGTAATTCTTGGTTTTTTTTGATGTTATTTTCAAATGAGATTATATATTTGTCCTAGTGATATACTTACAGAATTGAAAGAAAATCATGTTCATTATGCAATTTTAAACTTGTGTTTCATTACTGGACCCCACCACTGTAATGTGTTATCAATTAACATTTTCTTTTTCTTTCTCTTTTTTTAAGCCAGAGTCTCACTCTGTCACCCAGGCTGGAGTGCAGTGGTGTGATCTCGGCTCCCTGCAACCTCCACCTCCTGGGTTCAAGCGATTCTCCTGCTTCGGCCTCCTGAGTAGCTGGGAGTACAGGCATGCTCCACCACGCCTGGATAATTTTTGTATTTTCAGTAAAGATGGGGTTTCACCACGTTGCCCAGGCTGGTCTCGAACTCCTGACCTCAACTGATCCATCTGCCTTGGCCTCCCAAAGTGCTGGGATTATAGCCATGAGCCACCGTGCCCGGCCACCAAGATTTTCAAAACCCATACATGGCCTGGGCTTCTCTCAGCCTCTAAGACAAGGTAGGGGAAAGCCAGGCTCAGAATCATGACAGTGAAAATAGATGATTTAGGTCAAGACACCACAGGTGCTACTCCCTGGCTGAGTTTCTCCAGAATCAGATATGTGACATGGGGATGCTGGCCCCAGCCTTATGAGTAACCATTTGTGTATGTTCCTTCTCTATTGACATTAGTTTTCTCCCTTTAAACAGGGGACAATGTTGGACTTACTGCTGTAAGATAGTTTCTATCTTTGACATTTTAAGCAGCTGTTAATACCTGAGGTGAGAGAAAGGTGATCCTCAATTCCTTATCTAAAACCTTTGGAGACAGAGTTTATCAGAATTAAGAATTTTTCAGATTTAGGAAAGTTAATATGTGCATGTAAAGTATATTATGTAACACTCCAATAAAGCAGACTTGTAATCATAATCAAATGTAATTTCTGCAGTGAAATTTAGAATACTCATAGTAAGTGGTGAATAAAGAATATATATAGCCACATGACACGTGAGCTCAGTTCAGGTTTTGCTACTAAATGAATTCAGGTTATGTTAGGTCTTGCCACAGAATGAGTTACAAAACAAAATGAAACAAAAAACCACCAACTTTCAATTTTTAAAACTTTTCAAAGATTTCTGAGTTATGCAGTTAACCCTAGTACCACTCTAAATGTATGCTTTCTATTAAATAACATTTATGAGGCCAGGTGCAGTGGCACATGCCTGTAATCCCAGCACTTTGGGAGGCCAAGGCAGGTGGATCACCTAAGATCAGGAGTTTGATACTAGCCTGGCCAACATGGCGAAACCCAGTCTCTACTAAAAATACAAAAATTAACAGGGCATGATGGCTTGTGCCTGTAATCCCAGGTGCTTGGGAGGCTGAGGCAGGAGAATCGCTTGGACCCAGGAGGCAGAGGTTGCATTGAGCCAAGATAGCACCACTGCACTCCAGCCTGGGTGACAGAGTGAGACTCCATCTCAAGAAAAAACTAAAAAAATAAAAAAAATAAAAAAAATCATGCACATCTACACACAGGTTAAGCATTTCTAATTTGAAAATCCAAAATCTAAAGGGTCCCAAAATCTGAAACTTTTTGAGTGCTGAATTACTAAAGAGGAATTACTAAAGAGGAAGAATTTATCACTAGGATCCCACAGGATTCATTAGGCACATAATGCCATGTGGTAGCTGATACAGTGACACCTTTGCTTTCTGATGGTTCAATATACACAAACTTTGTCTCATACAAAATTATTAAAAATATTGTATGAAATTACCTTCAGGCAATATGTATAAGGTATATATGAAATATAAATAAACTTCAGGCCAGGTGCGGTGGCTCACACCTGTAATCCCAGCACTTTGGGAGGCAGAGGCAGGTGGATCATAAGGTCAGGAGTTCGAGACCAGCCTAGCCAACATGGTGAAACCCAGTCTCTACTAAAAATACAAAAATTCACCAGCCGTGGTAGTGGACGCCTGTAATCCCAGCTACTCCGGAGACTGAGGCAGGAGAATCGCTTGAAACCAGAAGGCGGAGGTTGCAGCGAACCGAGAGCGCCACTGCACTCCAGCCTGGGTGAAAATGCAAAACTCCGTCTCAAAATAAATAAATAAATAAATAAATAAATAAATGTATTTTATGTTTAGACTTGGGTCCCATCTCCCAAATACCTCATTGTGTATATCCAAATATTCCAAAATCTGAAAATACCAGAAATCCAAAACACTTCTTCTGGTCTCAAGCATTTCAGACAAGGGATACTCAACCGTCATATTTCAATTAATATTTATGAAGTGTAAATTGATCTTGTTAGAGTGTGTGCTGTCGTTTGCTTCTTCATTAGTGACCATTTTGTTTCTTTGCTTGTCCTATAAGTCCCAAGGTAAGAGAAGTTTAAGAGAAGTTCTTCAGATATGGAAGAAGAAAGATAACAAGTAATTGCAAAACTAGTTTTCCATATACAAGAATACCACAGTATTTTTAAATACCAAAACATCAGTGTATTTGTTGGTGTATTTTTTTTAAACATGAAATGGAATCATTCATTTTTTGAAATGTATTCAAGGAATTATATGCTGCATTAAAATCTAAAGTTGAACAAAGGTGTATTTTAAAAAATGTTCTGACCACATCCCTTCCCTGTTTAAAAACTCTTCTAAGGTTTGTTAGCTTTGTTTTAAATCTCCATTTCCTAGGTTTCCAGAGAGGTTTGGCAGCTTTTCTTATCTTGATTAAGTATTTGTATTTCTCTCTAAGCCTGTTTCTGTTAGAGGGAGTCCTTTAAGAATGCAGGATGGCGGGGCAGGGTAGAGAGAGTGGGAAGTAGGTGGAGGGTGGACAGAAAGTGAATATGTGTAGTGGTAGAGGGGGTGTGGGTGGGAGGAATTAGGAAAGGAGTTGGGGAAGAAGGTGGAGAATTAGGAGGAAGTGTCAGGTCTAATTCCTGTCCTTCCCGGGGAGCCTAACCACCTTTCCTGTCTTAGGCTGCCTTCTCTCAATACTCCTGCCCTTTTGTTTTCCAGAGTCAGATTCATTTTCTCAGGGCCCAACTCTGCTATAGTCCTAGGATAACTTATTTTAATCAAGACCTTCTTCTCTAAGCATAGGCTCTCTACCTGGAGAGAATAAAGCCTCAGGAATAGAGAATGCCCAGTCCTGGACCCTGCTCTTTTTGTATGTATGAGAGCATCTGAGGACAAGTTGTGGAAGATGGTGGTGACATAGCTCACTCATGTACGGTGATAGTAATCTTGTCATTTTGCTCTGGTGTTGCAATCCTGCAATCTTGACTATCATCATATTTAAGATCTGGCATTTGTCAGCAATATCCTAGCAGAAGAAACAGAATCCCAGTAGGAAAATCCCAGTGGGTTTACCCAATAGGCAAATCCAGTAGTCTCTTTTACTGTCTTCTGTAATCTACACGGGTAAAGAGCATGAGGTTTGAAGTCAGGCTGAGACACCTTGGAATAGACATTTAATCTCTTTGAGACTTTGTTTTCTCATTTATAAAATTTAAAATAGCTGCTGCTAGTAAATCAATGAGTAGTACAGATAAAGAATGTAGCATGCCTAATGCAGTGGAGATGTGTATTAAATAATAAATGTGATTTCCCTCTTTCTCCGTATAGGAACTTGTGGCACCAGCAAACTGATGAAGAGGTTATGGAAGTTAGACAAGAGAGGGGAGACACCTGAGGCAATTGAAATTACAGGTCTTCTTAGCTAAACCTCAAAAGAAAATTGACTGAGATACCTTTTCTAGATGTGAAAGATGTTAGAAGGAGAGAAAAGTGCCACTTACTAGAATCTAATTATTTCCTCCAGTTTATCTGATGCTTTAGACACAACACTTGCCTTTATTTCATTTCTATTGCTTTCATGACTCTTCTGATGGAAACATCCCACAGCAATAAATTATTACCTTTGTGTTCTTCCCTGAAGGAAGTGGGGCATGAGATCAGTGGTTGGTGATCAGGCCATAATCAGAAATGTTCCATTCCCGGCTTTGCCACTTATCGAGTGACCATGGGCACATCTTGAAGCCTCTTTTTGATCATCAATAAATGGTATAATCACACCTAATTCACAGGGCCAATAATTCACTCACAAATATATGTATTTTTTGAGCACCCAGTATATGCCAGGCACTGTGTTATATGATGGGGATAGCCAGTTAACCAAACAAAATTCTACCTGTATAGACCTCGCATTTCAATGGAAGAGACAGAGAATAAGCCAAGAAATGTAAATATGTCAGATGGTGACTATTGCTATGGGGGGAGGGGGGAAGCCAGGAAAAAGGAAAGGAAGTGAGGGGGTAGGTTACTTTTTTATATAGAGTGATCTGAAAAGCCTCCCCTTTGAGTAGAGACTAACGAAAGTGAGAGAGTGAAGAGTGTATCAGGTTGTTATGAGATTTAAATGAGATAACACAGGTGAATTCTTAGCACAGTACCTGGAATGCACTGGGTGCTCTATCAGTGTTAGTTGTTAATATTAACATAGAAAGTATGGCATTACAGATAAGGCTTTAAGTAGGTGAAAATCTTTCTGGTTCCATCTAAGATACTCCTAAGGGACTCTGAATCATTTTGAAAAAGAAGGGTGATGGGTCAGGAGACTTTGTAGGCACATATTTTGTTGCCAGCTATAAAACACCAATTCTATGAACAAGAATACTTCTGTGACAGTGGGATGTTTTAATCCAGTAGAAAATGGAGTGGGAAAAAGATGATCCATAGTAGTCTTTAGGTTCACATTCTCTGTAACAAATATTCCCAACTCTGAAGTTGGCATGTGCATTGAACTATTCCCCATCATCAACAATAATAATGGTGATGATGACATTAATTATGCCATTTATATGTTTGTAAATGCTTTTCTTCCAAAGACCTCAAGTATTTTATGGACATGACCTAATTCTCCCTTACAACTTGCTCAAAGACAGGTCTAGCCTCATTTTCTAAATGAGGAAACTGCGGTGTAAAGAAGCTAAGTAACTCCTTCAAGGTCAAACAATTACCTAAGCAGCTTCAGTCTGGATCCCAGACTTTAATTTTCAGGTCATCTCCTTTTCTGCCTGCCTCTTTGTCTTTCTGGATCTCAGAGATGACAAGAGGGATGCAAGAAAAGACACCCATGATGTCAGATGTCAAAGTGCCCACTCCCTGCTTATCGCATAGTCAGTGATCAGTAAATGCTGGTTTTAAAAAAAAGAAGCTCTTGGGCCAGGCACAGCGGCTCACGCCTGTAATCCCAGCACTTTGGGAGGCCGAGACGGGCAGATCACGAAGTCAGGAGATCGAGACCATTCTGGCTAACACGGTGAAACCCCATCTCTACTAAAAATACAAAAAAATTAGGTGGGCGTGGTGGTGGGCACCTGTAGTCCCAGCTACTCGGGAGGCTGAGGCAGGAGAATGGCATGAACCCAGGAGGCGGAGCTTGCAGTGAGCTGAGATCACACCACTGCACTCCAGCCTGGGCAACAGAGCGAGACTCCATCTCAAAAATAAATTTAAAAAAAATGAAAAAATTAAAAAAAAAAGCTCTTTAAGACGGGCCTTCCTTATTTTTTTAATTAAAAAAAATTGTTTTTTAAGATAGAGACGGGATTTCACCATGTTGCCTAGGCTGGTCTCGAACTCCTAGGCTCAAGTAATCTGCCCACCTCAGCCTCCCAAAGTGCTGGGATTACAGGCATAAGCCACCACGCCTGGCCAAGAAGGGCCTTCTCTACTGCTACAAAAATATTAACTATTTAGCATACCTTTCTGCTCTCTGATAGCCACCTCGTGCCTATGCATCAAGATGCTATAAATAAATACAAACCTTGGTTGGTGAGAGAGGTCTAGTTTGGAAATACACATACACTGAAACCAATTCCTGCATGGAGTTGGGAAACAGAGATATTTGCTTTTTCTCTGTGAAAAGTCAACAGGAGCATAGCAAGGGAACTCATTTTTGCTGATCACCTTCTCTCGGCTAGGCTTTTTTCATAATTTATATGCAGGAAAAGTGATTAACCTTTGCAAATTAGGAAACAAGGTATCCAAAAAGTTAAGTAATTTATCTAATGTCACATAGACAGCAAGTGGCAAAGCTGAGATTCAACCTTACAGCTCTCTGACATTTAAGTTTCAACATCTTCCAAAAGTCCAAATAGCCAATTCATACAGCTTTACTCAAAGTACAGTGTGAGTCGTTTATGATCCATTTCATTTTTTACATAAAATGTTAGCAAGAGGCTGAGCATGGTGGCTCAGTCCTGTAATCCCAGCACTTTGGGAGGCTGAGGCGGGTGGATCACGAGGTCAGGAGCTCAAGACCAGCCTGGTCAAGATGGTGAAACCCCATCTCTACTAAAAATACAAAAATTAGCAGGGCGTGGTGGTGGGTGCCTGTAATCCCAGCTACTCGGGAGGCTGAGGTGGAGGATTGCTTGAACCCAGGAGGTGTTGCAGTGAGCCGAGATCACACCGTTGCACTCCAGCCTGGGCAACAGAGCAAGACTCTGTCTAAAAAAAAAAAAAAAAAAGTTAGCAAGAGAATAAAATAATCAGGTGAAATTTTTGAGTAATTCAATTTTGCTATTTTTAAGCCTTCCTCTTAAAACTTTAACAAATTGGCATATGCAGCTAACATTTGGAATTTGGGAAGCTCCATTTGAATTTTAATTATTTAGTCTTCCCTTTGCTCACCAGCATGGATAACTGATAGCTTTTTAGGTGAACATTTCAGTACATTTCCTTTTCCTATGGAGTTGACAGCCTGGATTTCATAGACAGCCACCTCTGAAGACCTGAGGAAGGTTAGAAATCTGGGCCTCTATGACATCAAGACCTTCTCAAGTGACGTGTTATTGTTAAATACTAAAGACTTTGGAAAGAACTTCACCTGATTCAATCACTTATATCATTCAAACTAGTAAAAAGATGATGCCAGTAGATATGTTATGTGTATTTAATATTGCTACCAAAAGCAAGCGCTAAAAAGCTTATACAAAGAGACATACTCAAAAGCACTATAGATTAATCAAAATGGAATTATCAAAAATGTTCAAGTAGCTCATGGGAAGGTATAAAAAAGAAAACAGAGAAAACAGAAATGACAACAGACAGAACAAACAGAAAACAAAGATAAAATGACAAACTTAAGACCTAACATGTTACTGATTACGTTAAGTGTAAATGATCTACATACACCAATCAAATAACAGAGAGTGGAAAACTGAATTAAAAATCGTGATTCAACTAAGTGTTGTCTATAAACAACTTACTTCAAACCTGGGCAACATAGTGAGACCTCATCTCTACCAAAAAAGAAAAACAACAACAACAGCAACAACAAAACAAATTAGCTGAGCATGTTAGCACAAAACAAAAACAAAACTTACTTCAAATATAATGACAGAGACAGGTTGAAAGTAAAAAGATAGAAAAAATGTTATCATGTAAATATTAATCCAAAGAAAGAGTGGGCCATAATAATATCAGATAAAGTAGACTGCAGCACAAAAAAAGTTATTAAAGAGAGAGGGAGAGAGAGAGAGGGATAATGTATAATGATAAAAGGAACACTATACCAAGAGGATTACATCAAGAAGACATAACAATCCTAAATGTGTGTGCACCAAACAACGGGGCTATAAGATATGTGAAGCAAAAACTGACAAAATTGAGAAGAGAAATAGACAAATTAGCAATTATAATTGGAGACTTCAGTACACCTCTTTCAACAACCAATATAATAAGTAGACAAAAAATTAACAAGGACTCAACAATATCATCTATCAACAGGCTCTAACTGATGTTTATAGACTGTCCCACCCCATAACAACAGAGTAAACAAACTTTTCAATTGTCCATGGATCATATATACAGATAGGCGACATCCTGGGCCATAAGACTTTTTTTTTTTTTTTTTTTTTTTTTTTTGGGCTGGAGTCTCGCTGTCTCCCAGGCTGGAGTGCAATGGTGCGATCTCGGCTCACTGCAAGCTCCACCTCCTGGGTTCACGCCATTCTCCTGCCTCAGTCTCCTGAGTAGCTGGGACTACAGGCACCCGCCACCGTGCCTGGCTAATTTTTTGTATTTTTAGTAGAGACAGGGTTTCACCGTGTTAGCCAGGATGGTCTCGATCTCCCGACCTCGTGATCCGTTGGGCCATAAAACTTTGACAAATTTAAAAGAAATGAAAACATACAAAATGTGTTATCTAATCACAATGAAATATAAGTAGAATAACAAAAAGATAACAGAAACATCTCCAAACACTTGAAAGCAAAACTACATCCATATAAATATTCCTGGGTCAAAAAGGAAGTCTTAAGAGAACTTTTAAAAAATTCATTGAAATAAATGAAAGTGCAACATATCAAACTTTGCAGGATACAACTAAAGCAGTACTTGGAGGTATATCTCTGTCCTCTGAATCCCCCAGCATTTTTCATGTTCCTTTTGCAAAACACTAAACTTTCTATTTTAAAACCATTATTTGTGCATCTTTCTTCTTCCTTAGATTGTGGGTGGAAACAATCTTCCTTATTTTTCTATGCTAGCATCTGGCTCAGTGCTCAGTAAAAGTTATTTGAATAAATGAATTACTGGACAGAACAAGCTACTTAGCTAAATGGAATTGAGGCCAAACCAGTTCCTGCATGGAGTTGGGAAGTGTTTTTAGTGATCTTATGCAAGGTACCTGGGCCGTTACACAATGGGGGCCACTGCACAGGCACAATTCTGAGCAACTGCCTAGTTTGTCTCACAGAAGAGCCTCCCTGGATATATAGCTGCCAAAAGTAGCATTTGCCAATAAACAATGAAAGTAGAGAAAATTCAACATACACAATTCCATATCTCTGTCCAGTTTGGTAAAGATAACTTCTTTAGTTAATTAAATCAGATCTGGCCTCTGGCCTCCTCTTATTCCCCTGCCTCAACTCTCCAACTTTTCCCATGCATCTCTCTTTCCCCTGCTCTATTCATAGAACCATAAAACCTCAATTCAGAAGGACAATAAAGGTCATCTAGTGTGGCTTCCCACTTAAAACCTAAATACCCTATAGTTAACATGGGGTTGAGCTATAAGTTTTTCTCAGAACCAACTCAACTTGGCCAGGTGCAGTAGGTTCATGCCTGTAATCCCAGCACTTTGGGAGGCTGAGGTGGGCCTGGAGGAGTACGAGACCAGTGTGGGCAACATAGTGAGACCCTCTCTCTACAAAAAATAAAAAATTAGCCAGGTATGGTAGTGCACACCTGTAGTCCCAGCTACTCGAGAGGCTGAGAGGCAGGAGGATTGCTTGAGCCCAGGGGGTCAAGGCTGCAGTGAGCCATGATCATACCACTGCACTCCAGCCTGGGGGACAGAACAAGACCCTATCTCAAAGACAAAACCAAAACCTAACAAACAAACAAAGAATGGACTCAAAATCCTCTGAGAAGAGCATTAGTATGAATCAAAATGTAAGACTAAGTTTAGTAACTGAGGAGGTGAACTAAGAGAGAAGCTGTGAATCCCCCAAAACAAGCATTTCTACTAAACACATAAAGGCAAATATATTTTTGGAAACATAGGTATAGTCAAAAGTTGAAAACACGTTTCTAAATGCCAGCATGAGAAAATCTGTCAATAGTCTTACATAAGGCTGATTTTATTCCTAAAGTACAATAAAATCCCTAACTATACACAGTCTTGACAATGTATTTCCAAGATTCTGTAGATGTGTTTACATCTCATTCTTTTCCTTCACAATTGATAATGCAGTCAATTGGCTGATATATCCAATATCCTACGTAGTTATATTTCTCAATGGGAGTAAGTAAATGGCTCTCTTGTTTTTATACACGTGTCTCTCGTGAGTTTGGTAAATTAGTATCTTAGTGTTTTTTGTCTCTTAGTGTACTTGTAATTTAATGTGTGAGCCCACAAAGAGGATAACCCTTCCAAGAAATCTGGTGACTATGTTCAAGTGATGCCACCCTTTGGTAAACTTGCTAGATGGTCAGCCAGTTTGCCTTGCCTAAGTAACATATGACTTTATCCCAGGCCTCTCTATTCAGATGACCACATCCTAACAATAGGTCACACTGCTTATACCTGACTCCTGTTAGAAAGAGAGAACTCAGTATTCATGAGATTACTTTCAGTCTTTGGCTGGTGCCTTTAGAAATGCTAAAACTTGCCATTTCCTTTTTTTCTCGTTGATCCTCATTCTACTCCTTGGAGCTATGGTGAGAAAATTTGAGCTTTAGTAAAGACAATGTTAAAAACCTAAAATGACAAACTAAATGAAGTAAAGAACCATGTAGCAGCAACAATAACATTATCTCTGCGCTTTTATTTTTCTTTTTTGATAATTAAAAAGCAAGGCAAGTACAGATACAGCAATCATCACCCCCATCAAAAACCTCACCAGAGGGACTCAAAGCCTGGGGGAGCCAGGGCTGCGAGTCAGCGGCAATTACCCTCCCACTGTGAAGTCAGCAGGACCCATGGCTGACTTAACCTCACCAGCCTCACTCAAGGTGCATAGCAACCAGCATTATTATAGTCTACTTAATAGTGTGTGCTACCTGCCAGGATTGTACATTAAGAAAAGGAAAGACTAGTGGGACCTGTTTGTCAGGCCCTAAAACTAGAATTTTCCTGGTTATACACACCACAAAATGAGTGTCAGCAACATTAAATAGTGGCAAGAGTGATGGGATCAAAAAGTTTGACTCGTGGTCTGCTGTCATTATTAGATGATGTAGCACCCACGTAGACTGACAAAGTCACATTTCTAACTTAGAAACAGTCTACCTCTTACTTTAGCTTTAAGGTGTACATTTGGCTTAAATTAGAGCTCTGAGCATTTTCTTGAAGCTGATTTTGAATTTATTAAAGAGTGTTTAAACCTTGAGATGGTGATGGGTGACTTCATAGAAAATGTGGACTCCAGAGCTAAAATGTTCCAAGCAGCTGATTGGAGGCGATGATTGAAAACTTTCATCTCCTCCAATAGATGAGTCAGTCACTTCTACGTTTGAACTTTCCCCTTGCGTCTCAGCTTCTAAATCCTGTTGGGATGCTGAAGTGGTCTGAGTTTGAAATATTAAACAGCATATCTGTGAGGCCAGCTGTAGGCTTTTAATCATTTGTAATTGTGACTCCTGGATGATAATAATTGATACAAAATGACCAGCAAGCCTAACAGACTAGATATCTTTCCTAGTTCTATCTTTTGGCATGTGGCCTCTGGGTTATTTCACAAGACACCTTCCCAGTCGCCCAGGCTAAAAGATTGGGGCTAATTTTCTTCACCTTCCTCTTCCCCTAACATCCCATTGGTTCTATTTAGAAACATGTTTGCATTTGCCACCTCCTTTCTATAACCACTGTCAGTGCTCTTTACCTTTCCCATCAGTTCAGGAGCCCCTAAACTAAAAAACACATTGACTATTAGCAGTTGTTACCTCTGGGTGAAAGATTAACAAGCTGTACATTATATAGCTAAAAATGTAAAAGATAGGCCAGCATGGTGGCTCATGCCTATAATCCCAGAACTTTGGGAGGCCAAGGTGGGTGGATCACTTGAGTTCGAGACCTGCCTGGCCAACATGGTGAAACCCAATCTCTACTAAAAATACACAGATTAGCCAGGCATGGTGGCGTGTGTCTGTTATTCCAGCTACTTGGGAGGCTGAGGCATGAGAATTGCTTGAACCCGGGAGGTGGAGGTTTCAGTGAGCCGAGATCGCGCCACTGCACTCCAGCCTGGGCAACAGAGTGAGACACCATCTCAAAACAAACAAACAAACAAACCCCAAAATGTAAAAGACTATATACATTATAGTCTTTGAAACTTTTAACTAGTATAAACATGCTTTGAAAATCAGAAAAAAATTTAATTATAAAAGGACATAGTAGAGCAATGTGTTATTCCAACAGGCCTGTTTGATGTGATAGGACAAGGATGGGATAGGCACATTTGAGAACAAACACATTTCTGTAAGTTTTTCTCATGTCACATAACCCAGAACCAAACTTTAGTTCCTGTAGTGGCTAACGCAGCACAACTGTCTTCTATAAATAGTCAGAAAAACTCAGTCTGGATTCTTATACAATATCATCTGACAGACATGATGGAAAAGGCATGTTACTAGAGGGCTGGGAGAAAGAGGAGTGAAGGAATGAGGAAAAAAGAAAGTCTTAAACCATTCCTAATATGAACTGATTTTTAGATCCTCAGTGTTAGACATGTGTAATAGGAACTGCCTTTATCCGAGACTCGCTGTTGAGACTCACTGGCTTACCATCACTGAGGAGTACCAGCAGCCCTCCCTGATTCACCTCTTTTTGCACGTATCACAGGTGCTATTTATGGAGCTGCCTGGGCAAGCTGCCTGGCCCCAGGGTCCAGCCCCAAGGAGGCCCTGCGTGCTTGGGGACAGGCTCTACTAAGGTTGGACAATTTTCAAAA
The DNA here is from genome assembly GCF_000001405.40 of Homo sapiens. Lineage (NCBI taxonomy): Eukaryota > Metazoa > Chordata > Mammalia > Primates > Hominidae > Homo > Homo sapiens. The sequence goes on from NC_000001.11 coordinate 67,461,224, forward strand.
CTAGCCAACAGCTGCTACTGGGTTTTAAGAAAAAATGCCAACAGGGTAACGGGGAGGACAACACAGCAACTCTTGTGAAAAAAAGTTTTCATCTAGCCTCCTCACTTCCTATTGGATCCAGGCTGTAAATGGACCACACCCGCTTCCCATTAGCCCAAAGCCTGCAGGCTCAGGGGACCTGAGCGGGTAGCTTTGGGCTGCGAGTCAGTCTCCTCTTGGCTCAACTTCTCTGCAATTACTGCTTGTGGGGACTCTGGGATTAGGCCACAGCTTGTGTTTGCTTCTGCGGTCAAATGAGTTGCTGAGGCATGGGAGAAGGTACTAGAAGCATTTACCAAACATGCCTTCATTAATGAATACCTGCCTTAGCGAGAGCACCTGGATTGTATTTATAAAGAGCAAGGAACTAAGTAAATAAGACACACTCAACAAATGTCTGTTAAATGACTAGCAGAACACGGTGGTTAAGAGCATAGGCTCTGGAGATGGCCTCACTGGGATTCAAGTCCTGCTTAGCCATATGACCTTGGTAAAGTTGAAGCTTTCTAAGTAAGAACACCTGGTTTCTTGTTCAGACTCTAGTTTAATGACTGAGTGTGCAAGTCGTTGAACTTCTCTAAGTCTCAGTTTTCTCATTCATAAAGTGGGATAATTATACCTGCCTTGTCTAGCTTACAAGGTTGTCAGTGAGATCAAATGAGACAATGTCATAAAAGCCTTTTATAAGTTAGAATATCCTATACAAATGCAAGCTATTATTATGGATAATTCTAGTGACTAGTGAATAATAAACTGGTGGAACCAACAATCCCATTGTCACCAACTAAATCTTACAGAGCAATTTCCCAGTTCCACCCACTCTACCTTCTAGGCACTTCCACCTACTTCCTCCTATGACTTAAATAAATGACAAGAGAAAGAGAGTACCATAATAATTTTTCTAATTAACTTTCTCAATCAGAGTCCCATGAAGATGTGTGCCAAAGACAAGAGGAATGTGTAGCAGAGTGTTTATGTTTCTTTTAGGTCAGCTCTTTATTCCCCCACATATTTTTCACTTTGTTTGTCTCAGTGCTCTGAGACTGAGCTCATCTTCACTTTGTCTTCTGGGCATACATCAGCAGGTGAGGGTTCTGGTCTCTGTTTCGCCACAGTTGGCTATATGAGCATGCATGAGTTACATTCTTTTTACGCCCTCACTTTCTCCCATCTGCAAGACAGGGATTAAAGTAAATTACCCATTGGTCTTTTTCAGTCCTGTGGGTCTATAATTCTTTTAGAAGTGGGTTCCCTAACCCATCAACCCACTCTGAACATCTGAACAACTTTCCTTTTTTTTTTTTTTGGTAGAGACAGGACCTTTCTATACTGCTCAGGCTGATCTCAAACTCCTGGGCTTAAGCTGTTTTCCTATCTTGGCCTCCCAAAGTGCTGAGATTACAAACGTGAGCTACCATGCCTGGCCCAGACAACTTTCTTCAATCTTTTTGGTAGTAGGCCTGTGTAATTTGTGCTGGGGTAAGATTTAGTGCAAAAGAAAAAGTCACAAACACAGTAATAACAGAAGGTGTCTGCTAAGCTAAGCTTCTCTCCAAATCTTCCCATCCCGCACCCCCACTTTTTTTTTTTTTTTTTTGGAGACGGAGTCTCACTGTGTCACCCAGGTGAGAATGCAGTGGCTCATTGCAACCTCCGCCTCCTGGGTTCAAGCGATTCTCCTGCCTCAGACTCCTCAGTAGCTGGGATTACAGGCACACACCACCATGCCCAGCTAATTTTTGTATTTTTAGTAGAGAGGGGGTTTCACCATGTTGGCCAGGCTGGTCTTGAACTCCTGACCTCATGATCCACCCACCTCAGCCTCCCAAAGTGCTGGGATTACAGGCCTGAGCTACTGCGCCCAGCCTCCTCTCCCCTTCTGAAGCTTTCTCTAGAGTGGGTTAAAAAGAGAAAGCCCCTTTTTAAAGAGGTAAACGCCACAGTTGGGAAGTTGGAGTAGATTTGGATTGTGAAACTGGATTAGATCCTTAGCACATTTATATATATATTTTTGCAATTTGGGGCCAGCTAATTAGCTTGAATCTTGGTTTCCTCATCTTTAAAATGGGGCTAACATCTGCCTTATTTACTTTATAGGCTTGTTGTTAGGAGTAAATGAAACATAACGTAAAAGCACTTTGTCGTCTTTATTTGCAATACAACAGAGGTTGATTCTGGCATCTGAGGGCATAACTGGGAACTTAGATCTATGCAGACCAAAAACCAAAAATAGAATCACCATTGCACAGAGCCTAGAATAAAAGCATTACTAGCTGCCTACCCATCCTTCCCTCTCCACAGTAAATTTTTCCCAGGACCTTTGCATTGAGCTACTTGCTGAATATTCTTATTCTCAGATGATTCAGACCTGCTTTCTTTAAAATGCCTCATATGTCTAACACGTAACTACCACTGTATTTAGAAACCTCTGAGCAGAGCCACGGAATCTGGAACTGCTTCCCGCAGCCAAGCTCCATAGGTACACGACACAACTGCCAGCTGCTTTTCATTGCAAATCAGCTTGATCCAATTGCACTGACAGCGACAGGCTGAATGTAGGCCAGCAGCAGGGGTTCATACTGGCTGAATGTAAGCCAGCTCATATACTTGAAGAGGACTAGCTAGGACAAGTCACTTCACCACTTAGCATAATTACCTTTAATGGGTTTAGGGCTGTCTACCTGGAGGAAGTGAACGACTTACGAGATTCTATGAACCTATTTTCCTCTTCCCAGTCCACACTCTCTCACCTGAGTGATCTCATTTTTTCCCAGCCTTTTCTGATGACTTCTACATCTCTATCCTGAATCTAGATGTCTCATCTCTGGTCTAAGCTATCATCTGTCCACCGCTTGTCTTACCTGGATGTCCCACTGTCACCTCTAACTCAACAGGTTCCAGGTGGATGTCCTCATCCACATATCCACAAACCAGCTTCTGCCCTCCTTCTGGTACTTTCTTTCCAGTGATCTCTATCTTAGTGAATGACACTTCATCCACCCAGTCATCTAAACAAAGGGATGGCCCTTGAAATCTCCCTCCTACAGCCCATCTTTCATCAAGCCTTAGCAATTGTACTTCCTCAATATCTCTGGAATTTATCTACTTCTCTCCATCCCCGCTGCCACTAGCTAAATTCAGGGTGTGATTATCTTTTACCTGAATTATTGCAAGAGCCTTCCAACTGGTTTTCTCACTCCTACTCCAGCCCTCCCCCCACCAATCCATGTTCCACAACAGGGATGTTCTGAAGTTTGCAAGTCTGATCAGGCCACGGATTTCCTTGCTCAAATGTTTAAATAGCTTTTCAGTCCTTAGGGAAGAAAACTCAAGCTCCTTGACATGGCCTTCCAGGCCCAGCGTAATGTGCCAAGCTTACTTCTCCAGCCTCACTTTTCATCATTCCCTCCCTTTCATCTATGTTCTGGTCCAGTGGCTCTCATCTCAACCTGGCTGCACATTAAAGTCACCTGGGAAGCTTTTAAAACATACCCAAGGCTGGGCTCTATCCAAGACCAATGAAACCAGAACCTCTGGCCGTGGAGCCCTAACAGGCTGCTTCTGAGTTCCAGCAGAGCAACACCCACTCTCTCATCTTTTATCCTTTGCACACACTCTTGGCTTTGACTGAGATACTTTCCCTTGACCTCGCTTCCCCTCCTGCCACCTGGCTGACTCATTCATCCATCAAGCCTCAACTGGGGCATCACGTTGTGCCCCAAGAAGCCCTCCACCAGCCTGGTGCTCCGGGTCTGGGTTAGTTGCCTCCCACATGTGCTTCCAGAGAGATTGCTCTGCATTTTGCCTACTGGCCGTAGCACCTGTCATCCTATACCATCCTTGCCTGAATGCTCTGCTGGACTTGAAACTATGAGAGCAGGGCTGGGCCTGCCTTGCTTCCCCCTGAACCCCCAGCATCTAGCACAGTGTCTGCACATAGTGTGTGCTCACAGTGTTTATGGAAATCACTAGTTAGTTTTATAGAGTGACCCTGGTTACTCCGGACTTGCCAGTCCTTTGTAGTAGCAAGGTCTCTAGTCATATCCATTTCTGAGTTCCTTTATTCACTCATCTGTACATTCTCTTAACAAAATTTGAGAATCTGGTATATTATAGGTACTAATCATTTCAAAATAAAATTGGACTTTTTCAAGTTAAAAATTCTTCACTATTGGGATCTGAGATATATCTGAGGCGAGGCAAGGAAAGGATCTCACAATTTCAGTTTGCCTTGGTCACAGAACCACAGCCAAAGACCTAGGCAGCTTCCTGTTTGTGTTCGCCTTACTCTTCTTCCTTACAGGGAACCAGGCCAGGAATGACAATCATTTCCAAGGACTGCCTCTCCGGATGCTTGAGACCTTGAACAAGAATGACTAAAAAATTGAAGGGATTATAGTAAGCCCTGAGTTGATGATGAAAACAGGTAAACACTGGCTTCTTGAGCAGCCAATAAGGGAAAACACAGGTGTACATCATCCCAACCCACCCTGCTCGGGGAGCCTCTATCCCCACCAACAGCTTTAGAGGCCCACCTGCAGAAACCAGACAGCCAGAGCCCTGGGACTATAGTGAGGTTAGTGTGTATGATTCCCAGGGAGTGTGGAAATTCCTCAGCTCTTCTCCAACCTGCACAGAACTGGTTTTACGCATCAGAACTCTGTATCATCACCAAGAAGACCTGGTGAGATCCCAGCTTCACCTCATATAAGTGAACCAAGGAGAGTAAAACTAACCAAATGCAAGTGGAAGGGGAGAGGGAGAAGAAAGGGTAGGAGGCAGAGGCAAGAAGAAACCTAAATCATAATAGTGGTAGTAGTAAGATTGGCTAACATTTAGTGAACACTTACACTGTGCCAAGCATTGTGCCTTACATTCAGCCCTTACAAAGAGACCTCAAACTCTGATCACTGCTGTGGATACAACCCTGTGTTCTTAGCCATGATGCCAAAATCTGTGCCGGGAATCAAGTCAAGAGAAGGCTAATGGCTTGGAGATGTGAGGAAAATGGAGCAATTGGATTGTCTGCTTTCATGGAGGTGGGGTAAAGGAGGCTTGGAAAAGATGGGGGTTTTGAAGAACAGAGAAATTCCAAGCTGGAGATGGTTGAATGAGAGCCCCAGATTATGATGATGAAGGCTGGAATATGACTATGCTGTACCTGGATGGCTACGCTGTGCTGTGTAGAAGGAAGATGGGAAGTGATCAAATGTCACTGAAGTAGAAGATGAAGTCATCAAAGATGGTTGGGTTGGTGGGAAGAACAGGAGGATAAAAATTTCATTCTTCTTGGCTGGGAATGGTAGCATACACCTGTAATCCCAGCATTTTGGGAAGCTGAGGCAGGCGGATCACTTGAGGCCAGAAGTTCAAGACCAGCCAGGCCAACATGGGGAAACTCTGTCTCTACAAAAATATAAAAAATTAGCCGGGTGTTGTGGCACACACCTGTAATCCTAGCTACTCAGGAGACTGAGGCAGGAGTATCACTTGAACCCAGAAGGCAGAGGCTGCAGTGAGCCAATATCACACCACTGCCCTCCAGCAGAGTTTCATTCTTCTTGTCAGTTTGAGCTCTGCTGTGTGATAGGCAATACACTAGACTCTGTGGATACAGAGGTGGACAGGACAAATAGGGCCCTGTGAACATAGAGCTTATGTTTTGTAGGAGTGACAATCATCAGCAAACAAGTATGCAAGAAAGATGCCACATAACGTTAAGTGTCGGTAAGTGACAGAGTGGGCACTGCAGATTGGGTGGTTCAGGAAGGCCTCCTTGAGAAGGTGACATTTAAGTGGGATACCAAAGGCAAGAAGAAGTTAGCCATGCAAAAATCAGGGGGAAGAGCATTTCAAACCCAGAAAACAGCGGGTACAAAGGCCCTAAGTGGTAACAAGTCTGGCAGGAAGAAGAACAAGGCCAGGGTAGTTGGAATGTAATGAATAGCCAGGGAGTGGTATGGGATGAGGTCTGAGAGGTGGGCAAGCACTGGATCATTTAAGACCTTATTGTCCACAGTTTGTTGTGTGGATTTTAATCTAGGGACAGTAGGAAGCTGTAAAGAGTTTTCACTGGAGGAGGGATGATCTGGGGTGCGTGTGTGTGTGTGTGTTTATAAAAGTTATCTTAACTATGGAGTGGCAATGGATTAGAGAAGAGAAATAGGGTCCCCAGAAGAAACAAACTGTCTTTCACAAGCCATCGTTGGGTTGAGTTGGGTTTTATTTTCTCAGATCTTGAAGTAGAATGCATTTCCAAGGGTCAATTCCCAAGGTCGAGAGTAATCAGAGGCCGGGTGCAGTGGCTCATGCCTGTAATCCCAGCACTTTGGGAGGCCGAGGCGGGCAGATTGCCTGAGGTCAGGAGTTCGAGACCAGACTGGCCAACACGGCGAAACCCTATCTCTACTAAAAATACAAAAATTAACCAGGCATGTTGGTGGGTGCCTTTAATCCCAGCTACTCAGGAGGCTGAGGCAGGATAATCGCTTGCACCTGGGAGGCAGAGGTTGCAGTGGGCCGAGATCACGCCACTGCACTCTAGCCTGGGCGACAGAGTGAGACTCCACCTCAAAAAAAAAAAAAAAAAAAAAAAAAAAGAGTAATCCAAGGAGTCTGTCTGCTCCCTGTGGCTGTTTTTAGGAAGTCAGAGAGGCACAGACCAAACCTCTTATTATGGAGTGCAGGGTATGTATGTGTTTTTCCTTTCCACTGAAAAACAGACAACAGAAGAAGAAACGTGTTTATTTGAATCTCTCTCTGCAGAGGGTGTGCCACCGGCCACCCCCTCTCCCAAGATACCTGAAGACCCTTGCCTGGTATCTTTATCCTTCCAATAATTTAACAAATTAAGCCGTGCCTAATTTTCTAAGCTGATTTCCTGAGGGCTCTAACTTGGGAGGCCCCTTTCCTGTCATAGGAACCAGCAGACTGACTTGGTTTTCCTTTCTTGCTCTATTGCTAGAGCCATGGAGGTGGGAGTCCCTTTCCTGGCTCCATACCACCCTCTCCCCAGGCTGCCAAATGTCCCTCTGGGCCCTCTATTCCCCCTGCTCCTTGGTGTCCTGACTCATTTTCACCGGATTTCATCTGGACAGCATGTAGGGGTGAGGGAAGGGACAACTGGGTCAGGGCAGCCCACGGAGATGTCTTTGCACCCCAGGCAGCTGCTGCCCTGGCTTCCTAAGCCTGGGGCAGTGGGCAGGCTGTGCCTGATTCCAGCCAGGGTTCCATAAATAAACTGCCATGAAGTTGCCAGCAGAAAATGTGGATGATTCAGAGCAGGAAACCAGTCTTTCCTGACTCTTCCTTCAGTTCTGGTTGCCATGAGACTGCACCAAAGGCCACTGTACAAAAATGGTTCATGTAGAGTGAGGACACACTATGTACCTGGCTCTGCACTCGGATCTGCAGGCCCATCCCATGGGATGCTTCCAATCTTACTACAGAGAAGGGATTTTTGTCTTCATTAGAGGAGGCTCTGTGGGGTTTAGTAACCTACCTGTCTAAAGTAATAGAGATGAGATTCTAACCCTGTCAGTCAGGGCCCAAAGCCCCAAGGGGCTTAACCGTGACTTGGCCTTAAACCTTTCTATCTCCCCTACCATAAGTGCAATCTCAACATAACCTGATGTAGTGTATTTTCAGTATGACCATTACAATGTCTCATCCTAGACTCAACTATCCATGCGAAGATTCTTTCTCAGCGTGGGACCTGGGAACGTGTGGAGGAGGTTCTGTTTAATGACATCGAATCCAAGGTTCTGAATTATTCCCAAACAGCCTTGTTTTCCCAATTAATGAAATTTTAAGTGCCACACATGAAAGTGTGAAAGTTTGGAATTATAGACATAATGTTGTCAGTCCTTAACTGTTCTTTCCAGATTATTTTACATCAAATATGTATTTATTTTTTTATTAGGAAGAAAGAAAGGAAGGGTAAAAGAGGAAAAGTGGAGAATATGAGAATGATGGGATGGGGGAAAACAAAGGAAAATAAATTGTTTAGATTTGTCTCTGGTCATCCATGCTAATAAGCTTCCTGTGCAGAGGATCTCACTGCAGTTACATAGACTGCCTCTAGACTCGAATTCAGATCTGGCTGAAGGACAAAACCCTCATATCTGCAGTGTGGTCAACACGCCTGAACAGAGACGGAGCTCAACAAAGATTGGTGGTTGAATCAAGCGATCCAGGATACATAAGGAGTGCCAATATCTGGCCAGTTTGTATAACACGAGGTTAAGAGTCCCACAGGTTTATTCCCTTCTGAGGTGTGAGATCATTTTTAGTGGGACTCAGATTTTAGAGACTTGAGAAGAAAACTGATGTTATGATTCAGTGCAGTTCCTGAGGAAACACATGTAATTTTTTGGCCATATATTCTCAGCTTTTTGGCTCATTTGGCATATCTCCATGCTAAATTTAAAAGTAAATGTCAAACACGATTATTATATATGTGGAAATTCACCTCCCAGGGACTTATGTTCCTCATCTGGAAAATGAGGGGGTGGACCAGATGCTCCCTAAAGGGCTTTCTAGCATTTCTGTTCTCTGGTTTATGTATTTTGGGCATTGCATTTCACTTTTTGTTTACTACAAACTGAAAAGAGTGAAAAAGGATAATATCCAGCCTCCAATTCCCAATCATGTTACAGACTTACAAATTGGATATCTAAAGGCTTTTATTACCTTGGACCAAATAAAAAGAGTAGATCAGCATTCTGAGAAGATGCCTGGATTGTGGCCTTCAGATAAGTCCTAAGCCCAGGCATTTGTAACAAATGCCCCATCTCACAGAAAAAAGGATTATTCCATGCCTTTTAAGTGTATATAAAAAGGAATGAAGGCCAGGCGTGGTGGCTCACACCTGTAATCCCAGCACTTTGGGAGGCTAAGGCGGGCAGATCACAAAGTCAGGAGTTGGAAACCAGCCTGACCAACATGGTGAAACCCCGTCTCTACTAAAAATACAAAAATTAGCCAGGCATGGTGGCATGCACCTGTAGTCCCAGCTACTCAGGAGATTGAGGCAGGAGAATAGTTTGAACCCGGGGGTCGGAGGTTGCAGTGAGCTGAGATCATGCCATTGCACTCCAGCCTGTACGACAGAGCAAGATTCCATCTCAAAAAAAAAAAAAAAAAAAAAAAAGGAATGGGCCAGGCACGGTGGCTCACGCCTGTAATCCCAGCACTTTGGGAGGCCGAGGTAAGTGGATGACCTGAGGTCAGGAGTTCGAGACCAGCCTGGTCAACATGGTGAAACACCGTCTCTACTAAAAATACAAAAATTAGCCAGGCATGGTGGTGGGCACCTGTAATCCCAGCTACTCAGGAGGCTGAGGGAGGAGAATGCTTGAACCCAGGTCGGGGAGGTTGCAGTGAGCTGAGATCCCACCATTGCACTCCAGCCTGGGTAACAGACGAGACTCCATCTCAAAAAAAAAAAAAAAAGGGGGGGAATGAAAATAAGGTACTAAACCAAGACCAACTATGGCATTCAAGCAGTTCTAACTGTGTTTTCACCCAGAATGTGTGTGTTGTTTTTTGTGTTTTTGTGTGTGTGTGTTTAATTAATTTACTTATTTGAGACAGGATCGTACTCTGTCCCCCAAGCTGGAGAGCAGCAGCATGATCCTAGCTCACTGCAGCCTTGACGTCTGGGAGCTCAGTCTCCCACCTCAGCCTCCCAAGTAGCTGAAACTATAGGTGGATGATACCAGACTTGGCTAATTTTAGAGTATTTTTTGTAGACATGAGGTTTTGCTATGTTGCTCAGGCTGGTCTCAAACTCCTGGGATCAAGGAATTCTACTGCCTCAGCTTCCCAAAGTGCCAGGATTACAGGCGTGAGCCATTGCGCCTGGCCAATTATTATTATTTTTAAAGCAAATAATCTATAAATGACATCTACTTAGGCCTCCTTTATTTTAAAAGTCATTTAACTTTGCAAATAAACTCTCTAATGCTCAAGTATGTATAAGGTGGTATTTAATTGCAGAGTAAGATAGTAGTTGAGAGAAGAAGTCTTAGATATCTGCTTTGCCATGTAACTGGCTATGTAAAGTTGAGCAAGTTGCTTAACTCTCTGACTCTTTTTTTTTTTTTTTTTTTTTTTTTTTAACATAGAGTCTAGCTCTGTCACCAGGCTGGAGTTCAGTGGCGTGATCTCGGCTCACTGCAACCTCTGCCTCCCAGGTTCAAGCGATTCTCCTGCCTCAGCCTCCCAAGTAGCTGGGATTACAGGCATGCGCTGCCATGCCCAGCTAATTTTTGTATTTTTAGTAGAGACAGGGTTTCACTTTGTTGGCCAGGGTGGTTTCTATCTCCTGACCTCGTGATCCGCCCACCTTTGCCTCCTAAAGTGCTGGGATTAGAGGCGTAAGCCACCGCGCCCCGGCCAACAATCTGACTCTTTATCAAAGAAATGAAGATATTAATAGTTCACTCTTTCCTCCCCACCTTCCTCTCTTACTCCTTCCTTTCCTTCAACAAATACTTTTTGGGCAATGTGCAACTGAAGGCTCTGGAAACAAATACAGCAGTGAACAAAGACAGCCAAAGTTCTTTTTCTTTTTTCTTTTTTTTTTTTGTTTTGTTTTTGAGACGGAGTCTCGCTCTGTTGCCCAGGCTGGAGTGCAGTGGCGCCATCTCTAAGTGTAGAGTCCAGGTAGGGAAGACAGCAGGTACAAGGACTCCAAGGTGGGTGGTATGCTTGTAGTGAATGTTTGAGGAAGAGTGAGAAGTCTGAGGTGGCTGGAACATTTTAGCCCATGTAAAGCCTTTAGATTTTACTCTAAAGGAGCTGAGAAGCCACTGGAGGGTTTGAGCAGAAGGGTAATAACATGATCTAGTGTATGTGGAACAGGATCTGCTTTCCAGGTTGTTTTAATATGTGATTCGACAATGTGTTTAAAGACTGACTTCTCAGGTATGTGATGAGATTGGCAAGAGTTTATGAGGCAGGGCGTATGAAGTCCTTGGCCCAGTTCCTGGCAGCAGACTGCACTCAGGAGGTAGCTCTTATGATTAGGCTGTTAGTGAAGCTGATAGACCATCAGTAAAGTTCTTCACTGATGTTAATAGAGCATCTGCCTGGGGGCCAAGGAAATGAGGACAGAAAAACCACCATTTCTTGAGCACTTACTCTGTGCCAGGCTTGTACCTATTTAGTGTAGATACAATATAGATCAAAACAATACACTTTGAGGGAGGGAAAACAATGGCAGCTGACCCCAAAATAGCTCCTCTACTGTACCAATTTTGTCATGGTACCCAGAACTAGTCACAACTTTGGGCTGAGGTCATTATCTAGAATAGTAACATCAGGCCCTATCAACCACTTTTACCTTGAAGTGATTACATGGATCAGATTAACTAGCCACCCCAATGGTTCTGAAGTCTGATAGCCTAGGGTCAAAGTCTGGCTCAACCACTAACTAGCTGTGTGGCTTTGGGTAAGGTATTTAACCTCTCTGTGCTTCAAGTTTTCCACCTGTACCTTAGAGATGAGAGTGGTAACTATCTCTCAGGGTTTATGTGAGCTAAAGCGAGACAATGCATGTAAGTTCTTTATCAGGCATAAATGTTATTTGTAAAGTTGAATTAATTAGTGAGTCAACAATAAGAACTTTGAAGCACAGATCACAGGACTGATAAGTTTCTAAAAGAAAGCAAAAGGCCAAAAATATTATGGTGCACAGAAAAAGTCAGGTGCCAAGTAGAAGCCATAAGTACCTTGGAGAGGAAGGGAAAGCCTTTCTTTTCTTCCTTTCTTTCTTCCTTCCTTCCTTTCTCTCTCTTTCTTTCTTTCTTTCTTTGTTTTTTAGACGGAGTTTCGCTCTTTTGCTCATGCTGGAGTGAAGTGGCATAATCTCAGCTCACTGCAACCTCCGTCCCCCGTGTTCAAGCAATTCTCCTGCCTCAGCCTCCCGAGTAGCTGGGATTATAGGCACCTGCCACCATTCCCGGCTAACTTTTTGTATTTTTAGTAGAGATGGGGTTTCGCCATGTTGGCCAGGCTGGTCTTGAACTCCTGGACTCAAGTGATCCGCCCGCCTCGGCCTCCCAAAGTGCTAGGATTACAGGCGTGAGCCACCGCACCCGGCCGGAAAAGCCTTTAAGTCTAGGGCAAAGGGACAGAGACAGAAAGGATGCTGGAAGGGTTATAAAGACATGTTCAGTCTGCTTCTCAATTTTGCCAGAAATCCATTCTGTCAAAATAGTGTCTTCGTAGTTAGTCACCTGGGTATGGTATAAGGCCTCTGATTCTCTGAAGGAAGATGGACTCCATCTATGCTCTGTAGCTCTACCTTGCTTTAAGACAATCTGATGAAAGGCTAGAATAGAATAACTGATGCTAAGAGGGTCTATAGAACTCATTAGTTCAACCCCCTCATTGAGCAGATGAGGACCTTTCTGCCCCAGAGAGATTAAAAGATTTGCTTATGGTCACACTGACAGTTAATGACACAGCAGGGACCAAACCCAGCCTGCCTTAATTCCTAAACCACTGTAAGTTCCAACCTCCCTTTCTGCCTCTGCCTAAAAGATAAATTAATAGGTAGAGATTTGCTAGTCAAAAAAAGTCACAATAAAAATTTCTTTTATTATTTATTTATTTAGAGACGGAGTCTCGCTCTGTCGTCCAGGCTGGAGTGCAATGGTGCAATCTTGGCTCACTGCAACCTCCGCCTCCCAGGTTCAAGTGATTTTCCTGCCTCAGCCTCCCAAGTAGCTAAGATTACAGGTGACTGCCACCACGCCCAGCTAATTTTTGTATTTTTAGTAGAGGCAGGGTTTCACCATGTTGGCCAGGCTGGTCTCGAACTCCTGGCCTCAAGCTGTCCACCCCCCTCACCCTCCCAAAGGTTTGGGATTACAGGCGTGAGCCACAGTGCCCGGCCCTCTTTTACTTATTTATTTATTTGGTTAGAGATAGGGTCTCACTCTGTTACCCAGGCTAGAGTGCAGTGGTGTGATTGTAGCTCACTGCAGCTTTGAACTCCTGGGCTCAAGCAATCCTCCTGCCTCAGCCTCCCTTGGAGCTGGGACTACAGGTGTGCACCATCACATCTGGCTAATTATTTTATCTTTAGTAGAGACACAGTCTTGCTTTGTTGCCCAGGCTGGTCTATGAACTCCTGGCCTCAAGCCATCCTTCCACCTTGGCCTCCCAAAGGGTTGAGATACAGGTGTATCAACCACTCCTGAATGGTCAGTTGTCCTAGAGCAGAGCTGCCTATTAGAAATATCAAGTGAATGGCCGGGCACTGTGGCTCACACTGGTAATCCCAGCACTTTGGGAAGCCGAGGAGGGTGGATCACTTGAGGTCAGGACTTCGAGACCAGGTTGGCCAACATGGTGAAACCCCGTCTCTACTAAAAATAAAAAAATTAGCTGGGCATGGTGATTCGCACTTGTAGTCCCAGCTACACAGGAGGCTGAAGCAGGAGAATCGCTTGAACCCAGGAGGCGGAGGTTGCAGAGAGGCAAGATGGTGCCTCTGCACTCCAACCTGGATGACGGAGCAAGACTCTGCCTCAAAGGAAAAGAAAAAAAAGAAAAAGAAATATTAAGTGAGCCACATAGCCACATATGTAATTTAAAATTTTACAGTAGACACATTTTAAAATGTAAAAAAAGGTAAAATTAATTTTAATAATATATGTTAACTCAGTATATCCAAAATATCATTCCAATATAAAAAGATTATTGAGATATTTTACATTCTTCTTGCTGTGAAGTCTTCAAAATCTGGTATATATTTTACACTTACAGAACTTGGCAATTTGGGCTGGCCACATTTCAAATGCTCAATAACAACAGGTGGCTAGTGGGTACCACATTGGGCAGCGTAGCCCTAAAGCATTAAGATGCTCTAGGTTTAACTGACTTTATTTTTTATTTTTTTTCTTGAGACAGAGTCTTGCTCTGTCGCCCAGGCTGGAGTGCAGTGGCACAATCTCGGCTCACTGCGACCTCCACCTCCCGGGTTCAAGCAATTCTCCTGCCTCAGCCTCCTGAGTAGCTGGGAATACAGGTGTGTACCACCATGCCTGGCTAATTTTTGTATTTTTTTAAGTAGAGATGGGGTTTCACCATGTTGGCCAGGCTGGTCTTGAACTCCTGACCTCAAATGATCCACCCGCCTCAGCCTCCCAAAGTGCTAAGATTACAGGCATGAGCCACCACACCTGGCCTCTTAATATGGTTTAATTTGGTGTAATAGGTATAAAATAGGTATAATACAGTGTAGTTTTTCTCTTACAGTTTAATTTTTATAAAATTCGACTTAAACTCATATTTCTAAGATCATTTATATTACATAAAATCAGGAACACACATCTGTGATTATATTTTTCATTTAGTCATTTCATCATTCATTCAGCAAAAAGATTTATTAGCCTTTCTTCCTATGTGCCAGGCACTGGGGACATAGAAGTGGGCATGAAAGATAATGTTCTTACTCTTATAGAACTGCAATTCTAGGGGGAGAGACAGACAATAAACAAGTCAACCAATAAAGAAGCAAGAGAAGTTTAGATAGGGAGAAGTGGTGAGAAGATTGGAAAGCCAAGCCATGTAATCAGAATAAACTGGGGAAAGAAGGGCCTCCTATTTTAGTATGAATGGTCCAAAGAGGTGTTATTTGAGCTGAGCCTAAATGAAATACTGCAAGGTGAACAGTGGGAACAGTTGTTTAAAAAAAAATAAACTGAAACATGTTTTGGAAAAAACCCAACTTAAGCCTTTGCAGGTTTTCACAGTGGAGGAACTTTCCATCAGTACGCTGCAGGGTGATGAAGGCTAGGGAGCCAAAAATGAGATGGGTCAGGTAAGGAGTTCAAACAAAGGGGCAAGCAAAACAGATGTGGGGGAGGACAGAATCAGAAAATTCACAGAGTAAGAAACTGGAAAACAAACTAGTGAGGGAAATGTTTGCTAATCAAGTTAGCAAGGACTTAAAAACATACTAAATCCCTTGCAATTACGGCAAAAAGGAAAAAAAGAGCTTTTACATATATTGCCACAGGCATTGTAAATCAATAAAACCCTTTGAGAAAGCAATTTGCTGGCACATGTTAAGCACCTTTAATGTGCTTATTCCCTTTGCTTGACAGTTCCATTTCTAGATTGTTATATACTCATTTATTGGTTTTTCTAGGTTTTATTGATTTATTTGAAAAAATTGGCCAGGTGTGGTGTCTCATGCCTATAATCCCAGCACTTTAGGAGGTCAAGGGAGAAGGATCACTTGAGGCCAGGAGTTTGAGACCAGCCTGGGCAACATAGTGAGACACCATCTCTGCAAAAAGAATTAAAAATTATCCAGATGTGGTGATGTGTGCTTGTAGTCATAGATACTTGGGAGGCTGAGCCAGGAGGATCGCCTGAGCCCAGCAGTTCAAGGTTACAGTGAGCTATGATCACATCACTGCACTCCAGCCTGAGTGACAGAGGGAGATGCTGTCTCTTAAAAAACAGAAAAAAAATAATTATAGATGTAAAGTCTTCATGGAATTTATTATAGCATCCCCAAATTAGAAAGATTACAATATCTTCAAATCAATGGCATATTTTTCAGTCATTAAAAAACACATCCATATTCACATGTGAAAGAATGACATTGAACCCCTTTCTCACACCATACACAAAGATTAACTTGAAATGGATCACAGACCTAAACGTAAGAACTAAAACTATAAACCTCTCAAAAGAAATATAGGAGTCACTGGGGGCAGTGGCTCATGCCTGTAATCCCAGCACTCTGGGAGGCCAAGGCAGGAGCTCAGGAGTTTGAGACCAGTCTGAGCAACATTGCATAAACCCTGTCTTTACGAAATAATGCAAAATGTTAGCTGGGCATAGTGGTGTGTGCCTGTAGTCCCAGCTACTTGGGAGGCTGAGATTAGAGGATTGCTTAAGCCTGGGAGACGGAGGTTGCAGTGAGCTGAGATCACGCCACTGCATTCCAGCTCGGGTGACAGAGTGAGCCCCCATCTCAAAAAAAAAAAAAAGAAATATAAGAGTAAATGTTTGTGACCTTGGGTTAGGCAAAGCCTTTTAGGTATGACACCAAAATCACAAGCAATAAGAGAAAAAAAGTACACAAGCTGTATTTCATCAAAGTTTAAAAGTTTTTGTGCTTCAAAGGACACCACAAAACAACGAAAAGACAGTCTACAGAATGGGAGAAAATATTTGCAAATTGTTTATCTAATAAGGAACTTGTAACCAGATTTTACATATATGTAAAAAATATATATTTTATAAGTAGAGTACACTCTAAAATAATGATCAAAAGTATAGTATAGGCCAGTTGCCATGGCTCACACCTGTAATCCCAGCACTTTGGGAGGTTAGAGGGCAAATCACTTGAGCCAGAGGAATTCAAGACCAGCCTGGTCAACATCGTGAAACTTTGTCTCTACAAAAAATACAAAAAAAAAAATTAGCCCTGTGCCAGGCGTGGTGGCTCACGCCTGTAATCCCAGCACTTTGGGAGGCCGAGGCAGGCGGATCACGAGGTCAGGAGATCAAGACCATCTTGGCTAACATGGTGAAACCCCATGTTACTAAAAATACAAAAAATACAAAAATACAAAAAATTAGCCATGTGTGGTGGCGGGCACCTGTAGTCCCAGCTACTAGGGAGGCTGAAGTAGGAGAATGGTGTGAACCCAGGAGGTGGAGCTTGCAGTGAGCCGAGATCACGCTACTGCACTCCAGCCTGGGTAACAGAGTGAGACTCCATCTCAAAAAAAAAAAAAAAAAAATTAGCCCTGCATGGTGGCACATGCCTGTAGTCCCAGCTACTTGGGAGGCTAAGGCAGGGGGATGGTTGGAGCCCAGGAGGCAGAGGTTGCAGTAAGCTGAGACTGAGCCATTGCACTGCAGCCTGGGTGACAGAGTGAGACTCTGTCTCAAAAAAAAAAAAAGGTATAGTAAATACATAAACCATTAACATAGTCACTTACTATTAGGTATTACATACTGTACAAATTGTATGTGCTATACTTTTATAGAACTGGCAGCACAATAGGTTTGTTTACACCAATATCACCACAAACACCTGAGTAATGTGTTGCAATATGACATTATGACTGCTACAATGGCACTAGATGAATTTTTCAGCTCCATCCAGCTCTGGAATTTTTCAGTTCCCTTAGAATCTTATGGGATCACTGTCATATATGTGGTTTGTTGTTGACTAAGACATCGTTATGTGGGAAGACTGTAATTCCATGGATATGAAATGTCTAGAGTAGGCAGATCTTTGAGATGGAAGATAGATTAGTGGTTGCCTGGGACTGGGGGTAGGGCAGGATGGGAGTGGAGCGTGGCTGCTAATGGGTGTGAGGTTTCTTTGCAGGGTTACAAAAATGTTCTAAAATTGATCGTGGTGATGGTCACACAATTCTGTGTTTCTACTAAAAACCATTACATTATATACTTTAAATGCATGAATTATATGATATGGGAATTATATCTTAATAAAAGTTGTAAGTATGTTTGTGTAAAGTATATACTAATGGGAGAAATGTTCATAAAGTGTATGCATGATTTGGAATTATGTATTGTACAACTACGATTATACTTATTTAGAAAAGAGATGAAAAGCTCTGACATAAACTCCGACAAGAACCCCACCAAAGTGTTAATGAAGGTTGCTTTTGGGTGGTGAACTAGGGTTGATGTTTTTTTCCTTTGTTGAGCAGGTCTTACTTTTATAAATGTTTTTTAATGAAACAAATGAGGAGACCTATTTCCAAAGCAGTCCTTGGGTGTAATCCTCATTAAATATGGCCAAACAGTAAGCAACTGAAGAGAGTTTCAACTGTCATCCTGCAGAAAACAAAGTCTAATTGAGATAAAAAAATGATGTTTTCCACACTGCCTCTTACCCCCTGTTCCTCCACCACTCAGACCCATAAAAGAAAATGATTCAGAAAGTCCTGAGCAAGTAAAACCTGGAAACCACGTGCTTCCATCTGGTAGCCTCACACCGTGGAGGGGAGGGGCAGTCCACTGCCACCGGGACTCCAACAGTGAGAGTGGAGTGAGGGAGGCCTATGTCCCCACTGGAGCCGTGAGTTATAGCCTGGGCCAGATATAAGGAGAAGTTTTATTTTTTTCCTTGACCACACACCATGTACTTATCTCTACTGAGAAAACCAGCTTTTCCTTCTTACCTCCCAAGAGGAGGAGCCAGTGCTGAGCTCAGGTCCCTGGCTGGGGTTACACCTCCCAGCTGGCCTCTGTCCAGGCCAGCCGGTTGTCCATCTCTATCTTAGAGGAACAGCTTTGACAAAGTCCTTGGCCCTGTTTGGAAATCTTCTTCCCCTTGCTCTTCCAAACAAAATTAATTTGAAGCAGTTGGGTTAATCTGTCGTTTTCCCTCCGAGGAGCATGTGTGCATTTGAGGGGCTGGGGGACGGAGATCTTTTAGAGACAGCCCTGAGGCCACTCTCCTGGGGCCCACATCCCTCCTCAATATTGATCATCTGAAGTGCATTCAGAGGTGCACCCAGGATGGAGAGGGGTTTGGAGCCTGCTCTCTGGGGAAATAGTGAAGGATCTGGGGCTGCTTAGCTTGGAGAAAAAAAAAAAAAAAAAAACGCCGGAAGCTCCTGAGAGTTGTCTCAATGAGCTGTTAACATGGAAAGGTTTATTTTGGAATGTCTCAGAGAAAAACTGGAACCACTATGGAGAAGTTGCAAGGAAGAAAGCTGCCTTAACATCAGAATTTTTTTTTTTTAAGACGGTCTCATTCTGTCACCCAGGCTAGAGTGAGGTGGCTCGATCTCAGCTTACTGCAACCTTCGCCTCCTGGGCTCAAGACATCCTCTCACCTCAGCCTCCTGAGTAGTTGGGACTACAGGCACTCACCACCACACCTGGCTAATTTTTTGTAGAGATGGTTTTGCCATGTTGCCAAGGCTGTTCTTGAACTCCTGGGCTCAAGGGATCCTCCCACCTCAGCTTCTCAAAGTGCTGGCGTGAGCCACCGAGCTTGGCCAGCAAGAAATTTTAATAGCTAGAATTTTCTAACATGCAACAGTCTCCATAGTTGAGGAGGTGAGTTCCATCCCAGGAAGGCCATGTAAGAAGCTTGTGGCAGGCATTAGTAACTCGAGAGTACAAAATATTTTTCAACAATTATGTAGCTCTTATTATGTGCCAGGCATTGTTCTAAGTACTTTTTATATACTACCAATTCCTGGAATACTAACACAACCTTCTGAAACAAATATATTATTATCTCCAGTTTACAGATGAGGAAATATAAGACCCAGTTGGGTTTGCTGGCATGTGCCTGTAATCCCACCTACTTGGGAAGCTGAGGTGGGAGGATCTTGAGTCTAGGAGTTTGAGGCCAGCCTGGGCAACATAGCAGGATTCCATCTCTTACAAAAAAAAAAAAAAAAAAAAAAAAAGGCTCAAAGAGGTTCAGTAAGTGGCTCAGGGCCACACTGTGACTCAAACCCAGGTAGTCTGGCTCCAAAATCCATGCTTTTAACTATTGTAGTAAGGTCATATTTATATTAATACACCAAGACATGATTGTAGGCCCCTCCATGTCAAATTATAGGGCTTTATGCTCTGATTTGGATATGGCGTAGTCATTTCCAGGATTCCTCATGGAGTGCTTTTCAATGCCTGTAACGTAGTGTATAGTACGATTTTCTTTCTTGCACTGTGGCTTCTTCCTTCTTAGTGATGTGTCTGCTGTCAGCACTGTTCAAGCAGCCTCACTGCTGCCTCTGCCAACTATACTCATTGTGAGGACCCCAACCTTTGTGCCAAGGGGATTTCCTCGCAATGTGCCCTTGGTTCCTAGGACTCAGGATGCCCATGTGTTGCTGGGTTCCAAGCAGAACTGTGGAGAATGATCCCCCACCAATAACAATGCTTTTGGCCAGAGCCCACCATCTATCTTTCTTTTCTTTCTTTTTTTTTTTTTTTTTTTTTGAGATAGGGTCTCATGCTGTTGCCCAGGCTGGAGTACAGTGACACAATTATGGCTCACTGCAGCCTCAATCTCCTGGGCACAAGTGATCCTTCCACCTCAGCCACTGAAGTAGCTGTGACTACAGGCACGTGCCACCAAGCTCAGCTAATTTTTAAATTTTTTTGTACAGACAGGGTTTTGCCATGTTTCCCAGGCTGGTCTCAAACTCCTGAGCTCAAGTGATCTGTCTTCCTCAACCTCCCAAAATGCTGGGATTACAGGCATGAGCCACTGCACCTGACCTACCATTTTTCAACAACAAGATGTCTGTCTCAACTACTGGTCCTCATCTCCCTGGTTACAGAATTTCAAAGACAGTCTTACTTTGGAGCTGGGTCATATGACAAAGTATCCCCCTCTGTCACCTTGATTTCTCTCTCAACTGTCTCCTGTTACCTGGACAACCAAAATAACTTATAAAACCTCATTTCTCCCATCCACAAAACACAGAGCCTCGATGTGCCAGGCAAAGATACCCTCTGTAAAAATGTTGCCCAGCATCTCCCTAGCCCCTGCCCAGCCACAAAAGACCTGTGATTTTTGTGAGCAGATACAGGAAGACTATTGGTCAGGAATGCTGGGAAACTGGTGCTACATCAGGCTGGAAGCTGGAAAGAATGGTAAAGTTTATTCAGTTCTAAAATGTTAGAACCCTGTGTTCCAAACAGTTTGATAGCAATGGACTTGCTTTAGGAGATGTTGGCTTTAATAGCTTCTATTCGGTTGGTAGGGACCAGTATACTGTGTTTCTAGGTAAAGTTTTGATTTTGTTTTTTTATTTTGTTCTATGTTTTTTTTTTTTTTTTTTTTTGAGACGGAGTCCTGCTCTGTTGCCCAGGCTGGAGTGCAGTGGCGCTATCTCGGCTCACTGCTGCAAGCTCCGCCTCCCGGGTTCACACCATTCTCCTGCCTCAGCCTCCCGAGTAGCTGGGACTACAGGTGCCCACCACCACTCCCGGCTAATTTTTTGTATTTTTAGTAGAGACGGGGTTTCACCGTGTTAGCCAGGATGGTTTCCAACTCCTGACCTCATGATCCACCCGCTTCGGCCTCCCAAAGTGCTGGGATTACAGGCATGAGCCACTGCACCCGGCCTGTTGTGTTGTTTTTTAAGGCAATTTCTGGAGTTTATTTATGGAAGGTAAAGTAACTGGAGAGCAACTAATGGCTCTATCCAATAAGCTATCTCCTTGAGAGAGAATTCCAGAGATGAGTTTACTGTGTTTGTACCCTAGTCTCTGTCGTGCTCTTCAGGAGAGCAAAGGTAATAAGACCTCATTTAATTTTTTGATGTTTCCATATTAATCAGGTGACCTTATTGTCTTTTGTGATTACTGTAAGAGTTTTGGGACATTCAGATTCTCTGGGGTTGTGTGGTCACATTTGAATGAAATAGAAGAGAGATAGGGACAAGAGTGAGGCCCATCTCACTATGGTTATAAAGAAAGGGTGAGATAGCCAGCCTCAAAATGGCCTTCAGTAATCTTTGCCTCCTGGTATCATGTCTTGCATAGTGTCTGGCCCTATTGAATTCGTTTGTCTGTATGACCAGTAAAATATGGCAAAAGTGACAGTGTATGACTAGGCTAGAACACAGCTTCCACTTTGATCTCTTGGGTCATTTGCTCTGGGCGGAGCCAGCCACCATACTGAGAGAGACACTCAAGCAGCTCTGTGGAGAGGCCCGTGTCAGGAGGAACTGAGGCCTCCTGCCAATAGCAAGCACCAATTTGTCAGCTAAGCAAGTAAACCACCTTGAGACTAGATTCTCCAGCCCCAATTGAGCCTTCAGAAGACCCGTTGACTACGACCTCAAAAGAGATCCTCAACTAGAACTGCCCACTCAAGTTCCTTCTACTGTACGAAACTGTGATAGAAACTGTTGATTTAAGCTGTGAAGTGTTGAGATAATTTGTAACACAGCAATTGATAACCAGTGCAAAGAGCAAGTGTGATTATATCAAGAGCTCCTTAGTATGAGCACCCATGTACACCAAATCGTTGGGAAACCAGAAGGGCAGCTCCCTTGTCCTGTTGGCAAAGCAAGACCCACAGGCCAAATATGGCCTTCCACTGACCACACCTGGCCATGCCATTTGTTTATATATTGTGTATGGCTGACTGAGTAGTTGTGACAGAGACTGGAGGGCTCACAAAGCTGAAAATATTTACTTTTCAGCCCTTTACAGAAAAAGCTTGCCAACTCCTGTGCTACAGGAATTTACAGTCTAATGGGGGAAATGTCTCTCTCACACACATGCAGATATACACACTTTCCCCACCCAAGAACCTGAGGGCAGCCATGCAACTTCATCCGCCAGGAGAGTCCTCTCTACCTTCGTCTGGCTAACTTTTCCTCATCCTTCAACTCAGTTCAGCTATCACCTTCTTTAAGCCCACCTAGCTTTCCTCCTTTAAAGCTGGCTTGAATATCACCTCTTTTCCTCCTCATTATCCCTCTACCTAGGCAAATTCTAAGATTAATTTTTTATACCTCTTTTATAACTCTAAACACCTAATAGAGTTTTGTTTAATATCTTTCTTTCCTATTGGCCTTTTCCTATTGGCCTTTAAAGGCAAGTACTGTATATTATTCATTTTACAACCTCAGAGTAATACACCTTTATTATTGATCACCAATACTTATTGAATGTTTATTATCGGCCAGATAATTTGCTGACACTGGGATACACAGGGAAAAAGACTGAGTCCTTGCCCTCAGGTTATTCTAGCATGGAAATGAAAAGCAAACTAGTATTAGCATACAATATGATGGATGCATGTTCAAGCCTCATTATATTTGCTATAACCATATCAACATTTGCAAAAGAAATTGGTTTTCAACAGTTTCATAGCATTGACTATGTGTCAAACAGTACAAATCACTTACATTTATTATAATTTACTTAATCTTTACATATCCCTATGTAAAGGACAATTATTTTCATTCTGTAGAATAATATAGAACCCAGTGAGGTCAAGTAACTTGCCCAGAGTCACAGAGCTAAAAAAAATGTTGAATTAATTTCAGAGCAACTGTTGACTAATTAATTCCAAGCCTCAGAAAGAACATAAGTCCAAGGAGTTGGGATTATATTCTACTTTTCTCTGTGAGCATTAAGTGGGATAGTTTCTGTCAACCTGCAAATGCCTACTCCGGAGGCTTTCTGATGGCTTGGACTGTGCTTGGCATTTTATTTCTAGGGATTGCCTTCTGGGAGACTCTGCTGTTTTAATGATCATGTAAGCCTGGTTTCCTCATTGAATTGTACCATTTGCCACTTTGAAGTCATCCTGAGTTTTCAGTTTTACTTTCCCAGGGCTCTGTGGGGGTGGAGGGTTTTGGAGGAGAACACATTCAAACAGCAAACTTGCTCCCTGCCCCCAACCGTGTTTCAGTATTTTTCTTGGCAAGGTCAATAGAAGCATGGATTGTTTACAGCTGGGATGGTGGGATGAAGCTCTGGTGCCTTCTTTTTGTCCTCTCTTGTTTCCAGCTGTGATCTCAGCTGTGGATTAATTTATTTGAACCAGCCAGGCGCAGTGGCTCAAGCCTGTAATCCCAGCACTTTGGGAGGCTGAGACAGGTGGATCACTTGAGGTCAGGAGTTTGAGACCAGCCTGGCCGACATGGTGAAACCCCATCTCTACTAAAAATACAAAAATTAGCCGGGCATGGTGGCATGTGCCTGTAATTCCAGCTACTTGGGAGGCTGAGGCAGGAGAATTGCTTGAACCCGGGAGTTGAAGGTTGCAGTGAGCCAAGATCACACCACTGCACTCCAGGCTGGGTAACAGAGTGAGACTGTGTCACAAAAACAAACAAAGAAACAAACACAAAAAAAAAAACAAAAAAATGAACCTTGGGTGTTATTCAATGGATTGAGTTAAAGATACTTTGTGTACAGTGGTTACTGATGCTGGTGCTGGCCTGAAAAAAAGCCATTGCTCCCTATAGTATGAATCACCTCATTCCATTCTATTTTCCTTTCTAGGAATGAAGACTTCGGAGCTCCAAAGCTAGTGCATTTTAAAAACCCGTAAGTGGGTGTTTTGAGCCACTCATCTACTCTTCCACTCTTGTGCTTGCTGCAGCCTTCCTCCCAAAAGATGTGAGTGCTTTTGGCAAAGCTGGGGCTGAGAGGTGGGAGAAGTTCCCTGCTGAAGACAGTGATATGTCTCTTGCCTTAGGTCAGCAGTTTCCTTCAAAGGGAAAGGTGTAGGGTGAAGTGTGGAGGTGTAGGTGTTACAGAGGGCGGGAGAGGGAAAGGCCAACATAATCCATTTGTGTTTTTCAACTAATTACCCATGCACTCAACAAACACTGACTGAACCAATTACATGCCACACCTTGGTTACAATCAGGCCCTGGAGTTTACAATAGTGAAGAAGACAGACATGGTTCCTGCCTGCCATGTGGGAGCAGTAGGGAAGACTGAAAAGAAACAGAGACAGTAAATAATTACAAGTATGGTAACTGCTGATAGGAAATAAAGAATTGGCTATTACAGAGAAGACTCAAGAGTGGAGGATGGGACAGGACATTGACTTTGGAATAATCAGAGAGGGCCTCTCTGAGGATGTTAAGGATTGGATTTGAAGGATTGGACTATAAGGGATAGAGAAGCCAAGGGAGAATTCCAAGCAGAGGAAAATGAATTGTGTAAAGCTGAAGTCAGCCCAGGCAAACTGAAATAAACTAACCATGCTCTGGGGGAGTCTCCAGGTCCCCATCTAGACTGCTTTCCCCAGAAAGAATCCTTCTGCCCCAGGCCCGGTGCTTCCTGGTGCTTCCCTTTGTTTGATCCCAACATGCCCCTGGTGAGAGTTTGAGAACTCATTTTGTCGGGATCTGCAATTCATTTTGGGTCTCATCCTTCAGCTGTATCTCTGAGGCAGGCTAGCACGTGTTCATCAAGAAAGGAGGACACGGCTGGGCATGGTGGCTCACGCCTGTTATCCCAGCACTTTTGGAGGCTGAGGTGGGCAGATCACTTGAGGTCAGGAGTTTGAGACCAGCCTAGGCAACATGGTGAAATCCTGTCTCTATTAAAAGTACAAAAATTAGCCAGACATGGTGGCACATGCCTGTAATCCCTGCTGCTGGGGAGGCCGAGCCAGAAGAATTGCTTGAACCTGGGAGGCAGAGATTGCAGTGAGCTGAGATGGCGCCACTGCTCACCAACCTGGGTGACAGAGCAAGACTCTGTCTCAAAAAAGAGAAAGAAAGGAGGACACTTTGGGACTTGGGGACCCTACCCTTTTATTTTAGGACAAGCAGGCCTTGGTAAAGCTTACTGTTACAAATTCTTTAGGTTTTCTGGAGCCAGACTGCTTAGGTTAGAGTCCTAGCTCTGATACTTGGAAGCTATAACTTTGGGCATATTACTTAACTGCTCTGTACCTGAGTTTTTTATCTGTAAAGCAGGCCTTTAAAAAACAATCTACCTCATAGGATTATTGTGAGAATTTAATAAGTCAATGTTAGTTAAGTGCTAGAGCTAAGTACCTATCACATAAACATTCAACAAATGTGTTGCTGTCATTGTCACAGGTAAGCTACTGTACCCCACTCATACCTCAGATGGCAGTGAAGGTGGGGATATACACTCCCTGGGCAGGGTTCTCCCTGAAGTCAGGGTATAGCTTGAATTACATACTTTAATTCAGAAGCCATTTTTATACCAGGCTTGGTTGGACACTTTACTTACATCATTGGCTTTGATCTTCCCAACAAACTTAAGAAGAATTATTGCCCCCATTTTATACACATAGTAACTCAGGTTTAAAGACATCAACTGACTTACCCAACCCCGTGAAGCTACTACTATTCCTAGGCCCATCCCTGAGATCCTGATCCAGTAGGTCAAGGTAAGGTCCACGAATCTGTATTGCAGTTTCTATCCTCCACTCCTTCCTCCTGCTTCCAAGTTCTTTTTCTTTTTCTTTTTTTAAAAATAGAGATGGGGCCAGACACGGTGGCTCATGCCTGTAATCCCAGCACTTTGGGAGGCCGAGGCAGTCAGATTACCTGAGGTCAAGAGTTCAAGACCAGTCTGCCCAACATGGTGAAACCTTGTCTCTACTAAAAATACAAAAATTAGCTGGGCATGGTGGTGGCTGCCTGTAATCCCAGCTACTTGGG
Organism: Homo sapiens; assembly: GCF_000001405.40. NCBI lineage: Eukaryota > Metazoa > Chordata > Mammalia > Primates > Hominidae > Homo > Homo sapiens. The sequence continues at coordinate 67,487,422 of NC_000001.11, forward strand.
AGGCTGAGGCAGGAGAATCACTTGAACCCGGGAGGCAGAGGTGTGCCAAGATCACGCCACTGCACTCCAGCTTGGGCAACAGAGTGAAACTGTGTCTCAAAAACAAACAAACAAACAAACAAAATCGAGATGAGTTCTCACTATGTTGCACGGGCTGATCTCAAACTCCTGTTCTCAAGCAATCCTTCTGCCTCGGCCTCCCAAAGTGCTAAGATTACAGGTGTGAGCTACAGTGCCTGACTCCACTTCTCAACTTTGAAAAGAGTGACCCCTTTACTATACGTTGGATAACTTTGGCCTAGATGATCTCAAAGGCTCTCTCTGTCTGCAAAGTCTGTAAAGATGAGAAAGTCCATATATGCAAAGCGGACAGTTTAGTGAGGAAGGCAGTTAATGTAAACATAAAAACATGTTTTTAATAAGTGAACTAATCCAGTTCACACCACTGGTTCCTTGATACAGTCATTCTCTAACAAGCAAAATGGGGCTGAAAGTATGCTGAACTGATGTAAGGTGTGCTGAGCTTTGACAGGTTCACTGCACCTTCACAGAGTACCTTGGACCTTTCACAAATACGTGTTCTGTTCATCCTCTCATCTTAGAGGTATCCAAGAACAGGACCTCGTCTTCGAGGTACCACCACTAGAGATAGCCTTCCCAGGGGCTGCCAGCTTTAAACTCTACAAAGCCTATGACATCATTTGGAATCAAAGTGGAAAAGTCATGGTAATAGTAGTTGTAATCAAATCAGTTAGGAATCTTTTGGTGACACATGTCAGAAAATCCAACCCAAAAATGACATGACCTAAGCTGGGCACAATGGCTTATGCCTGTAATACCAGCATTTTGGGAGGCTGAGGTGGGTGGATCACTTAACGTTAGGAGTTCGAGACCAGCGTGGGCAACATGGCGAAACCCTGCCTCTACCAAAAATACCAAAAAATACAGCCGGGTGTGGTGGTGTGTGCCTGTAGTCCCAGCTACTCTGGAGGCTGAGGTGGGAGGATCGCTTGAACCTGGAGGCAGAGGTTGCAGTGAGCCGAGATTATGCCACTACACTCCAGCCTGGGTGATGGAGTGAGAGTTTTTCTTAAAAAAGAAAAAAAAAGAGGCTGGCACAGTGCCTTGTGTCTGTAATCCCAGCTACTCGGGAGGCTGAGGCACGAGAATCACTTGAACCCGGAAGGCAGAGGTTGCAGTGAGCTAAGATTGTGCCACTGCACTGCAGCCTGGGTGACAGAGCGAGACTCCATCTCAAAAAAAAAAAAAAAAAAAAAAAAAAAAGAAAAGAAAACAGTGGAGGCTCTTGCTGAACGTAGAGTAAAGGAATGTTGCCAATAAATTTCAACAACAAACCTTTGAGCTCTTACTATGTGCCACACTCTGTGCTAAGCACACTAGGTGCATGACCCCATTTGATCTGTATAAATGACTCAAGAGGGATGCATTCAGATTAACCTCATATAATGGACGAAGAAGCCAAGGCTCAGAGACGTTAGGTAACATGTTCAAGGTCACATAGCTAGTAAGTGGTAGAGCTGCGTTTGAGCTAGTTCTCTCTGATTCAACATCTATTCTTGTTCCATTTTATGAAGCTGCCTGGGGCATCAGCTTCCTCTAAGGCATATAGACTGGAAACATCAGAGTCTTTCTCAACATTTCTTCTTCATTTTCTACATCCAGTTAGTCATCAAATTCAGTGGATCCTACTTCCACCAGGTTTTGTGCTGTCTGTTTCCATGTTTGGTTCCCATTGCCACTGCCCTAGATAAGGACTTGGTCACTTCTTCCTGGACTATTAAAATAGTTTACTCTTTTCTCAGAGACTCCACACAGGTGGTCTGAGAGTCATTTTAACTTACAAGTTCATACTTAAAAGTTAGAGTCCTGGGCGAGGCACAGTGGCTCTTGCCTGTAATTCCGGCACTTTGGGAGGCCGAGGTGGGCAGACAGCTTGAGCCCAGGAGTTTGAGACCAGCCTGGGAAACATGGTGAAACCCCATCTCTACTGAAAATACAAAAATCAGCCAGGTGTGGTGGCACGTGCTTGTAGTCCCAGCTACTTGGGAGGCTGAGGTGAGAAAATCCTTTGAACCAGGGAGTTTGAGGCTGCAGTGAGCTGTGATCGCGCCACTGTACTCCAGCCTGGATGACAGGGCAAGACCCCGTCTCCCAAGAAAAAATAAATAAATTTAAAAAATTAAAATTAAATTAAATTAATTAAAAATAAAAATTTTAAACAAGTTAGCATCTCATGAAAATCTGTATTGTTTGGCTTTCCCTGAAAAATGGAAAAATCTGATAACACTGGACTCATAATCTACATGGCAGCATTGGCTGGAACTGAGCAGCGGCAGCCCACTGATGAGAAGGTATGTGTGGTTCAGTTGACCAGGTACCTATTGCAATTTTGTTCCTTGTCTGCCCTCTGTAGGCATCTGAGTGTGCAAACCTAGTAGTTAGTCTCTCCCCATTTAAACCCATCCTCCTGTAGACCCTGCAGTTATCTTCCTAAACCATGATCTCAGTATTCTGAGTATTTCATACTCAATTTTCAGATCATATTTATTTATTTGTAGAGACAAGATCTTGCTCTGTCCCAGGGTGCTGTGGTGTGATCATAGCTCACTGCAGCCTCAAACCTCTGGGCTTACCCAATCCTCCCATTTCCGTCTCCCAAGTAGCTAGGACTACAGGTGTGTGCCACCATGCCCAGCTAAGTTTTTAATTCTTTGGAGAGACAGGGTCTCATTATGTTGCCCAGACTGGTCTCAAACTCCTGGCCTCCAGCAATCCTCTTGCCTTGGCCTCCCAGAGTGAAAGAATTACAGGTGTGAGCCACCGTGCCCAGCCGCAATTTTCACATTTCATAGTTCCTCATTGACTACAGATTCATTACACACTTGGTCCCAATCTACTTTTCCAGGCCTATCTCCAACTGTGCCCACATGTCCTCTGCTTCAGCCACATCCTTCTAGAATCTGCTCAACACCCCTTCTCCCACAGGGTTTGCTCAAGCCTCATTCTCTGGGCCTCTAATGTGCTTTCTTGGTCCTCTCTGTGCCTCCTCAAATCCACTCTTTGAATGATGCCCACATGACTTTCAATGACCAGTTTGATTCCTACCTCTTCCAAGAAGCCTTGGGTCTTTTCGATTTATTTATTTGTCTATTTTTAAATTTGAGACAAGGTCCCACTCTGTCACCCAGGCTGGAGTGCAGTGGTGCGATCACAGCTCACTGCAACCTCCGCCTCCCGGGTTCGAGTGATCCTCCCACCTCAGCCTCTGGAGTAGCTGGGACGACAGGCACATGCCACCACACCTGGCTATATTTCTTTGTATTTTTGGTAGAGACATGGTTTCGCCATGTTGCCCAGGCTGGTCTCAAACTCCTGAGCTGGGATTACAGGTGTGAGCCACTGCACCCGTCCCATGTTTTGTGAATTTTACCACATCTGGGGAAAAAGAGTGAGCTAACGTCTATCAGGCACACAAAGCAAGGCATGGGGTTGGGGTTTGATAGGAGGTGGGGAGGAGATTTCTGGTAAAGAAAGCAAGGTTGGGAACCAGTGAGGTAGCTCAGAAAGGCTGGTGTTATAAAGTGCTTGAGGTTGCCGGGGGCAAGGCCTGGGCCTCAGAGCAGCCAACTAAGGTTCCAGAGGCAGATGGGAAGCACATAGCCTTAGAAGCCCTTCCCAGTAGCTCAGACTCTGTCCTGCAGGGAATGGGGCACTGGTAACAACTTTCAGGAGGCCTGCAATGTGCTATGAGTGTGCTTTTTCTTCCCCTTTTTCTGTTGAGACAGGGTTTCACTCTGTCACTCACAGGCTGGAGCGCAGTGGCATGATGATGGCTCACTGCAGCATTGACGTCCTGGGCTCAAGTGATCCTCTCACTTCAGCCTCCCGATTAGCTGGGAACACAAGTGTGTGCCACTGTGTCCAACTATTTTTTGTTGTTGTTGGTAGAGATGGAGTCTTGCTATGTTGCCCAGACTGGTCTTGAACTCCTGGGCTCAAGGGATCCTCCCACTTTGGCCTCCCAAAGTGCTGAATCACCACACACGCTCAAGTGTGCTTTTTAAGAAAGATCAAGCCTTCCAGTGTAATTTAATGATAAAAAAAAGAAGGAAAGATCAAGCTTATTCCCTTATGCAGGAGGGTAAAATTAGCAGAAATGTGGAGACAATAAGGAAATTATTTTAACAAGCCAGGTGAGAGTTAGCAAGGAGCTGAGAATGTGACCATCATCACATGCTACAGAGCAGGATATCTATGTCATTTTTGTTTGTTAATTTCATTCATTCATTTAAAAATTCTTTTAATGAATGAAAGCAGGTTTCCATTTTGTGCCAGGCCCATTATTTGCTGGTGCTGAGGACATAGCTGTGGACGACACAGGCATGGCTCTGGTCGTTCTAGAGCAGACAGTGTGGCCAGGAAGGCAGACAATAAACTCATGATGATACAATTGATGAATTACAATTGTGAGAGGTGTTATTAAAGGACAAAGTCAAGGTGCTAGCTCCTGCTGTGACTTGCACACTGCCCTGCAGTCAGACAGCCCTAGGTTCAAAGCCTGGTTTCTCTACCACTCAGGGGAGAGGCCTAGAGCTAGTTTCTCAGGCTCTTCCAGCCTCGGTTGCCTCATCTGAAAAAGTGGGTAGCAACAGCATGCACCCACAGGGTGGCTAAGAAGGATTAAGCTTAGCACTGTAGATGGAACTGTCCACGAGTGCCTCACAGGCAGCAGAAGCTCAAGAGGGGTTAATTGACTCTTCCGCAAGGTGGGCACGATAAATCCTGGTTGGATAGAATCATGTAATTAACCTTGAACCCATCAGTCCCTGGCAATGTGACTGAAGATCTTGAGGCATGCTGATCTGAAGCATATAAAGTAGCCAGTTTCTGCCGGGCGCAGTGGCTCACGCCTGTAATCCCAGCACTTTGAGAGGCTGAGGTGGGCAGATCACTTGAGGTCAGGAGTTTGAGACCAACCAACCTGGCACATGGTGAAATCCTATCTCCGCTAAAAATACAAAAATCAGCCGGGCATGATGACACGTGCCCATAGTCCCAGCTACTAGGGAGGCCAAGGCAGAAGAATCGCTCAAACCCAGGAGTAGGAGGTTACAGTGAGCCGAGATGGTGCCACTGCACTCCAGCCTGGGCAATAGAGTGAGACTCCATCTAAAATAAATAAATAAGTAAGTAAATAAATAAATAAATAAAGTAGCCAGTTGATCTGTGAATAAGCCCTTTAGAAAAGCTCATTTTTGAGAACAGCAGGTCTGCTTCAACATTGTGAAAAGTGCTAGCCTCCCTCTGTTCCACCCTCAACCCCCAAACAAGGCTTCTGCCAGGCATGTAGGAAACAGCCCTGGGTTTTGGTTTCTCCCAACGGTTCATCCCCTAAGGGGGAAGACATTCCCTGGCATATTAAAAAATATCCCTTTTGCAGGGCGTGGTGGCTCACACCTGTAATCCCAGCACTTTGGGAGGCGGAGGTGGGTGGATCGCCTGAGGTTAGGAGTTCGAGACCAGCCTGACCAACATGGTGAAACCCCGTTTCTACTAAAAATACAAAAGTAGTCGGGTGTGTTGGTGCATGCTTGTAATCTCAGCTACTCCGGAAGCTGAGACAGGAGAATCACTTGAACCGGGCAGGCAGAGGTTGCAGTGAGCCAAGATGGTCCATTGCACTCCAGCCTTGGTGACAGAGCAAGACTCTGTCTCAAAAAAAAAAAAAAAAAAAAAAAATTCCTTTTTTGACCTTCAGAGGCCAATGTGTCCATATTCTTTGTAACTCCAGTGGAATTTATATCTGCCAAGGTCTTTCTCTTAGAAGGTTCAGGCCTAGTCATAAACACCCTTAAACACTTCTGTCTTCATCCAACAGGCATAGATTGAATATTTGATTGACATGTGCCAGTCACTGTACTAGGTGCTGGGATTATAATACAGAAAATAATGAGACCCATCCCAGCCTCAAAGGCATCCTAACCTTGTGGGACGTTAGAAACATAAATGAATCAGTGCTATCTTTGTTTTAAGGGCTAGAATCAAAATTGCACAGGCCATAGGGTGAGTGCACAGAGGCAAACCAAGGCACCTTGCCTCGGGGAACATTCCAGGCTGTCAGACCAAGACCAGGCTCTGGTATCTAGCTCTTGATCTGCTGCTTGATGATAATAACTGTTACTTATTGACCACGACTATGCCCAAGTCCGTTATTTATGAATCAGAAGATTTCACATTGAAATTTTGAAAACAATTACAAGATAAGAAAAACAGCTCTAGGTTGGGTGTGGTGGCTCACGCCTGTAATCCCAACACTTTGGGAGGCTGAGGTGTGGATGGCAGGGTGGATGCCTTGAGGCTAGAAGTTCAAAATCAGCCTGGCCAACATAGTGTAACCTTGTCTCTACTAAAAATGCAAAAATCAGCCAGGCGTGGTGGTGCATGCCTGTAATCCCAGCCACTTGGGAGGCTGAGGCACGAGAATTGCTTGAACCAGGAGGTGGAGGTTGCAGTGAGCTGAGATCACGCCACTGCACTCCAGCCTGGGCAACAGAGCGAGACTCCGTCTCAAAAAAACAAAAAACAAAACAAAACAAAACAAAGAATTAAAAAATAAAAATAAAAATACTAGCTATATAAGCTATAAAAGATGACAGGATATTGCACTTTTATAAAAAATTAATGGAAATGCTGGAGGAGCGGGCTCTAGGCTGGGCCCCTACAAATGGCACCAGAACAGCACCCAGATCAGCTAGCCAAAAGGGTATCTCAACTGCTGACTCCAGACTCCTACGAACTTAACCACAATCCAGGATCAGGCAGTCACCATTATCTAACTACTTTACTTAATTTAATCCTCATGATAATTCCATGAGGAGTGTGTTACATGAAGTAGTATACGGACAGCATTTAAAAGAGAGCCTGAATTAATGGTAACTGCTTCATACATGTTGCTTATTACTGTTATTATCTCCATTCTACAGTGGATGCAACTGAAGTCAGGTGATGCAACCTCAAAATCCCATAGAATCCAAGCATATGTTTTTCCCAGGAGGCCCAAAGAGCAGTTTGGGTTCCATTGCTGGCAGAGTGGATAGGTTAAAAAGTGGGACATTCACACAATGGGATACTGTCTGGCAGACAGAAGTAACAGATTAACAACATACAAAGTGCTAATGAGAGTTGGAAGACTTGATCCTTGGCTTCTTCTGAAGAGGGCTTCTCAGCTCCAGCAGATGGATGGCCCGTGGGAATGCAGACTATGACAGATACAGTAGAATGACTTGCTTAGCATCTCTCCCTCCTTCCTCCTGGTGCCTTCCTGAACTGCAGAGGCTAGGAAGGTAAAATCCACCTTTCTCAGCCTCCTTTACTGTTTCTGGGTATGATTAGAACCCATCATCCAGATGTATTTGCGGAAGAGTCAAAGTTAGAGTCGAGTTAAATGGGAATAAAGGTGGAGTCACCCAGGTCACCTGTGTTGCTAGTGTAGGTCTGGCCAATGCAGAACCAGCACTGACAATGGCAGCTGCCTGATCCTGGATTGTGGTTAAGGTGGAAGGAGCCTGGAGTCAGCAGTTGGGATACCAGCTTGGCCAGCCACTCTGGATGTTGTTCTGGTGCCATCCCTAGGGGCCCAGCCTAGAGCCCACTCCTCCAGCCTTTCCACCAATTTTACAAACATGCAATATGTCTGTCATTGTTTATAGCTTAACATAGCTAGAGCTATTTCTCTTATCTTGTAATTTTTTTTCAAAATTTCCATGTGAAATCTTCAGATTTGTAAATATAGACTTGGACAAGGTACTAACCTTTCTGAGCCTTGGCTTCCTCACCTATAAAATGGTTGTATGGGCCAGGTGCAGTGGCTCATGCCTGTAATCCCAGCACTTTGGGAGGCCAAGTTGGGCAGAGCACCTGAGGTCAGGCATTTGAGACAATCCTGGCCAACATGGTGAAACTCCATCTCTACTAAAAATACAAAAATTAGCGAGGTATGGTGGCCTGCACCTGTAGTCCCACCTACTCAGGAGCCTGAGGCAGGAGAATCGCTTAAACTGGGAAGGTGGAGTTGGCAGTGAGCAGAGATTGCACCACAGCACTCCAGACTGTCCCAAAAAAAAAAAAAATAAATAAATCAAAAGGTTGTATGAAATCACTTCCCATAGGCAGTGGAGAAGATTCTGTGGAATATCATTTGCAAGTGCCTGTCATATAGCAACTGCTCAATAATGGAAAACTGTAATATAAAAACCACGGGTTTGGCTGGGCGCGGTGGCTCCCGCCTGTAATCCCAGCACTTTGGGAGGCCGAGGCGGGTGGGTCACCTGAGGTCAGGAGTTCGAGATCAGGCTGACCAACATGGAGAAACCCCATCTCTACTAAAAATACAAAATTAGCTGGGTGTGGTGGCGCGTGCCTGTAATCCCAGCTACTTGGGGAGGCTGAGGCAGGAGAATTGCTTGAACCTGGGAGGCAGAGGTTGCAGTGAGCCGAGATCGCACCATTGTACTCCAGCCTGGGCAGCAAGAGCGAAACTCCGTCTCAAAAAAACAAACAAACAAACAACAACAACAATAAACAACCATGGGTTTTGTAGAAACTGGGTTCAAATTGTAGCAATGCTGCCTGCCAGCTCTGTAATGACTTAAAACTTTCTGAGGCCCTGGGAGATGTAGCTGATAAAATATCAACTACTGAATCATCTTTGGTTTGTGTGTTTGTTTTAGTGAGGGTTAGAGAGCTAACATACAGAAGGATGCCGAGCACAGTGCTTGTCTGACACATGGTAGTCTCTTCTCAAATGTTAATTCTCTTTCTTATCTCCTCTTCTCTCCAATTATTTAATGTGTTTGTTCATGATGAGAATGGTTAGAAAGAAACTAATTAGGTACACAGTTATAAAGGATGTAATTACTCTCCCTAATAAGAGACTGACACTTTTTTTCCCTCTCTCCATAATGCGGGAAATAAAGCTGCACCTGCCATTTCCCTGGGGGTGTCTGGGTGCCCTGGTGACTGTTCCGTTCACACCTATTTCCTGCCACTGACCGTCCTTTCTTCTGCCACTGGAGCCATGACCTTGCTCTGTTTCGCAAGATAGGACTCTTTTTTTTTTTTCTTTGAGACAGAGTCTCACTCTGTCGCCAAGGCTGGAGTGCAGTGGCATAATCTCGGCTCACTGCAATCGCAATCTCCATCTCCCAGGTGCAAGCGATTCTCTTGCCTCAGCCTCCTAAGTAGCTGGGACTACAGGCATGCGCCACCATGCCTGGCTAATTTTTGTATTTTTAGTAGAGATGGGGTTTCACCATGTTGGCCAGGCTGGCCTTGAGCTTCTGACCTCAAGTGATCTGCCCGCCTTGGCCTCCCAAAGTGCTGGGATTACAGGCATAAGCCACCTCGCCTGGCCTAAAGTTAGATTTAATTCATTAATTTCACAAATATGTATTGAGTGTTAACTATGTATGAGCTATTGGACTAGGTTCTGGGAATTTGATGGTATGTAAAACAGTCCTTGCCCATATTGAGCTCATTATCTAATATGAGAGAAATACGTTAAACAAACTAATTTTTTTGTAAGAAGAATTTATTTTTTAACAGCATCTTTTTCCATCCTTTTTAAGAGATAGAAACCGTTCTTCTGTGCTCCTTACAAAGAGTTTTATCTTGGTTCCTAATAAAAGCATATATATTTCATCCACATGGCCTTAATCTTGAGAACAGGAATTTGTCTTCTTCATTTTTTTTTTTTTTTTTTGAGATGGAGTCTCGCTCTGTCGCCCAGGCTGGAGTGCAGTGGCGCCATCTCAGCTCACTGCAAGCTCTGCCTCCCAGGCTCATGCCATTCTCCTGCCTCAGCCTCCCGAGTAGCTGGGACTACAGGGGGCATGCTGCCACGCCCGGCTAATTTTTTTGTATTTTTAGTAGAGACGGGGTTTCACTGTGTTAGCCAGGATGGTCTCGATTTCCTGACCTCACGATCTACCCACTTCGGCCTCCCAAAGTGCTGGGATTACAGGCGTGAACCACCGCGCCCAGGTGTCTTCTTCATTTTTTTACCCATGAATGCATTAAGGTAATGTTTACGTACTTTAGAATCAATTAAAAAATCATCAAGTACTAAACAATCACCCAAAATAAATATCTAGTTATGAAGTATGATGGGTGTTGTGAAGAGGACCCTAAGTCACCTGGTGGTAAATGCCATAATAATGGCTAATAATAATAGTCACAGGCACTTGGCAAGTGATCACTGTGCAGCTGTCATCATGCTTCATGTAGATTATCTCATTTAATCTTCAAAGCAATTGGATGAATATTATCTCCACGTAGGGACATATGTCTGACTGCTAAACTTGTACAGCTCATGGTGGGTGGATTTTGACTTTCATCTTTTGGCATTAATGACTGTGTTAGACTGAATAATGTCCCTCCACTCTGTCCACCACCCAGTTCCACATCCTAATTCCTGGAGCCTCTGATATGTTATAATACATAGCAAATGGACTTTGAAGATGTAATTAAGTTGAGGACCTTGAGATGGGGAGATTACCCTGGATTAGTAAGGTGGGTCCAGTGTAATCACAGGGGTCCTTATAAGAGGAAGGCAGCTGAGTCAGAGAAAGAGGGAGAGGTGAGGATGGAAGGGAAGCAGAGGTTGGAGTGATGCACTTTGCAGATGGAGGAAGGGGCCATATGCTAAGAAATGCAGGAGGACTCTAGAAGCCAGAAGAGACAAGGAAATTGATTCTCCCCTAGAGCTTCCATATGAAATATAGCTCTGCCAACAGCTTGACTGTGGCCCCCAAGAACCATATCCATCTTCTGACCTCCAGAACGATAAGATGAATTTGTGATGTAAAGCCATTAAGTTTGTGGCATTTTGTTACAGTGGGAATAAGAAACTGACAAAGCAACTTTTTTGGGGACCTATCTGGCAACAGCTGGATGAAAAGCACCACATCAGAACACCAGGTTTTGTGTAGGAGGGCAAACCCCGTTTGAGAATCGTGTAAAAGATCTCCAGGCTGGGCGCTGTGGCTCATGCTTGTAATCCCAACACTTTGGGAGGCCGAGGTGGGTGGATCATTTGAGGTCAGGAGTTCGAGAACAGCCTGGCCAACATGGTTAAACCCTGTCTCTACTAAAAATACAAAAATTAGCCAGGTGTGGTGGTGCACACCTGCAATCCTAGCTATGCGGGAGGCTGAGACAGAAGAATCGCTTGCACCTGGGGGGTGGAGGTTGCGGTGAGCCAAGATCATGCCACTGCACTCCAGCCTGGGCAAAAGAGCAAGACTCTGGCAATAAAATAAAATAAAATAAAATAAAATAAAAAATCTCCAGCAAGGGGCATGAGTCTGAAAGCAAAAGGAGAATGGGAGGAGATGGGACAGAAGGTGTTGCGAGTGAAGGGACAAGTGGAACCAAACCCATCAGGCCCATGAGGCCCCCGTATGGGCCTGAGTGTGAATGAAGCCTGGAAGTTTGGGCTACAATCAGATCATGGAGCCTGACCTTCAGGCATGTCAGCCTCATTGACCAGGCACTGAAGAATCATTTGAGGGTTTTGAGGAGGACAGTAACTTAATCATGCAGTATTTTATAAAAATTATAGTATCTTCGCAAATTGAGGTGGTGAGATGACAGGGGCAAGGAAACCAGTTCTGAGGCTTTTTCTGAAGTCTGACCGATGTAATCCAAGTCTGAAGCAGGCTGGTGGCAGTGAGAAGGGAGCGGGGGAGAGTCTCCCTTCTATAAATCACACTAAGATAAAAGTTATTTATTTTTATTTTTATTTTTTTGAGACAGAGTCTTGCTCTGTTGCCTAGGCTGGAGTGCAGTGGTGCGATCTTGGCTTACTGCAACCTCTGCCTCCCAGATTCAAGCAATTCTCCTGCCTCATCCTCCTGGGTAGCTGGGATTACAGGCGCCTGCCACCAAGCCCAGCTAATTTTTGTATTTTTAGTAGAGACAGGGTTTCACCATGTTGGCCAGGCTGGTCTTGAACTCCTGATCTCCAGTGATCCGCCTGCCTCAGCCTCCCAAAGTGCTGGGATTACAGGGGTAAGCCACCATCCCTGGCTGAAAGGTTTTTTGTTGTTGCTGAGAGAGTCTCACTCTGACTCCCAGGCTGAAGTGCAGTGGTATGATCATGGCTCACTGCAGCCTCAATTTCCCAGGCTTAAGGGATCCTCCTGCCAAGGTCTACCAAAGTGCTGGGATTAGAGGTGTGAGGCATCACGCCTAGCCTAGATAGACGTTCTCGTACACAGCAGTTCTTCAAGTATGTCCCGGAGTGGTGTCCTTGAGATACTTTCAGGGAATTCTCAAGATTTAACTATTTTTTACTCTTACTCTCTCAGAGTACATAGTGGAGTTTTTCAGAGGTTACCTGACTTGTGAAATTGATAGGGACTCACTGCAAAAGGAAAATTCAGGTCTTTTCTTTCTTTCTTTTTTTCTTTTTTTTGAGATGGAGTCTCACTCTGTCGCCCAGGCTGGAGTGCTGTGGTGCCATCTCGGCTCACTGCAAGCTCCGCCTCCCGGGTTCAAGCGATTCTCCTGCCTCAGCCTTCTGAGTAGCTGGGATTACAGGCACGTGCCGCCACGCCAATTTTTGTATTTTTAGTAAAGACGGGGTTTCACCATATTGGTCAGGCTGATCTCGAACTCCTGACCTCGTGATCCACCTGCCTTGGCCTCCGAAAGTGCTCGGATTACAGGCGTGAGCCACCGCCCCTGGCTTAGGTCTTTTCTATTAAGACACACATTAAAGGGATTTGTAAAAAATGCATTTTTGGGGGGTTTTGGAAATTTTTTTTTTTGCAAAAATACTATTTATGCTAATATTTAATTATTTATTGTTGCTATTTTTAAATGGGTATATGTTTTAAACATTTCTCATTATTAATTTCTAATATGGTAAATATCTATATAACCCATATAAACAATAGCTCTTTGGGATCCTCAATAATAAGAGTATAAAAGAGTCACGAGACCAAAAAGTGTGATACCTACTGTTGGACATAAGTGCATTCACCTGCTGGATGGCGTAAGGGCTGAAGGCTTTTCCCCATGCCCCGCGAAAAGCAATCAGCCAGCCATCCTCACTCGCCCTGGAGGCCACGTAGCCGTGGCGCGTCCCAGGCTCGAGCTCCCTGGCCTGTGCTCAGAGCGCCCTCTACAGGCCAAGAGTGGATCCCACACCATTCTTGCTTGAATCTACTGCTCTGGCTGAACTTTTAGCCCAGGGGGAGTTTGAAGTTCGCGGCTGCCTGGCGCCTTGGAACAGGCGATAGGCAGCATCTACAAGCTTCATTTTCACAGGTGGGGGCTGCGGAATGGGGAAGCATCGTGCTGCAGTGACGAAACCACTAAACTGACCTGAATCTTGGTCCTGGCTCAGTCCACAACTAGGGTGGGGTCCCCTGACCTCCCTGGGTTTCAATTACTCAGGAGGAAACAACCCACAATGAACTAGCCACAAAGATCCTTCTGGCTCTAGCAGCCTATGATTCTAGGTGCTAATTGTCCCCACGTCTTACCTAGAGAAGGGGCTTAGTTCCCTGGCTACTGCCTTTCAGAGCTATCTTTGCTTTCGAGGTTTGGCTCAATAAGAATCTGACTTCAGGATGGGTCTTTGCAGTTATGGAGCTCATGGATTTTGTTCTTTAGCAAGTGCATTTTAAAACACCTTCTCAACACTTCATCGATTTATAAAGCAAATCATAAGAAGCTGGCATTGGCTCAAGCTCTGGGCCAATATATGCATTTTCTTATTTGAGCCACACCACAACCCTATTACCATTATTCCCACTTTACAGAGAGAAAAACAGAGGTCCAAGGAACTTAAGTAACTTGCCAAGATCCCAGAGCAACTGTATAGCAGAACGGGAATTCAAAACCAAGCAGTCTGGTTCCACACCCACAACACTATACCTAGCCCGGATAATAAGAGTTTGCATTTTTTAAGGTTTGCTGTGTCCCTGGAGATTTACATACATTATCTCATTCAATACAGCAATTCTACAAAGTAGGTATTATTATCTCAGGTGTTTTTTTTGTTTGTTTTTAGACGAAGCCTAGCTCTGTCGCCCAGGTTGGAGTGCAGTGGCTCGAGCTTGGCTCACTGCAACCTCTGCCTCCCGGGTTCAAACGATTTTTCTATCTCAGCCTCCTGAGTAGCTGGGACTACAGGTGCCGGTCACCACGCCCGGCTAATTTTTTGTATTTTTAGTACAGACAGGGTTTCACCATGTTGACCAGGCTGGTCTCGAACTCCTGACCTCGTGATCCAACTGCCTCAGCCTGCTAAAGTGCTGGGATTACAGGCGTGAGCCACCATGCCCAGCCTATTATCTCAGTTTTACAAGGAGGACACTTATTCTCACCCAGCTACTGAGTAGAATACTGATTTGAGATTTGACCTCTGGGACTGCAAAGCCTGTGCTGTTCATTATTATTCAGCACCATCTCTGTGCCAGGAAAAGATGAAGAACACCAACTGGGTCTTCAAGAAGCTTATATTATAATCTCCTTATGAGATAATAATGGTGACTGACATTTACTGAGAACTGTTCTAAGCCTTTACACATATGAACTCATTGAATCCTCACAATAACCCAATGAGATACAGATAATTACTATCCCAGTTTGCAAATGAAGAAATCATGGTACAAGGCAGGTGGGGTGCTAAGTAAATCACCTGAAATCCTACATTTGGTAAATGTTAGAGTTGGGATTCAAACCCAGGAAGCCTGGCTCTAATACTTGAGTTTTTAACCACTACATTATGCAAAGAGCAAATAGTTCCTGCAGAGACACAGAGGTCATTGACCAACTGAAAGAAGCTGTCTTCAACAGCTGAAAGAAGCAAGCCTGGTCTGCAGAAAGATCTCAATGTGGGAAGGAAGGTGTCGACCCCTCAGCCCCATTCCTTTTCAGTCCTGGTGTTCCAGCTGCCTATGAGACTGCTACATTTGAAAATTATTCCTTCTCAGCTGGGCATGGTGGCTCATGCCTATAATCCCAGTTCTTTAGGAGGCTGAGGTGGGTGGGTGGGTGGATTGCTTGTGCCAAGGAATTCAGGCTGGGCAACATGGCAAAACCCTGTCTGTACAAAAAATACAAAAAATTAGCCAAGTGTGGTGGCACGCACCTGTAGTCCCAGCTACTCAGAGTCTGAGGTGGAAGGATCACTTGAGCCCAGGAGGTCAAGGCTGCAGTGAGCCATGGTTGTGCCACTGCATGCTAGCCTGGACAGCAGAGCAAGATGCTCTCTCAAAAAAAGAAAAAAGAAAATTGTGCTTTTTCAAGTCTACATGCTAAAAGTGGAATTCAACACATTTCCCCCAATAGTTCTCTAAATGTCTCTTCCTTTCCAATAATGTCATTGTTCTCTCACACTAACAGGACTCAACTCTGATTGATACTTTGTTGGTGCTGAAAGATTCTGAGATGTTGTCCTGTCCAGCATCAGCAAGAAATGGTGATATGATCAATTCATTAATATTTCTGTCACTGTAATAGAAGGAAATGGCAGCCTTGCCATGAGTCTGCTATTTCTGGAGTGGGCTTTGTCCTAAGAAGTGTTAAGGAACTGGGTTCTGAGAACATGTGCTGACAGGTGCCAATATGAGTGAACAGCCAGTGAGGGCCATAGCTGAGAACATGGCTCTTCTTGCTGAGGCAGGTGCTGAGTCAAACTAGCCAGGCTAAGAGAAAATTCTGGATCAGAGGCATCAGTTTGGGGAACTAAACTAAGCTTACCAAGCTGGGGGAAGATGGCAGGGCCAAAGAGGAAAGACAGAACTCATGATTTCTTGGTCAGAAAGCCACGGCAGAAAAGCCTCAAGTCCGAGATGAGATAAGGCAAGGTCCAACCAGGTGCATTAGCTGGGATTTTTCTTGAGCTGTTGAGCTCTCTTCTCAAGAAATACAAAGCAATGGTGTCCTTTAACTGGGTAAGTTAGGGTTCTGGAATAAGCTCTCATGTGAATGAAATCATCCAGGGATAGTGAGTAGAAGAGAAGAGGTCAGTTGGGACTTAAATTTGCAAGTAGCAGTCCCATGTTGAGTGAGCCTGAACACAATGGGAAACTTGAAATGAGGATGGAGCTGTGACTGTCTTTTGGAGGCCAAGGGTGGGAATGTCATGGGCCATTAAAAGGCCGGGCAACTGAAACGTTGTGCCAGGGATTCTCACTGTCTCCTGTCTCTGCTTCTCTACACTTGTATGCATTGTTCTGTTCTCTCCCTGACAGCTTCCTTCACTTCTTAGCCTAACTTGATAGAATGAGGCTGCCTCTGGCTCCTAGCTTCTCATGCCATAGTTCCACCCAAAGAGCTTAACAAGATGTTGGGTCGTAGTTCCTAATTTTAAGGAGCAAGAATCTGACTGGCCCATCTTTGGTCAGTTGTCCACCCTGGGTCAATCTGCTAAGGCCAGGAAGGCAGTGCCAACATAACCTGTTAAAGGCTCATTCTCGTGGATATGGGAGAAGGAGAAGGATATTCCCAGGAAGAGGGATTAAGAGTTGGCCTGCAGGCCAGGAAAATACCCTAAATGTTATCTATTACAGGATCTAAAGATGGAGAACTGGAAAACACCAACATTCATTGGATGTCAGAGAGCAGAACCATAGAAAAAGACAAAGAATGTTTCTCCAGGGAATCAGGAGGAAAACTAACAGAAAAAATCATGGGTACTAAGAGAAAAAATCACGGGTACTAAGAGAAAAAATCACGGGTACTAAGAGAAAAGAGAGCTTATTTAAAGAAGAGAGGAGACATAAATGGTCAAATGCTATGGAGCAGTCAAAAAGAATGAACAGTATGAGAGACAATTTGATTACAGCAAATTAGTGCAAACTTTTTAGAAAACACATTAAGAAGAAAGTTGATGAGGAAATCAGATTTCTGTAGGTTAAAGAATGAGGTTGGTTGTATTTTTATAGGTAAATATAAAAATGTTAGTTTTAGTTGTGCTGTCAACTTTGGAAAAAGAATTCACCTATGCTATGTTAACCTGGCATTATTCAGAATTTAACATAGGCTTAGAAACAGTAAACTTTTTTCTCTGATCTTTACTGGGGTAATATGCTGTATTAAATATGTAAGATCTTATCTACACAGTTTAGATTACAGAAACTAAGACATAATCTCAAAACAATGTTAAAAAGGGGAGAAAAATAATTCAAAAGGCCAAGAAACATATGAAAATGTGCTTAACCTTACTTGTAACCACAGAAGTGTGACTAAAAACCACAAGGTAACACAACTATATGCCCATCAGATTCACCAAAATTAAAAAGTCTGAAAATTCCAAGAGTAGCAAAATATGAAACAATGGGGACAATTCTCAAAAACTGCCCATGGGGGCGCAGTGACTCACGCTTGTAATCCCAGCACTTTGGGAGGCCGAGGCGGGCAGATCACGAGGTCAGGAAATCGAGACCATCCTGGCTAACACGGTGTAACCCCGTCTCTACTAAAAAAATACAAAAAATTAGCCAGGCATAGTGGCGGGCGCCTGTAGTCCCAGCTCCTTGGGAGGCTGAGGCAGGAGAATGGCGTGAACCCAGGAGGCGGAGCTTGCAGTGAGCCGAGATCGCGCCACTGCACTCCAGCCTGGGCGACAGAGCGAGACTCCGTCTCAAAAACAAACAAACAAAAAACTGCCCGTGGGATAACAAATCAACACAGCCAAAAAGTTGCCAATTCAGGCCAGGCGTGGTGGCTTACTCCTGTAATCCTAGCACTTTGGGAGGATTGCTTGAGCCCAGGAGTTAGAGACAAGCCTTGACAAGATGACGAGACCCTATCTCTACAAAAAATTAGCTGGGCACGGTGGCGCACACATGTGGTCCCAGCTACATGTGTAGCTGGGGGCTGAGATTGGAGAATTCCCTGAGCCCAGGAATTCAAGATGGTGGTGAACTACCACCACGCCATTGCACTCCAGCCTGGGTAACAGACCCCATCCCATCCCCGCTCCCCCCAAAAAAGTTGCCAATTCACCTTACATTTGAGAGGTTTCCATTTGCATAGAACACATGGGGTCATAGCAACCCCCTTCAATTGTGCAAGGACGTGGCCTACTTGGGAAAACTGGGAGTTTTTGGGTAAGTTGGAGATTCACATAGCTTATTACATGGTAGTTTTGCTCTTATGTATATAGCTAGAGAAATTTGTATATATGTGCACAGGATGATTACTTATAATAGACCTGTTATGGATTGAAGGAGTCTGAGTGGTACCTTGATCTTGGACTCCCCAGCCTCCAGAACTGTGAGAAATAAATGTCTGTTGTTGAAGCAATCCAGTCTATGGTATTTTGTTATAGTAGCCTGAACTAAGACAAGACCCAAACTATACACAATCCTATGCCCATCAAAAATAAGATGGAAAAGCAAAACTACTGTGCATTAATAATGGGATACCAGGCTGCAAAGAACATGCAACATGGATACACCTCACAAATGTCCTGTTCAAGGAAAGAGACAAGACACATAAGAATACAACAGCATATTTCCTGTCAAATGAAGTCCAAAAGCAGGCAAAGCTCAATTCTATGTTATAGCATAACTACTGCAGAGAAAGTGAAAAATAAATGAAAAGCATTTAAAAGTCAGTATGGTGGTTACCCAGTTGGCGATGGAGCCTGAGGTAAGAGTGGGGCTCATCAAGGCTCCTTGAGTGCTGGAATGTTCTGTTTCATGGCCTAAGGAGTGGTCATATGAGCCTTTGTTTTATAACCTCTCATTAAGCTATACTTGTATTTTATGCACTCTTCTGTGATATTTTTAAATTAAAGAATAAAAAGGGGGTGAGGGCTAAAGTGGGGATTTACAAGTGAAGATGTTATATTGAGCATTATATTTTATTTTTGCTGTCTTCCAGAACCTAGCTAAAAGCGTCATGTGTGTGTGTTTGTGTGTGTATGTGTGTATTTTCTGTGGACTCATGAAACCAGGAGAGCAAGAGAGGAGAACATAAATGAGTGAGTGGCAAACCTTTCAACAGGCTCAAGGAAACAGAATCCTAAGCTGTCAATGAAAACAGCTGAGAACCAACTTTATTTTCACCACAGAATCTTGAAAAGGCTCAGGAATTTGTGGTAGCTGGAGTCTTCAGAAATAGGGTTAAGCAGCTATTAATATAGGGAGGATTTGTTGACAGCCCCCAGGTTCCTTCCCTCACCCAGGACTGCTGGATGACTTGGATGACTGTTGCTTCCTTCTCCAAACAGAGGATTGGAGGTTTATTTTCCAGAGGAAGCAAAATTCAGGGTTTCCAGATTGGGAGACACCAGGTACAGGTGAAGATGGGAGCTCCCTAACAAGCTCAGGAGAATTGTTCAAATGGAATTGCTGAGGCCCTCACCCCACACAACTCAGTTCCTAGAAAGCCGGCCACCAGGGCTTTACCGCCTACATCTGTCAATAGGAAGAATGTATTCTGGGAAATATGAACAGCCCAAGTTAAAAGGACTAAAGATACTGAAATGAGAAGGTTCCTAGCAAATGACTCAGGCACATCACTTGATAATGAAGCCAGTCACAAAGCCACACCCAGAACTTCCAATTAGCTTTGTATTTTCTTTTCTTTTTTTTTTTTTTTTGAGACGGAGTTTCATTCTGTCACCCAGGTTGGAGTGCAGTGATACGATCTCGGCTCACTGCAACCTCTGCCTCCCAGGTTCAAGTGAGTCTCCTGCCTCAGCCTCCCAAGTAGCTGGGACTGCAGGCGCATGCCACCACACCCGGCTAATTTTTTGTATTTTTAGTAGAGATGGGGTTTCACCATGTTAGCCAGGCTGGTCTTGATCTCCTGACTTCGTGATCCACCCACCTCGGCCTCCCAAAGTGCTGGGATTACAGGCATGAGCCACTGTGCCCAGCCTGGTTTTGTATTTTCTTAATCTTTCAATCTCTCTCTCTCAAAAAGTGTGTACACTCTTTCTTTCTTTAAAAATGCTTTATATGGAAGATTTCAAACATAAACAGAAGTAGAGACTGACTAGCAAAAGAACCCCTCCATGCACTCATTGCCCAGCCTCAATGAGGATCAACCTTTGGCCTACCTGCTGCTTCTACTCTCTCATCTAAAATATAGCCCTTAGGCTGGGTGCAGTGGCTCACACCTGTAATCCCAGCACTTTGGGATCCTGAGGTGGAATGATCACTTGAGGCCAGGAGTTCAAAACCAGCCTGGGCAACATAGTGAGACCCCCCATCGCTATTATAAATAAATAAATAAATACATAAATAAATATTCAGTCCTCACTCCAGGCTACTTTGAACCAAATCCCAGGCCTCATATAATTTTATCTGTAAATATTTCACTATGAATCTCTAAAAGGCAATGACTACTCATTTAAAATATAACCACAATACCAGGATCAACCTAAAAAAGGTCTTAATATCATCAAATATCTAGTGAATATTCATGTTTCCTTGATTTCTCTATAAGCATTTTTTTCCTTATAGTAGTTAACTTGAATTGGGACAAAAGAAGATTTACAACTTGTTTAGTATGCCTTCTGATTATTCTTAAATCTCTAAACTGTCACATTTATTTATTTTTATTTTTATTTATTTATTTATTTTCGAGACAGAGGCTCTTTCTGTCACCCAGGCTGGAGTGCAATGGCACATTCTCAGCTCACTGCAACTTTTGCCTCCCAGGCTCAAGTGATCCTCCTACCTCAGCCTCCTGAATAGATGGAACCGCAGGTGTGTGCTGCTATTCTTGGCTAATTTTTGTATTTTTTGTAGAGATGGGGTTTCTCCATGTTTCCCAGGCTAGTCTCAAACTCCTGAGCTCAAGCGATCCACCCACCTCAGCCTCCCGAAGTGCTAAGACTACAAGCATGAGCCACTGCGCCTGGCCTATTTGTTTTAATTTTTAAATTTTTTCATAGCAGGATTTCAGGCACCTTTACTCATAGATATTTTTGGTCAGGGAGACCTGCCTTTGAAATCGTTCCATTACTTAAAGGAGGCCAACCCCTGCCTCAGTTACGACTCTCCTACAAATGCAGTCAACCATATCATTTCCATTTGCCATGTATGAGGCTTGAAAACATCCTACATGCAGGTTTTGGCTGATCTGGTCACAACCCAGTGTGTGCGGGGGATTTGAGGGTAAATCCTGCAGCACAACCCATTGGCCTCATCAAAGAGGCTCTGTAGATGGGTAACCACAGTGGTGAACTCATTTTATTACAGAAGGATTTTACTCCTTTATGTCTCCCATGTAATTTGCAAACGGGACAAATTATTTCTTAATATTATTATAAATTTGCAATATAAACACCAAGACTGGTGATATGGGAAACTTAAAATTCATGTTTTTTGACTTTTCAAGTTTTTGTTGTATAAAGGCACTTTGTGGTGACAATCACTTGGATCGCCTTCCAGGTCATCAATATTGGCCTCTAGGCTTAGCACTCCTGACACTGCATTTTTGAGTGGCAAAAGTTAAGAGTTATTATCCCTGTCTTCTATAATCAATGATAAATTTGTTACTCTGTAAGAATTTAGATAAGAAACAGTTTAAGTAAAATAGTATTTCTGAAAAACTCAAGTCTACTACAAGTCATTTATCATATTTCTAGCCAAGCAACTGGCATGGACTTAATATGGTCTCTTTTCCTTATCTCTTTCTTTTCCAACCAGTAGCTAAATGGAAAGATGGAGTAATTGAGTTTTAAAATCCTGCCAAATTTTTTTATGGTAACTGATGTGGTTTGGCTGTGTCCCCACCCAAATCTCAACTTGAATTGTATCTCCCAGAATTCCCTTATGTTGTGGGAGGGACCCAGGGGGAGGTAACTGAATCATGGGGGCCGATCTTTCCCATGCTATTCTCGTGATAGTGAGTAAGTCTAATGAGACTTGACGGGTTTATCAGGGGTTTCTGCTTTTGCTTCTTCCTCATTTTTCTCTTGCCACCACCATGTAAGAAGTGCCTTTCGCCTCCCACGATGATTCTAAGGCCTCCCCAGCCATATGGAACTGTAAATCCAATTAAATCTCTTTTTGTTCCCAGTTTCGGGTATGTCTTTATCAGCAGTGTGAAAATGAACTAATACAGTAACCATTGTAGATGAACCATGTAGGGGCCTCCTGAAGTATCAGAATCTCTCTTTTTTTTCTTCATTTTTTGAGACAGGGTTTTGCTCTGTCACTCAGGCTGGAGTGCAGTGGCGTGACTGGCTCACTGCAACTTCTGCCTCCTGGGTTCAAGTGATTCTCCTGCCTCAGCCCCCAAAGTAGCTGGGATTACAGGCATGCACCATCATGCCCAACTAATTTTTGTATTTTTAATGGAGGTGGGGTTTCCCCATGTTGGCCAGGCTGGTCTTGAACTCCTGACCTTAAGTGATCCACCCGCCTTGGCCTCCCAAAGTGCTGGGATTACAGGTGTGAGCCACCGTACCCAACCATGAAGTACTAGAATCTCATGCAAAACTCTAACAAATGCCTCATTACAGTAAGCTATTCTGTTATTTTGTGTACTGTAAAAGTTGTAACACAAGAAAGTGTCAATGGTTGCTTTTCATTGATTTTAGCATATGATCTCAGGGACTTAGACATAAGTCTAAGTTCTATTCTGAGTTTTGGCAACAGCAATGACAGATATTTCTGAATAAACAATTTTTAGGTGTTTTTAGCCATTTGAAAAATATTGCCAACACACTATTTGGGGTTACCGCAACAGTCACTTTGTGCTGAGAATTAAAGAACCCTAAACTTTATAAATATCGTACTTCACCAAGACTAACTATAATCGAAAGATTTACTGTTCTTCTAATAAAAAAATTACACAGCAACTTTTACCAAACAGCAACTACTACAAAATAAATGGCAAGAAAAAAATAGGACTTCACAAAAATACACTAAAAAATTTGACAATTTTATGCAGAAACTGCCAAAGCTTTAGTGTTTATTTATTTATGTTTTTTCTTTTTTCTTTTTTGAGATGGAGTCTTGCTCTGTTGCCCAGGTTGGAGTGCAGTGGCATGATCTTGGCTCACTGCAGCCTCTGTCTCTTGGGTTCAAGTGATTCTCTGCCTCAGCCTCCCGAGTAGCTGGGATTACAGACGTGCACAACCACATCTGGCTAATTTTTGTATTTTTACTAGAGATGGGGTTTCACCATTTTGGCCAGGATGGTCTCGAACTCCTGACCTCAAGTGATCCACCAGCCTTGGCCCTCCAAAGTGCTGGGATTACAGGCATGAACCACTGCGCCTGGCCAGTTTTAGTGTTTAATAATTAATAGCACAACTGCCCAAGGTGGACGGGGGTCAGGGGCACCAAATCCTCATGCATTCAAAAATCTACATATAACTTTTCTTTTTTCTTTTTTTTTCTGAGATGGAGTTTTGCTCTTGTTGCCCAAGCTGAAGTGCAATGGCATGATCTTGGCTCACTGCAACCTCCATCTCCTGGTTTCAAGCGATTCTCCTGCCTCAGCCTCCCGAGTGGCTGGGATTACAGATGCGTGCCACCACGCCCAGCTAATTTTTTGCATTTTTAGTAGAGACAGGGTTTCACCATGTTGGCCAGGCTGGTCTTGATCTCCTTACCTCAGGTGATCTGCCCACTTCAGCCTCCCAAAGTGCTGGGATTACAGGCATGAGCCACCATGCCCAGCCAACTTTTTTTTTTTTGAGATGGAGTCTTACTCTGTCACCTAGGTAGGAGTGCAACGGCACAATCTTGGCTCACAACAACCTCTGCCTCCCAAGTTCAAGTAATTCTTCTGCCTCAGCCTCCCCAGTAGCTGGAATTATAGGCATGCACCACCACACCCGGCTAATTTTTGTATTTTTTTTTAAGTAGAGACAGGGTTTCATTACCCAGGCTGGTCTCGAACTCCTGATCTCAAGTGATTCACCCACCTTGGTCTCCCAAAATGCTGGGATTATCGGTGTGAGCCACCATGCCCTGCCTACATATAACTTTTGAAGCCCCCAAAACTTAACTACTCATGGCCTACTGTTGACAGGAAGCCTTACTGATAATATAAACTGTCAATAAACATGTATGTTGTATGTTATATATATTATGTACTATATTCTTACAAAAAAGTAGCCTGGGGAAAATAAAATGTCATTAAGAAAATCATAAGGAAGAGAAAATATATTTACTGCTCAGTAAGTTTAAGTGTATCATCATAAAGGTCTTCATCCTTGTTGTCTTCACCTTGAGTAGACTGAGGAGGAAGAAAAGAAGGGAATTGTCTTGCTGTCTTGGGGATGGCAGAGGGAAACGAAAATTTGCATATAAGTGAACCCCTGCAGTTCAAATGCCTGTTGTTCAAGAGTTCACTGTATTTCCATTATGGGGCATGTAAGTTACCTTTGTCTTGCTTTTGTGATGTTAGTAATACAGGAGTATGGGAGATTATCAATGATTAATAAACAAACAATTATAATACATTAATAATAAATTAATAAATTAATAAATAATGGCCAGGCGTGGTGGCTCATGCCTGTAATCCCAGTGCTTTGAGAGGCTGAGGTGGGTGGATCACAAGGTCAGGAGTTCAAGACCAGCTGGCTAATATGGTGAAACCCCATCTCTACTAATAATACAAAAAACAAAATTAGCTGGGTGTGGTGGTGGGTGCCTGTAGTCCCAGCTACTCGGGAGGCTGAGGCAAGAGGATCATTTGAACCTGGGAGGCAGAGGTTGCAGTCAGCCGAGATCGTGCCACTGCACTCCAGCCTGGATGACAGAGTGAGACTCTGTCTCAAAAAAAAAAAAAAGAAATTAATAAATAATTTCTCAGTGGAATTTTCCTTTCATAAAAAACAACCCCAAACCATTTCTTCTCTAACAGAAAGCAGCCTGAAAGATATGCAAACTAGGAGCTTTTATTTATTTATTTTATTTTTAAAATTTTTTAAAATTTTTTGAGATGGAGTCTTATTCTGTAGCCAGGCTGGAGTGCAGTGGTGAGATCTTGGCTCACTGCAACCTCCGCCTTCTGGGTTCAAGTGATTCTCCTGCCTCAGCCTCCCAAGTAGCTGGGACTACAGGTGCACAACACTGCGCCCAGCTAATTACGCCCAGCTAATTTTTTTTTTTGAGATGGAGTCTCGCTCTGTTGCCAAGGCGAGTGCAGTGGCACGATCTTGGCTCATTACAACCTCTGCCTCCCGGGTTCAAGTGATTCTCCTGCCTCAGCCTCCTGAGTAGCTGGCATTACAGGTGCCTGCTGCCATGCCTGGCTAATTTTTGTATTTTAGTAGAGACAGGATTTCGCCATGTTGGCCACACTGGTCTTGAACTCCTGACCTCAGGAGATCCTCCTGCCTTGTCCTCCCGTAGTGCTGGGGATTACAGGCATGAGCCACTGCACCAGTCCAGGAGCTTTTTTTTTTTTTTTTTTTGATATAGTTTCTCTCTTGTTGCCCAGGCTGGAGTGCAATGGCGGGATCTCGGCTCACTGCAACCTCAGCTTCATGGGTTCAAGAGATTCTCCTACCTCAGCCTCCCAAGTAGCTGGGATTACAGGCATGCACCACCACACCCAGCTAATTTTGTATTTTTAGTAGAGAAGGTGTTTTACCATGTTGGTCAGGCTAGTCTTCAATTCCAGAACTGAGGTGATCCACCTGCCTCGGCTTCCCAAAGTGCTTGGATTATAGGTGTGAGCTACTGTGCCCGGCCTGGCCAGGAGCTTTTATAAGTAAATGCTGGCAGCTGCACTTGGGAGCCAGGTTACATTCAATATGGCAGTTCCTGCTCTCTTTTCCTTGTCACCATGTGTTCCTGTGTCATGGCAGCCTCTAGGTAAAACCATGTGTGCAGGTATCATGGCAGCCAGGTAGAAGCTGCATTTGCATAATTAAATGTTACAGGAAGGCAGGGACCCTGAACGGAGGGACTGGCTGGAGCTGCGGCAGAGGAAGATAACTTGTGAAGATTTCATGGACATTTATCAGTTCCCAAATAATACTTTTATAATTTCTTATGCCTGTCTTTACTTTAATCTCTTAATCCTGTTATCTTCATAAGCTGAGGATGTACGTCACCTCAGGACCACTGTGATAATTATGTCAACGTACGAATTGATTGTAAAACGTGTGTTTGAACAATATGAAATCAGTGCACCTTGAAAAAGAACAGAATAACAGCAATTTTTAGGGAACAAGGGAAGACAACCGTAAGGTCTGACTGCCTGTGGGGTTGGGCAAAAAGAGCCATATTTTTCTTCTTGCATAGAGTCTATAAACAGGCGTGCAAGTAGGAGAGATATTGCTAAATTATTTTCCTAGCAAGGAATATTAATACCCTGGGAAAGGAATGCATTCCTGGGGGGAGGTCTATAAATGGCCGCTCTGGGAATGTCTGTCTTATGCAGTTGAGATAAGGATTCAGATAGGCCCTGGTCTCCTGCAGTACCCTCAGGCTTGCTAGGGTGAGGAAAAACTGCCCCAGTAAATTTGTGGTCAGACCGGTTCTCTGCTCTCGAACACTGTTTTCTGTTATTTAAGATGTTTATAAAGACAATACATGTACCGCTGAACATAGACCCTTATCAGTAGTTCTGCTTTTGCCCTTTGCCTTGTGATCTTTGTTGGACCCTTATCAGTAGTTCTGCTTTGCCCTTTGTCCTGTTCCCTCAGAAGCATGTGATCTTTGTTAGACCCTTACTAGTAGTTCTGCTTTTTGCCTTTTGAAGCATGTGATCTTTGTACCTACTCCCTGCTCTTACATCCCCTCCCCTTTTGAAACTTTTAATAAAAACTTGCTGGTCTGAGACTCAGGCGGGCATCACAGTTCTACTGATAGGTGATGTCACCCCTGGCAGCCCAGCTGTAAAATTCCTCTCTTTGTACTGTCTCTCTTTATTTCTCAGCCGGCTGACACTTATGGAAAATAGAAAGAACCTACGTTGAAATATTGGGGGTGGGTTCCCCCAATAATAAAAGACCAGGGTCTGAGGGCCAGTCTTCTCCTGGGCTGTGTAAATGTCACTCCTGGTCAAGCCAATCCCCTGGACCCTATGTACATCAGTCACTGCCTCCTCAAGCCTCTGTATACAACTGATTGCATTCTGCCACAACCCAGACGCCCTCTCTTGGGCAACCTGCTTTCTCAGCATGAGGAAGGCTTTGCTCTTTCTCTTCTTTTTTCTCTATTAAATTTTCCTTTCCTAAACCCATTCCTTGTGTGTGTTTGTGTCCTGAGTTCTTTCGGTGTGAGACAAAGAACCAGGGTATATACCCCAGACAATGGAGCCATTTCATTCGTTGCCACTGATAATCATTGAATAGATTTATTAATTCATTAGGCATTGTGAAATAATAGTATTCCAAGTGTAATGAAAATATTTTCATTGATCTTCCTTTACTAGCTGAATCAGTTAAGCAGTCTTTATGTTGCTGCCTCTTTAGCCATTTTCGTTGCCTGAAGCTTTCTCTAATAGAGCCTCAGAAATGGTCCCTGGAAATAATGTTTCTCAAATCCTCGTTTGTTTGCCAAAGTGTGTTTGCTGCCTTAATACTTGAATATCAGCTGAGCTGGATTTAAAATTCTTGGCTCACATTTTGAGTATTCTAAATGTTACTCCATTGATTTCTGGCATGAAACATTGATGTTGAAAGTCTGGTGACATTCTAATTTTCTTTTTCTTTAAAAATACTTTTTTTTTGCCTGTTTGCACAATAATTTTTTTTTCTTTTTCTCTAAAATCCAATAGTTTCAGAATGGAACTATTGTGGGTTGATTTTTCCCAATATATGCAATGTGTCTGTGCAATATGTAGTTTTAAGTTTTTTTAATTTTCATTTTTAATTTGAAAAAAGTTTTTTTGAACTTCAGTTTGTAGTAAAAAAACAGAAAAAGCACCAGACTCCTCTTTTTGAGAGGAAGCTGTTTTTCCTCATGCAATCCTAAGATTGTAAGTGGACAGATTCCTCTCAGACCTAAGACTCTGCTCTCTTTTGTAGGGTGTTATCTGATCTCTTTGGCTTTTGTGAGTACCAGAGATAGCTTGGTACTGTGAGAGCATTTGACCTTGGTGTGTGTGTGATGGCTGAAGGTGTGATGGCTGGTGAGAGCTACAGTGTTAGGGGTAGCTGATAGCAGTTTGCAGTTAACGTTTATTACTACAGGTGGCTACCCGCTTCTTTGGGCTTTTTAAGAAAAGTGTGGTTTGGGCCCTGAAGATTGCATGCTTTCTTGGCCCTGTCCCTTATTGGGCTCCATTCTAAAGCCAGTAATCTAAACAAGCCAATTTGAAGACTACCTATCAAACAAAATCAGTGTTTGAAACTCTTTGTGGAAGAAATTTACATCTTTAAAGGTAATCTCCATTTGTAAGGGCATTTCTGTCTCTGCACTTAAACCACTAGGAACTTTAACTCTGGGAAAGACAATGGCTTAAAGTTTATGTAACAAATCTTGCTTTTGTGTAGATCTAAGTTCTGTGCCTTTGAGGTGTAAATTTTCTACTTTCTTTTGCCTGAGTCCTCTTTTGAAGATGCAAATTTGGAGTTGCCTCTCTAACAATTGTTTAGGGAGTGGAACAGGTATGCAAGATATTACTAGCCTAAAGTGAGGAAGAAACTGAAAACTGGCAAATGAAAAATCTTTTCTTAAAAATTATTTTTATTCACTTTTTCAATTTTTCAAATGGCAGTGAATTCAATTTTATTCACTGTCATTTGAGACAGGATCTCACTCTGTTCCTCATGCTGGAGTGTAGTGGTGCAATCACAGCTCACTGCAGCCTCAACCTCCTGGGCTTAAGTGATCCTCTCGCCTCAGACTGCCAAGTAGCTAGGACTACAGGTGTGTGCCATGCCTGCGAAAAATTATCATATGGTCAAAAATTACCAAGCCCAGCTAATTAAAAAAAGAAAAAACTTTTTGTAGAGACAGATCTCACTATGTTGCCCAGGCTGGGTGAACAATCTTTTTTATTTTTTATTTTTTTTGAGACAGTGTTTCACTCCGTCCCTGGCTAGAATGCAGCGACACAATCTCGCTCATTGCAAACTCTGTCTACTGGGTTCAAGTGATTCTCCTGCCTCAGGCTTTTGAGTACCTGGGATTACAGGTGGGCGTCACCACTCCTGGCTAATTTTTGTATTTTTAGTAGAGACAGGGTTTCACCATGTTGGCCAGGCTGGTCTTGAACTCCTGACCTCGCGATCCTCTGGCCTCGGCCTCCCAAAGTGCTGGGATTACAGGCATGAGCCCCCGCGCCTGGCCGAAAAATCTTATAAATTTATAAGGTCTGCTTCTGTCTGTGTGTCTGTTATGTTTATCCAAGTCATGTGTATGTGATATTTCACTACCAAATTATATGAAAGAGCTCTAATCAATTGGACTAAAGAAAAATTAAGCACTTAATTCAGAAAAATAGATACTAGCTCAAATGCTTTTTAGTTTATGTGATTTTAGTAATCTTTGGTAAATAAAACTAGTTTCAAAATTCTCTTCAGTAATTTAAAACCTTAAAGTCACGTTATGTTAAATAAGTAATTCTGTTTCTCACTAGAAATAGGCTTACTAAGAGTTAGAACAGTAGTTAATATATGTAATTGAAACTGCTAGATACAGGAGAAACTATTCTACATAGAAAGTATATAAAGAAAGGAAGATGTGTTTTTGGTAAATGTTAAAAAACAAGATGTAGGTTTTGCTTAAAGGAAAAGTAATTGTGTCTACTTTAGAGGCTATTTAAAGACTGTTTCAAAATGAAGGAAAAAAATGATGCAGATGAAACTAAATGGAAAGAAAGAGGAAGGACAAAAAAGTGGGGAATGAGGAACCTTTGATTCCTAGCTGGCCATGTAGTCACCCATGGTATGGAGCTGTAGCTGTGCTGCATTCAGCTGCTAAAGATAAAATTTGCCTGTGAAATTTAGAGATGGCTCAAACTTCTGGGAAGTTGGTTCATTAGATGCACAAGGAGATGCAAACCAATAAGCACAAAGCTAAATATTCAATCTCTTGGTTATTTTTATCAGTAATAGCTAAAATGAAAGTTGAAAAGTTTAAACAGGCTTTATGTAAGGTAGCTTTAACCTCTTTACCTAAATGTTTTTTGATAATGAATATTGTATCTGACTAGGGGATGCTTTCCCTACCTACTACTGTGAAACAGAAGGCATGTTCATCTGCCCTTTGAGCAATGTTAATTGGGCACACTAAATGGGAACAAGTAAGACTGTCTGAGCCCACAGAGTGTAGAGTAGAAGCTGGAGTGCTGGTAGGGACAAATTCTCCACTTGACTGCCCTTTGTAGAGCCCATACTGGGGCTCATGGCAAAAGCCTATGAACACCTCCCAGTGATGACTACTGGGATTTTGGACTAGAGAATGTCCACTTGAGGGGCATTTACCACCTTGGTATGGGATGCTAACTGAAGCTACCCGTATGCTAATGGAAATAACAGGGCCCAAAAGAGTTCCATGATAAAATGGAAATGGTTTACATAGTACTGAAACTGCATTGCAAAATTGTAACTGAGACAGTGAAAGAGATTTGGCCTAACCAACTCTGTCTTGCTTCTGACCTCCAAGCTGTCCTTGTTCATTCTTGGGCATAGGCTGATCTAACTTTGGGAGGAACTTAGTTTACAGTTTAAAACAAAGACAGTAACAGCCCTTTCCCAAAACAAACCTTCTTGCCTGGGGAATAGACTGCCTTTGTAGGACTAACAAATTAGCTACACAATTAGAAATTACGGTTTAGGAGTCATGCAGCTGGAGGATACAAGATTTTGACCCTCCCTAAATTGCTCCTAAGATCAGTGCTTGAGATATTTTGCAGCTTCTGCACTTGATGGATCAGCTGGCACCACCCAGATAGATAAACTGGGTCCTCTGATCTTGCGGCCCCTCCCCACCAGGAACTGACTCAATGCAAGAGGACAGCTTCAATTCCCTACAACTTCATTTCCTACTTAACTAATCAGCACTAATGGCTCACTGGCTCCCCACCACCCACCAAGTTGTCCTTAAAAACTCTGCTCCCCAAATGTTCGGGGAGACTAATTTGAGTAATGATAAAACCGCAGTCTCCCACACAGCTGGCTCTGTGTGAATTACTCTTTCTCTATCGCAATTTCCCTGTCTTGAGACATTGGTTCTTTCCAGGCAGCAGCCAAGGCAAACCCATTGGGTGGCTACAGGATCATGCTACCTGAGGAGTACAAGAAGGAAGTACTCACAGGCAGGGAGCTTCTCTTTTTTGTTTTTCCCTAGGACCGACACTGGAACTGTGTGAGAAGCTACTGAACAGCTCTGGGCTGATTGACAAAGAGCTGCTTGGGTTGGGGATAGTAGTTCCAAGGTGAACAAATGAAATCTTGTTTGGATTTCTACTACTCGGATTGAAGAAGGGTCAAAAAAACAAAAAATGTTTTCTTTTGAGCTATTTACAGCTTACGATGATTGAGGTAAAGTATATATTTTTTTGTGAGCAAAATTTACCTTTCTCTAGACTTGAATTCTTCAAAATTTGAAAACTATTTGTGAGTATTCTTATTTTATTGGCAATATAGTTATTTGCATAAGTTTAGTAAGAATCTGTTTCCTTTTGTAACAGGACACAATTGGAGATGCTGGTCATTTTACCAGTGCTTTGACTGTGATGGCTTATCTTCACATATGAACAGACTGAGAAATTGAGTTTGGCTTTATAAAGCCAATAAAAAGTCCCTTGGAAGCCGGGCATGGTGGCTCACACCCAGCACTTTGGGAGGCCGAGGCGGGTGGATCACGTGAGGTCAGGAGTTCAAGACCAGCTCTGCCAACATGGTGAAACTCTGTCTCCACTAAAAACACAAAAATTAGCTGGGCACGGTGGCAGGCACCTGTAATCCCAGCTACTCGGGAGGCTGAGGCAGGAGAAGTGCTTGAACCTGGGGGGTGGAGGTTGCAGTGATGCAGTGAGCCAGGATAACACCACTGCACTCCAGCCTGGGCAAGAGTGAAACTCTGTCTCAAACAAAAACAAACAAAAAGAAACCAAAACCCCTTGGAAAAACTGGCCTTGTAGCTTGGTTTCCTTACAAGGTTTCTGACTGTAGTGAGAAAAGCATATCACTTTCTATCAGGCCCAGGAGCCTTAAGATATTCTGGGACCTTCTCTCTACTCTGTGAAAAGAGATAATTCCCACAAGTGTTTGCCAAAGTCTAATGGCAAGCCCTTGTCTTGGCTTCTGATCGTGACGCTTCTAAAAAGTCAAATCCAAAATTCCTTATAAAAGCTTCACCAAAGCCAACTTAAAAGGAGGCTATATGGCTGATCGCTATTATTGCTACACTTTATGTAAGGAACCAGACCAAGTATAATGACACCAGCATTTATTTTATTTATTTATTTTTTTGGGGATGGAGTTTTGCTCTGTTACCCAGGCTGGAGTGCAGAGGCGCGATTTTGGCTCACTGAAACCTCTGCCTCCTGGGTTCAAGTAATTCTCCTGCCTCAGCCTCCCAAGTAGCTGGGATTACAGGCACATGCCACCACACCCAGCCAATTTTTGTATTTTTAGTAGAGACGGGGTTTCACCATGTTGGCCAGGCTGGTTTCAAACTCCTGACCTCAAGTGATCCACCTGCCTCAGCCTCCTAAAGTGCTGGGATTACAGATGTAAGCCACTGCACCTGGCCCAAAATGTATTTTGCGAATAAATTTGACTTACTATGATTAATTCTTGGTGGAAATGGGGGCACTGGAGAGAGAAAAATTTAGATTCTAGCCCTGACCATTGTTTTGAGTTTTTAAATTATGTGACTACAATTTGGACTAATCCTGAATTATTTCCCAGCTACAAGAAATCTCTAAAAAAGAATCAGGTTCTAATTTTCTTTTTTAAAATTATTTATTTATTTATTTATTTATTTGGAGGTGTGTGTGTGTGTGTGTGTGTGTGTGTGTGTGTGTGTGTGAATTTTCTTCATGAGGCCGGGCATGGTGGCTCATGCCTGTAATCTCAGCACTTTGGGAGGCCGAGGCAGGCGGATCACGAGGTTAGGAGTTCAGGACCAGCCTGGTCAACATAGTGAAACCCTGTCTCTACTAAAAATACAAAAATTAGCCAGGCATGGTGGTGTGTGCCTGTAGTCCCAGCTACTCAGGATGCTGAGGCAGGAGAATCACTTGAACCCAGGAGGCGGAGGTTGCAGTGAGCCGAGATTGTGCCACTGCACTCCAGCCTGGGCAACAGAGGGAGACTCTGTCTCAAAAAAAAAAAATTTTTTTTTCTTCATGATGCTTTTAGTTGGCTCCTTAATGGTATAGGTTTTTCATTTTTGTTGTTCTGGAATAAAAATTCTCACTCTCTCGCTCTCTCTCTCTCTCTTTTTTTTTTTTTTCTGAGACAATCTCACTTTGCTGCCCAGGCTGGAGTGCAGTAGTGTGATCTCTGCTCACTGCAGCCCCTCCCTCCTGGATTCAAGCCATTCTCCTGCTTCAGACTCCCAAATAGCTGGGATTACAGGTGTACACCACCATGCCCGGCTACAAATTCTATTTTTTATTAAATTTTTTATTTTTATTTTTATTGTTCAGAGGCATAGTCTTGCTTAGTTGCACAGGCTGGAGTGCAATGTTGCAATTATAGCTCACTATGGCCTAAAACTGCTGGGCTCAAGTGATCTTCTTGCCCCAGTCTCCCGAGTAGCCAGGACTACAGGGTGTGCACCACCATGCTTGTCTAATTTTATTGTGTTTTAAATTTTTTGTAGAGACATTCTTGGTTTTTAGTCCAGGCTGGTATCAGAACTTCTGGCTTCAAGCAATTCTCCCTTCTTGGCCTCCCCAAGTGCTCGGATTACAGTTGTGAGCCACCATGCCTGGTCTACAAATTCTCTTTTGATTGTAATTCTTGTGTGCATTACATTTCTTTTTGAGACAGAGTCTCGCTTTGTTGCCCAGGCTAGAGTGCAGTGGCATGATCTTGACTCACAGCAACCTCTGGCAAACTCCACCTCCCGGTCTCAAAGGTCCTCCCACCTCAGCTTCCCAAGTAGCTGGGATTACAGGTGTGCCACCACACCCAGCTAATTTTTGAATTTTTAGTAGAGATGGTGCTTTGTTATGTTGCTCAGGTTGATCTCGAACTCCTGACTTCAAGTGATCTGCCCACCTTGGTGAGCCACCACTCCCAGCCTTGTATTTCTACTGTTTGTCACCCAGGCTGGAGTGCAGTGGCACCATCTTGGCTCACTGCAGCCTCCACCTCCCAAGTTCAAGTGATTCTCCTGCCTCAGCCTCCCCAGTAGCTGGGATTCCAGGTGCCCACCACCATGCCTGGCTAATTTTTGTATTTTTAATAGAGATGGGGTTTTACCATGTTGGCCAAGCTGGTCTCAAACTCCTGACCTCAGGTGATCCACCCACCTCTGCCTCCCAAAATGCTAGGATTACAGGCATACGCCACCGCACCTGGCCCAAATTATTAATTGTACGTATTCTCATTGTTCTGCTTCTTCCAAGAAAACTGAAGTCACGGTATTCTGAAGACTAGAGATGATTCAACAGGCTGTGAATCTATTCCATTTGGAATCCTACTGGGCCTGATCTGTTTTCCATTGCCAAGGCACTGCTGTTTAAGCTATACCATATGAAGCACCCTCCCTAAAGGCTCAGGGGCCATAGTGAAAGAGGACACATGGGATTGTAAGAGCCAGATTATGGGGGTGGAGGGTAAAGGCTGAAGCAAGTCCATCTTGGATGCTAACTCACTATGTTAGCTTCTGATTAACCCCAGTTCCAGGAAGGCTGCTGAAATTTCCAGTTTATGTGTTGTTCCTTGTGTAAGAGCATGGACTTACTGCAAATCCTGCCCTTAGGGCAAATTCCTACCTATTCCTGCGGAAGCATGTGTATCATTCCCCTATGGTTTATAACCCCTGAGTCTGGGGGTAATGGCACGGGGACCCACCAGCTTGTCTGCCGCCATCTGGGGTAGGTTTGCATAAACACACCTGCCCACTGCGAAACAGTTCCTCTTCCTTGCTCTCCTCCCACCTTTTACTCTGACCCCTTTTCTTTCTTTCTCTCCTTCCTTCCTTCTTTCCTTCCTTCCTTCCTTCCTTTTTTCTTTCTTTTTTGTTTTTGAGATGGAGTCTCACTCTTGCCCAGGCTGCAGTGCAGAGGCACGATCTCGGCTCACTGCAACCTCCAGCCCCTGGGCTCTAGCAATCCTTCCACCTCAGCCTCCCAAATAGCTAGGACCACTGATGCCAGCAACCATGACCAGCTACATTTTTGTATTTTTGGTAGAGACGGGGTTTCGCCATGTTGCTCAGGCTGATCTTGAACTCCCGAGCTCAAGTGATCCGCCCGTCTCAGCTTCCCAAAGTGCTGAGATTACAGGCATGAGCCACCATGCCCAGCCACCTGAGAGACATCCTCTTTTCTATGGCCTTGTTGTTCCTATCTTGCTCAGTTTGGATTTTATGCCCAGGCTTTTCTCCTCAGGGTGGAGCTTTGTCCTAGAAAGATGGTTTGGTTTGGTTTGTTTGAGAGTTCACAGGGCCCAGACCTCTAGGCCACTCCAGCGTGGCCAGAGGTTTCCCTAGTCTCCATGTGACCACATTTCTTCTCAATGCCAGCTTTGCTGCTGTTCTCCAGTGGCCCACTGAACTTTCCAGTGAGTTCCTTTGGTGATTTGGGGTCATTCAGTTCTTATGGATATCACGAGTCCCTTTACCTTCCGTCTTCTTGATGCCGTGTAGACCATGCAATTATAAGTAGCTTGTTTCCACTCACTCAAATTTTGGAGCTCAAGGAGAATCTGGTTGCTAGGGTTTGTTGTAGTTGCTGGCCATGGGTTTTTGATTTTGCTAACCTAGCTGTTGGGAATGTTTTAGTGGTAGGATGCAAGGAGATTCAAAATGTTCTACCTGATTGCACAACTTGGTAAATTTACTAAAAATTGTTGAATTGTGCACTGAATATGGGTAAATTTAAAAAATATATATGTATATATTTAATAATAAAACAGACATGGGGTCTCACTATATGGCCCAGGCTGGGCTTGAACTCCTGGGCTAAAGCTATCATCCTGCCTCGGCCTCCCAAAGTGCTAGGATGACAGGCATGAACCACCTACTGCACACGGCTGCTTTTCTGTTCTTAAGACCATTATGCCCACTGTTAGAGAAGCACTACACTTGTTGGTGAAGTGGTCACCTGCAGGAACAGCTCCACCAGGCAGCGTCTTTTTGCAGGGCCAGCAAGACTGGTCACCACTGTTTACCCCACTGATCAGTTCTAGAAGCAAGTAGATCCAGAGACACCACTACTGAGTTTCTTCATGGCCAAGACTTCTGCTCTTCTAGCACTGGGTGGATGATAGGAAACCATGCACATTCTTTTTGGTAAAACAGGGAGCCCACATCTGAAGAACAGCAAGTACCAAATAGGGCAAACTGAGTTAGAAAACCTGGACTTAAATTACAGCAAGGTAGATTGTGATCATATCACCAGGGATGTGAAATGCAGGACTGATGGTTAAGCACTGGCAACTAGAGTAAGACAGGTTCGATTTAGAATGCCATCTCCATCATTTCTTAGCTATGTGGTGTTAGGCAAATTTTTTACCCTCTCTGAGCCTCATTTTCCTTGCCTGTTGTTTAGTATTAAGGGTTAAATGAGATAACACATACAAAGGATTTAGTGTAGTAACAGGCATTATCAAGCATTGGTTAAATGCTGGGCTGGGTCTCCAAGACTGTGGGCTCCTCCTTAAAACTCCTTACTGAGAAAGACATTTATCCATTTTTGCAGTTTGACCTCCCCTTGTCTGAGGTCAAGGTGGCAGATTT
Source organism: Homo sapiens (assembly GCF_000001405.40). Taxonomy (NCBI): domain Eukaryota; kingdom Metazoa; phylum Chordata; class Mammalia; order Primates; family Hominidae; genus Homo; species Homo sapiens. The sequence goes on from NC_000001.11 coordinate 67,524,264, forward strand.
GCTTCCCGTCTTTCTTAGCTTTATAAGACCTAGGAGAGCCAACACAGAGTTGGTGCAAAATAGAATTTCAGGGAAGTGTCTGCAGGGGGCAGAATTTCAACAGGGAAATAACTATCATTAATGTTTGACACAATCACAGCCATTAGCTATTGTCACTGAAACGATTATCCAGTGGAAGGAAAACAAACAAAAACCCCTGCACCCTGTGATCAAATGTTTCATAGAAACCATTGCTGACTGGGTGGATACAGTAGGTCGTTCTGTGCTGTGGATACACACCTTTTGTCTCCTACCCAGGCAGGGATCCTGGATGGGGTGAGGCTGTCTGAGCTGCAGGCTTGGGAAGCAAACCAGAAAGGGCAGGGAGGCAGCTTGAGGGTTTCTGTGGGCTGGGCGTGTTTTTGCTGTCTCTGCGGGGTTGTTTTGATCTCCCAGGCACAGAACATTTGAGTGCTCTTTGCAAAACCCTTTTTCGGGACTCATTGATGATGAAATGCCACTCCACAGAGGCGATGAGCAAAGGAACACCACTGGACATCTGGATGGGACACATGCTAGGCCCCTCCACCCCAACATGTCCTCAGTGACACTCATCACTTGCCTCCCAAACTGGTTCCTCCTCCAGTTCAGTGAATTATGTCACCATGACTTAGTCACCATGCTGAAAATCTGGGTGTCCTCTCTCTTCCTTCTCCCTCTCTGCCCACTTTCCTCTCTCCCTGTGGCATTCATAGATTCTAGCTGACTAACCCAGAGGCACCCTAGTGCTCACCATGCCTCTCCAACTGAGTGTAGACCATTCCTCCCCACTTGATCATGGCAATGGTCTCTCTAAGTAAATACCTGCCTCTAGCCACAGCCACATGCACCTCACCATTTCCTTGCAGTACTCCCTGGCCATCTTTCTTTATTTTTCTGGAGAAAGGGCCTTGCTCTGTAACTCAGGCTAGAGTGAAGTGGTGTGATCAGAGCTCACTGTAACCTTGAACTCCTGGGCTTAAGCGATCCTCCTGCCCCAGCTTCCTGAGTAGCTAGGATCCCAGGCACACACCACCACTCCTGGCTAATTTTTAAATTTTTTGTAGAGATGAAGTTTTGCTAGGCTGCCCAAGTTCTATCCTTCTAAAACTAGACACACACCCCACTAAAATTTTAGTGACATTATTACCAAAGAAAGGAGAGCACAGATACTAGGAAATATAGCTGTCTTTGTCATGTGCATTATGAGCCAGGCACTGTGCTGAACAATACACATAAATCTCTCAATCATCAAGATTACATGAAAAAGGCATGCAGAACTCTAGGTCAGTGGCATTTCCTTTTCCTTTCCTTCAGTAAGTCTTTTCTCAGCTACAACTTCCTCCTTTAAGGATGCTAGAGATTTTTGCTCAGGGACTGGAGACATTCCCTTATAGAAAACATTATTATGTTCTATTTAATGTATAAGAAAACAGAGGCTCAGAGAGGTTAAGTAAGTTGACTAATGCCACGCAGTAAGGGAAAAAGTCTTAATGTTATCTCGGGTAATCTGACTTCCCAGGCTTCCTGTTTAACCACTTACGCTAAACTAAGGACAAGTAATAAGGTCCTTGCATCTCAGGAACATGGGCCAGTAGGACAGGTGGATCTAAACAAGTACCGTTAATGAGGTATGACAGATATTCTGGAGACCTGAGGGAGAAGTGGGCCAGTTGTTTTCCTTACCTTTTCTCCACACCTCACAGCTTGGCTTTTACATTGTATCAGCATAGTCTTCACAATTTTGAGGTCAAAATGTTTTAAAATATTAGAAGGCCGGGAGTGGTGGCTCATGCCTGTAATCCCAGCACTTTGGGAGGCAGAGGCAGGAGGATCACTTGAGCTTAGGAGTTTGAGACCAGCCTGGCCAACATGGTGAAATCTCATCTTTACAAAAAATACAAAAATTAGCCGGGTATGGTGGTGCACGCCTGTAGTCCTAGCTACTCAGGAGGCTGAGGTGGGAGGATGGCTTGAGCCCCAAGAGAGTGGTTGTAGTGAGCTAAGATCATGCCACTGGACTCCAGCCTAGGGGACAGAGTGAGACCCTGACTTAAAAAAAAAATTAGAAAATACTGTACAATTGGAGAATGGGCCCAGTGGAATGATTGTTCTCCGCCTAGCTCTGCTCCCATGTCCCGCAAATTGCGCCCCCACTCAGTGTAGAGCCTTTTACTCCTGCTATTAGAGTCATGATCCACGAAGCTTCTTCAAAAAGAAGGAAGGAAGGAGAAAGAAAGGAAGGAAGGAAGGAAGGAAGGAAGGAAGGAAGGAAGAAAGAAAGAAAGAAAGAAAGAAAGAAAGAAAGAAAGAAAGAAAGAAAGAAAGAAAAGGAAAGAAGGAAAGAAAGGAAGGAAGGAAGGAAGGAAGAAAAGAAAAAAGAGAAAAGAAAAAGAGGGAGAGAGAGGGGGAGGGAGGGAGAGAAAAGAAGAAAGAATCGTGAGCAGATTCTGATAAGCTCTGATCTTTGATCTTGGGACATTGGTGAGTATGACATCTTTTTTTTTTTTTTTTGAGACGGAGTCTCACTCTGTCGCCCAGGCTGGGGTGCAATGGCGCGATCTCGGCTCACTGCAAGCTCCGCCTCCCGGGTTCGCGCCATTCTCCTGCCTCTGCCTCCTGAGTAGCTGGGACTACAGGCGCCTGCCACCACGCCCGGCTAATTTTTTGTATTTTTTAAGTAGAGACGGGGTTTCACCGTGTTAGCCAGGATGGTCTTGATCTCCTGACCTTGTGATCTGCCCGCCTTGGCCTCCCAAAGTGCTGGGATTACAGGCGTGAGCCACCGCGCCCGGCCAGAGTATGACATCTTTTATGTCAAGGGACAAAACCCTGTTTCTCCCTTTGTGGGGTTACAGCACAAAGTCTGACAGCTCACAAAAATGAACCTTCACAGATCTATCCATCAATTCTTCTCTCTCAGAAAAATGCGGTCGCTACTAAACGGGCCCTGGACTTCATTTCCATGGGGAGCACTGTATGAGTGTGCCCCTGAAACTAGTGTCCTTCTCCCTCCGTCCCTCCTCTCTTCTTTCCTTTCTCTTACTTTCTCTTTTCCTTCCTCCTCAACTGTGTATTAAGATCTTTTTCTGCCAGGTACAGTGCTGGAAGCGGGGATACAGGGACAAATAAGACACAGATCCTGTTCCTAAAGAGGTAATGTTCCCATTATAGAAGGGAAGAACATGGACTTTGGGGCCTGAGTGTGTCAAACAAAATTCCAGCTCCACTACTTGCCAGCCGTGTGATCTTGACAAGTTCTTTAACCTCTCTGGGTCTCAGTTTCCTCATGTGTGAGATAGTCTAACACAGGAATCTGCCTCAGAGTTGTTGTGTGGCTTACAATGAGAGGATTATATATGTTATGCACCTAGAATGGTGCCAGGCACATGAAAATACTACATAGGTATTTATTATTATTTGCATACTGTATAGTACAGTCCTGAAAGCTGCATTCTGATCACTTATATTCTCCCAAGATAAATCACACAGCATGGCACATAGTAACTTCTCAATCCATAAAATCATAATTTGAATGGAAAATTCTGGAATTATTTTAGGTAAGCTGTTATTTTGTTCCTCCTTGCTGAAGTGTGAAGAATACACAAAACTAATCTGTTACGGGAATTTTATGAGTATGACATCTTTTGTGTCGAGACAAAACAATGATAAAAACCTAGTAGTGAAGACAGGCTGAAAGGCTTAACTATTGCCATCTAAGTTGGCCTGGAATGAATTCTCTACCCTGGGACCCAAAAAGTGGTGATAAGTTATGAATTAAACTGGACAAGACAATCCTAGGCCTGCTGACTCTAACCGGGGATTAGCAATGTGCAATAGAGTTCAGCACTCCAACTTTTCTTTCTTTCTTTTTTTTTTTTTTTTGTATTTTTTAGACAGGGTCTCACTCTGTTGCCCAGGCTGGAGTGCAGTGGCACGATCATGGCATACTGCAGCCTTGACCTCCTGGACTCAACCTCCCGAGTAGCTGGGACCACAGGTGGTTGCCACCACGCCTGGCTAATTTATTATTATTATTATTCTCAGAGACAGGGTCTTGCTATGTTGCCCAGGCTGGTCTTGAACTCCTGGGCTCAAGTGATCCTCCTGCCTTGGTGTCCCAAAGTGCTGGGATTACATGCATAAGCCACTGCATCCTGCCAGCACTTCAGCTTTCAGCAAAGGAAAAAGAAAGAACAAATTTTAACCAAGCTTCACCATCCTCACAATACACATCGTGTGTGTGAGAGTGGGGTGGTAGTGTTGGCCAGGGGGTGTGCTGGGAGCATGAATCTGCAGTATCAATTGAGGAAGCCAATATTTTAAGCTATTCTTGGATTGAGTTTTTTTTCCCATTTCTGTTAGAGCATTTATTTATTAATTTTTTGAAGTGAGAGCAAGTTTATTAAGAAAGTAAAAGAATAAAAAGAATGGCTACTCCATAGGCAGAGCAGCCCAGACCATTTCTTTTAAAGGTGTTATTAGGAATAATTATTACTCTCTTGGGGACTTTCTTTTTATAAAGTTAAGTAATCACACGTGTGTTTGAAGTAGGTCAACAAAGAGGAGTTGTCTGGTTTTGCTTTCTAAGCAACTCTGCCTGTATTGTCATCTACATAACTTTTTAATTAAAAGTCTCTTTCAAGTTCACAAATAAGAACTGTCCCCCTGCTGCCTGAAAGCGCTGATTTACACTGACAAATGTCTCAAAAAGGCATGTCACAAATATGGGTAGACAAAAAGATTATTCATGTTCACAGGATTTAAAGCAGGGATGTCTAATCTTTTGGCTTCCTTGGGCCACACTGGCAAAATTGTCTCAGGCCACACGTAAAATACACTAATACTAGCAATAGCTGATGAGCTAAAAAAAAATTGCAAAAAATATCTAATAATGTTTTAAGAAAGTTTACAAATTTGTTTTGGGCTGCACTCAAAGCTGTCCTGGGCTGCACTGATTTAAAGCTTTGATTCAAGTGTTTCTACAAAGACAAGTGGGACTGGAACAGCCAATATTATTTCAAAAGTCATGATATTACTCGGGGCTTGGTAGGGCTCAGGTAACTTATCTGAATCAAAAATTAAAACAGAATGATGCTGTGGGTGAGCCAGGCAGACTTGTGAATGTGACCTTCTTTGGAAAAAGGATCTTTATAGTTGTAATTAACTTGAGGCTCACTCCAAGTCCAGCTGCATCAGTTACTCATTGTGTATCTTGGGCAAGTTTCTTTTCTGAGCCTCAGTTTCTTTGTCTACAAATTGGAGCAAATAATAAAACTCTACAATCTTCAAATCCAAAAGTTTTGGAAACTGATGCTCTATTCTTTTATTTTTTAGTTTTTTGAGATGAAGTCTCGTTCTTGTCCCCCAGGCTGGAGTGCAATGGCATGATCTCAGCTCACTGCAACCTCTGCCTCCCGGGTTCAAGCAATTCTCCTGTCTCAGCCTCCTGAGTAGCTGGATTACAGGTGCGTACCACCACACCTGGCTAATTTTTTGTATTTTAAGTAGAAACGGGGTTTCATCATCTTGGCCAGGCTGGTCTCGAACTCCTGACTTCAGGTGATCCACCCACCTCGGCCTCCCAAAGTGCTGGGATTACAGATGTGAACCACCGCACCTGGCCTGGAAACTGATATTCTATTCTTAACTACTTTGGTGATGAAATCTAATTGACCTGAACTAATTTATTCATAAAACCCTTTCATGTGGCTTTTTATAGTCAGTGTTTATTTTATTTAATGTTAATCTACATGTTTTGCTACACAATTATTAAAGTATTAGTTTAATAATTGGAGTACAACCCCAGACCCTGCTGGGGGTGGCACATACTATGTTATACTTGTAACATTTTTTTTCTTAAAAATGTATACAATTTTGAGTTTCAAAACACACCTGGCCCCAAAGATTTCAGACAACAAACTGTGGACCCATATCTTCCTCATAGGATCATGACAACAGCATGAAACAATGCAAGTAGAATTTCTGGAATACCCTATGTTAATGCCATTTCCCTTCCCCTTTTCCCTGAAGAGTCTTTTCTAAGGCACCAACTACTTCCTTCAAGCAGCAGCCAGAGATCTTTGCTTAATGGCTGGTAAGGTTTTTCTAAACTTTTGGCATCTATATCTGTTGGTCCAACTTGCCTATTAGTCTGTAAACTCCTTCAGGGTAGGGATTGTGTTCCAGTGATTAGCGGCACACAATCTTCCAAAAGTTTAACAAATATTTAAAAAATAGGCTGGGCACGGTGGCTCACGCCTGTAATCCCAGCTCCTTGGGAGGCTGAGGCAGGAGAATTGCTTGAACCCAGGAGGCAGAGGTTGTGGTGAACAGAGATCGCACCATTGCACTTCAGCCTGGGCAACAAGAGTGAAACTCCGTCTCAATAAATAAATAAATAAATGCAGCAATTATTTATTAGATTTCTGGTGGGACTCATAGTCTCCTGATCACATTTTGGGTAGGGATGCACCATGGAAGGGGGATTTACTACAGAAGTACAAGAAAAGTTTTGGAGTCTTGGGGAAGCCAGCAGAAGAGCGCAGCCGTGGGAGGCAATGATAGGGACTCCCTGCATCCAGGTTTGCTTGGCACTCTCCCACTTTAAACCTGTTGTCACAGGACAATCATTGACTCATGTATTAGTCTGTTCTCACGCTGCTAATAAAGACATACCTGAGACTGGGTAAGTTATAAAGAAAAGAGGTGTTTTTGCTTTTGTTTTTGTGTTGAGACAGAGTCTCACTCTGTCGCCCAGGCTGGAGTGCAGTGGTGCAATCTTGACTCACTGCAACCTCCGCCTCCTGAGTTCAAGTGATTCTCATGCCTCAGCCTCTGAGCAGCTGGGATTACAGGTGTGCACCACTATGCCTGGCTAACTTTTGTAATTTTAGTAGAGACAGGGTTTCACCATGTTGGCCAGGCTGGTCTCGAACTCCTGGCCTCAAATGATCCACCCACCTTGGCCTCCCAAAGTGCTGGGATTACAGGTGTGAGCCACTACGCCTGGCCAGAAAGAGGTTTAATTGACTCACAGTTCAGCGTGGCTGGGGAGGCCTCAGGAAACTTACAATCGTGGTGGAAGGGGAAGCAAACAGGTCCTTCTTCACATGACAGCAGCAAGGAGAAGTGCTGAGCAAAAGGGGGAAAAACCCCTTATAAAACCATCAGATCTCATGAGAACTCACTCACTATCATGAGAACAGCAGCATGGGGGTAACCATCCCCATGATTCAATTACCTGCCACTGGTTCCTCCCATGACACATCTGGATTATGGGAACTACAATTCAAGATGAAATTTGGGTGGGGACATAGCCAAACCATATCAACCCCCATTTTTTCTCTTGCATTCTCAAATATATCTTCATTTGGATAAATCATGTGGACACCCTGTACAAGCAGCACCAGGGGGCAGTCTCAGGGTGGAAGGAGTTTTTTTTGTGTGCAGAGTGGAAGGGGAGGGGGGTTCACTAAAAGGAGAGAAGAGGGTGCCTAGAAAGGCAGACTTGAGGGGTGGAGGAGACAGAAGTGAGGCTAGCAAAAACCTAGATCCCCTTAGCAATGATTAAGAGCATAGTCTTTGGAATCAATAGACATGAGGCTACATGCCAGCTGTATAACTTATTGACTGTCTAACATATTGTAGTGGGTTAAATTGTGGCCTCTAAAAAGATACATCCATGTCTTAACTCTAGGAACTTATGAATGTGACTCTTAGAAAAAGAGTCTTTGTAGATGTAATTAACTTAAGGCTCTCGAGAGGAGATCACCCTGGATTATTCTGGTGGGTCCTAAATCCAATGACAAATATCTTTATAAGAGAAACACAGAGGAGAGACCCAGAGAGAAGGAGAAGGCCGCATGAAGATGGAGCAGAGACTGGAGTTATTCAGCCAAGTCAAGGAATGCCTGGAGCACCAGAAGCCGGAAGAGGCAAGGAAGGATCCTCCCTTAGAGCATTTGGAAGAGTGTGGCCCTGCCAACACCTTGACTTCAAACTTCTGGCCTCCATAACTATGAAATAAATTCTTGTTGTTTTAAGCCACCAAGTTTGTGGTAACTTCTTACAGCAACCCTAGGAAATTAACACACAGAGTGTCAGTTACCTAAACATTGTGAGCCTCAGTTACCTTATCTGAAAATGGGGCTAAAACTTAGACCTACCTTTTAGGGCTGCTTTAAGGAGTAATAGAAATTATACATGGGAATTACATGGCACCAAGTTGTTCCTTAATAGAGGGAAACTGTTATGATGGCGGAAGAGCAGTAATGAAATACTGAATTCATCCAGCAGATGGCAGAAGATGGATTTGCAAACAAGAGGACTTCATAAGGTTTGCTGCCCAGCAATGCAGCTCCAGGCCTAAAGTAGCCTTCCTAGCTCACAGACTGATGAGGATTAACCCTCGCCAACTCAAGTGTGCTCTCAGCTCTGTAGAAACTAAACTAATTCTGTTTTCCTTTGACCATTGTACACCACAGAGGCTGGCAATGGAGAATATAAAGAGTGGTGCAACAGAAAATACCTGGGTTCTAGGCTCAGCTCTGTCACCTCATTAGGATTCAGTTTGCCCATCTGTAAAGTAGTGACAAGATGAAATACCAAGTGTAACGTAATTAAAGGGCTGTTGTGATACCAAAATAACATAATGTGTAAAAGTGCTAAAAACAAGATGCCATAAAGCACAGAAGGGGCCCAGGAGAGATTAATTCATGGAGAACTTACTCGTTTTTTTGAGACAGAGTCTCACTGTGTTGCTCAGGCTGCAGTGCAGTGGCGCGATCTCAGCTAACTGCAATGTCTGCCTCCTGGGTTCAAGTGATTCTTGTGCCTCAGCCTCCTGAGTAGCTGAGACTACAGGTGCACGCCACCAAGCCTGGCTAACATTTTTTGTATTTTTAGTAGAGATGGGGATTTCACCATGTTGGCCAGGCTGTTCTCAAACTCCTGTCCTCAAGAGATCCGCCCACCTTGGCCTCCCAAAGTGCTGGGATTACAGGCATGAGCCACTGTGCCTGGCCTAATTAATGGATAACTTCTGCAAGAATCCAGGGTCACGGTTGATTTGTTTATTCATTTATTCACTCAGCAAACATTTCTTTGTGCCAGGCATTGTGCTAGGTCCAGGGAATACTGCTTACGTTGGAGAAGTTCGCATTCTAGTTTGGGTGGACAAACATGTGATAAAGATGTGTACAGGGCATAGTTTTCTCTCAGCAGCTAGGGTAACATTCCAACTCCATGTTTTGGTTTAAGAAACACATTTGATTTTATTTAAAATATTATATATTTTCTCTTTTATTTCTTTTCCCTATTTACAATAAGGCTTACTTGCAAAATTAAGAAATACATTTGAGTGGGTAGTTCCCTTGGTAAAACATTTATATTTCCTTCTTAATTTCTTTGTAAAAGTCTACTCTTAAACACTACTATTTAGAGTTAAGTGAGAAAAGAAAATTGCAGGACAGAATGCACAGAAAGATCTATTTATCTATCTACATAAAAACTGGAAGAATACACTCCCATACTGTTAACAGTGGCTACCTCTAGGGAAAGGGTGAAGTGATATTTGAAAAAATGGGGCTTTTACCTTTTCTTTTCTTTCCTTTTTTTTTTTTAGACAGAGTCTCGCTCTGTCGCCCAGGCTGGAGTACAGTGGTGCGATCTCGGCTCACTGCCAGCTCCACCTCCTGGGTTCACGCCATTCTCCTGCCTCAGCCTCCTGAGTAGCTGGGACTACAGGTGCCCGCCACCACGCCCAGCTAATTTTTTGTATTTTTAGTAGAGACGGGGTTTCACCGTGTTAGCCAGAATGGTCTCGATCTCCTGACTTCGTGATTCACCCGCCTCGGCCTCCCAAAGTGCTAGGATTACAGGTGTGAGCCACCACACCCAGCTTTTTTTTTTTTTTTTTTTTTTGGTTTCTTTTTTGAGACAGAGTTTCGTTCTTGTTGGCTGGGTTGGAGTGCAATGGCGTGATCTTGGCTCACCGCAACCTCCGCCTCCTGAGTTCAAGAGATTCTCCTGCCTCAGCCTCCCGAGTAGCTGGGATTATAGGCATGTGCCACCACACCCAGCTAATTTTGTATTTTTAGTAGAGATGGGGTTTCTCTATGTTGGGCAGGCTGGTCTCAAACTTCTGACCTCAGGTGATCCGCCTGTCTTGGCCTCCCAAAGTGCAGGGATTACAGGCGTGAGCCACTGTGCCTGGCCTTACCTGTTATTTTCTATACTCCTATATCATTTGCATTTTTTAAAAACAAGCACGCACTTCTTTTCCCATTAAAAAAAGAACCGTAATATTTTTTCATGACCCTGTCCCAGAAAACTCTTCTGTACTCACATGGCTAACTCAAACACTGTGGTGTACACTGCTGAGGGAGCTAGTTGTCTCTCTTTTTGAAAGAAAATTAAAAGGAAGAGGAAAGTCCATATTTATTTTCCTTTGTACTCTTGTAGAGGTCATCTAATCGGAAGTGTTCCAAGCTGCTTTAAAGCCCCTCTCCTCTTTAAAGTGGTTTACAAACATTAGCTCAGCACCCTTCAGGGCCTCATAGTGAGGCGGGCTCATATAAGAGGCTAGTGAGTCATAAGGAAGTGGCAGCTGTGGTTGCCATGTCAGTGGTCCTAATAACACCCCTAACATGTGTCTCTGGCTGTACTGTGCTCAAAGGGCTTTCTCCTGCATTATCTGGTGTAACCCTTCTATGACCCTTGGGAAGTCAGGTCAGTACTGCTATTCCTTTATTATATAACAGATGGAGAAATCTATAATATAGGTTCTGGAAAGTGAAATGATAAGCCCAAGATGGGGAGGCCAGTCAGCATGAGGGTTTCACATCACTTATATGTCAATTACTGCACAGCACAAAAGAGAGGATCACTAATGTCAAACCTCGTATAACATAACTTTGACATTGGGGAGGTAGGAGAGGGAGAAGAGCAAACAGTCTTTCTGCCTAATCTGCCCCTTTTTTTCTTTCCTCCCTTCTTTCTTTCTATCCTCCCTCCTTCATTCCCTCTCTGTTTCTACTCCATTGGGAAAAGAAGAGGTGAGGAAGAGGACCCTATTAGAGAAGTAAACAGATCATCACAATTCAGCAGCCAAGTTTTATGCAAATTTAAATTATGCCACAGATTTGAAGCAATGTGCCAAAATATATTAATCAAGTCTCATTTATATGCAAATATTGAAGAAAAGAGAAGCTTCTCACACTGTAAATTAGTCGAGTTTCTCCAGTTCAATACAGGAAGGCTGAGTGACTTGCAGGTGGTGTTCACACTTTTGCCACATGGGGACGCCACCACCGTTGGTAGCCGGACATACTGGCACTCCGTCAGGGTGGAATATGTGAGCATTGCATAACACAAAGTTTCACTCACCCTCATCACTCAGCTTGAAAGGACCATTAACACAGTTTTCTCTCCCATTAAACTAAATTCCTCAAAGGCAAGCTTAGACTTATTCTTTTAAACCCCATCTCCTAGACCAGTGTCTGACATATAGTAACTTACCATTAAGATTTTTTTCTATTAAAAGTATTCTTTTTTTCTTTTCTTTTCTTTTCTTTTTTTTAAGACAGAGTCTTACTGTGTTGCCCAGGCTGGAGTGCAGTGGCGTGATCTCGGCTCCCTGCAACTTCCGCTTCCTGGGCTCAAGCGACTCTTGTGCCTCAGCCTTCCAAAGTGCTGGGATTAGAGGTGTGAGCCACTGTGCCCAGCCTTAAAAAGTATTCTTAACACAAAAAATTTCAAATATATCCCAAAGTACAGACTATAATATAATGAATTCCCTTGTACTCATTATCCAGCTTCAACACCTACCAACTCATGGTCAATCATCTGTCCTCTATATACCCTATTTCTTAGAATCAAATACACAAATGTAAATATTTTGGTGTAAGACACTGTAAAAAAGAAAAGAAAAGGAATGTAATTGCTAGGCCTCTCTCACTGACTTTAAAATACCTGGGTGGGTGGCGGTGGGCAGAGTGGAGAGAAGGAGCATTTTTCTAGAGGTCGCAGCGTTTTGTGGAACAATTTCCTGTAATGGGAAAAATTGAGACGGGTAAGAGGAAGGAATAATGATTATTACATGCCAAGTGTTGTGCATTATTATTTAATTTCACCTTTCTGGGAGATAGAGGTATGACGTACCCATTTTAAAGATGAGGCTCAGAGATGTTGAGTGCTGTATCTTCAGCAAAGCTGGGATTGGAACCCAGCTGTGTGTGGCTTCAAGGTCTGTATTCTCCACCCTCTGATAGGACGAACTTGCAATGCATATCAAACCAAATCCACCCATGGTTTGAGGCTCTCCCTCCCGCCCATGTACCTAAATCCAGCTTCATTCATAGGGCCTTGGGGGACAAGCCCCTGAGGGTTACTCCAGCCCTTTGGAGAAGGGAGGGTTTCCATGCCCAGAGTGTCAAAGGGGAATTCAGTTTCTTATTCAACAGAGCTCATTTCCTCTTGTTGCTTGTCCTAAGAAAATGACTGCCTGGAGTCCCAGAGAATTTGTAAGTAAATTTGTAGGCCAAGAGTGGTGGCTCCCACCTGTAATCTCAACACTTTGGGAGGCTGAGGTAGGAGGATTGCTTTTATCAAGGAGTTTGAGACCAGCCTGAAAAACACAGCAAGACCTGTCTCTACAAAAAAAAAAAAAAAAAAGAAAAAAAAATTAGCTGGGCGTGGTGACACACATCTGTAGTCCCAGCTGCTCGGGAGGCTGAGGCATCAGAATTGCTTGAGCCTGGGAGTTTGAGGCTGCAGTGAGCCATGATCATGCCACTGCACTCATCCTGGGTGACAGAGTGAGACCGTGTCTCTAAATAAATAAATAAATAAATAAATAAATAAATAAATAAATAAATAAAAAGTTGTAAGGGATTAAGCAATAAAACACACATACACTGGTTAGGATAAACCGTTTGTGGGAAAAATCTAAGAGATTGTGTTTAAGTGTGTTCTTGAATAGATTAGACTGGGTTTGATTGAGACTCTAAGGAAATAAACCAAGCCTCAATTACTTTTAGGGGAAGGAGACCCCATTGTAAGAGAAGGAAGCTGACCAGCCATGGCAGCTTGGAAAATGACAAGTCTCAGGGGCAAATGCTGGCAAGGCCTGTCCATTCAGTGTCCAGGCAAGAAGAAAGCTTGGCAAGCAGACCTGAGCAAAGAGGTTTGCCAGGCAAAGCAAACCCTCTAGTGGGTAAGAGCGCTTTGAGCAATTCAGCCGAAAGATAGGTCTTCTATTCAACCTTTGCCACAATTCCTTGCTCGCTCTTCTGGATAATTTGGCTTCTTGGGTATTCGTTTTTCAACAGGGAAAGAACAAAGTGCTCTGGCTTGTGTGAACTTCCAGTACTCTCGAAAGCTGATTTTCTCATTATAAATGAATAAATTGGCGTTCTGGTTATAACTTGGCTTCTCCAGTAATTTGCCTCCAGGGAGAGAATGGACTGATCTCCGTACTAGAGTGTTCTGTCTGCTTGCCAGCTTAACTTCGCTTTGTAAGCGAATAAATGGGCCTCCTGTAGTTATATATCGGCCTCTCAGGGGTGCCTGGTTAATGCCTGGTTTCCTGGGGAAGAAGGACCAGGTGAGAAGTGCCAACAAACAGGTCTCCTGGCCTGCAGGAGAGCAGGCTCCTCAAGTGGAGAAATCATCAAGGCAATGAATGCGGTCTCCTGGGGTCTCTTGGGAGAGAGCTGGTGTCTGAACCACAGTGACACGTGGCCTTAACACGAGGAACTGAACCTTCATGCCCCAAAGGAAGCAAGTTTGGATCCTTTAACCCCTAAGCAGGTTATTCCAGCTCAGTGAGAAGAATCCCTACTTTATTCCCATTGGCATGAGACGAAGAGGTTCTTGGAAGCAAAACTTTGCCATGTCGCTCCTTCCTTTAAAATCCCTTGACAGCCTCTTATTACTTGGAGTATAAAGTCCAAACTCCTTGGCAAGACTTGCCTTTGTGACAGGAAAAATAAAAAAATTATTACTACATGATTTCATCAAATCAAATCCCCTTATAGCTGTAAGGTGTTTTATTATGTGAAGTGCTAATTAATACTGTTGATGAAACTATGATATCCCATTGATCATAAAACACATCCAATTTCAAATAGACTAAAATATGAAAAATATTCAAATCTGAAAGTCACTAAAATATGGTATTTAAAATGAAAGCTGAGAGTTATAATTTTTCCCTTTTAGGGGAGAGATACAATTCACTTTAAAGAAAAATAATTCTGGCTAGGTGTGGTGGCTCACACATGTAATCCCAGCACTTTGGGAGGCTGAGGTGGGCAGATCACTTGAGGTCAGGAGTTTGAGACCAGCCGGGCCAACATGGCAAAACCCCATCACTACTAAAATTACAAAAATTAGCCTGGCGTGGTGGTGGGCACCTGTAATCCCAGCTACTCGAGAGGCTGAGGCAGGCGAATAGCTTGAACCTGGGAGATGGAGGTTTCAGTGAGCCGAGATTGCACCACTGCACTCAAGTCTGGGTGACAGAGCGAGACTCCATCTCAAAAAAAAAAAAAAAAAAAGAATTCTGTTATTTAGGAAAACACGGTGATGGATTTTACATTTTTGAGGAGGTATGGCCTATATGCTTAGGCTTGGATAAGTGAGAACAAGTGAGAGAGACAGAGAGAAAGAGAGAGAGAGCGAGAGAGAGAGGAATTGCTCTATACGGTAAGGAACTAGAGCTTTCCTTGCTGCCAGAACAGTGGGGATGGGGAGATGTGAGGAAGGTCTAGCTTCAGAGTAGTATTCTCTAGAATTACTTGGGAGTTTTCACATGCATGCCCAGCTGGCCCCACTTTCATAGATTCAGACTAAAATGATTTGAGATGAGTACTGGGAATTGTTTTTTTTGGCAGCATCTCGCTCTTGTTGCCCAGGCTGGAGTGCAATAGCATGATATTGGCTCACCACAACCTCCACCTCCCGGGTTCAAGAGATTCTCCTGCCTCAGCCTCCTGACTAGCTAGGATTACAGGCATGTGCCACCATGCCCAGCTAATCTTGTATTTTTAGTAGAGACGGGTTTTCTCCATGTTGGTCAGGCTGGTCTCGAACTCCCGACGCAGGTGATCCACTCGCCTCGGCCTCCCAAAGTGCTGGGATTACAGGCGTGAGCCACTGCGCCTGACCTGGGAATTGGTCTTTTTAAAAGCTTCTAGGAGATTGTAACTGGTGAGACGGAGGAGGTGGAGGGAGGTCACAGGTGCTTAAGAAGATAAAGCTGGCTGGTAAGAACCTTCCTATGGTGGAGGTGGCCTATGCAAGTTGGGGCCGCCACGGTCAGTGTTTAACTGTAAGTGGTTTTCTGTCTGTGCTGTGGCCTTCTTTGGCTCTCTCAAGCCTGCAGTGTGAGCTGGCCATCCCAGCACTCGGACGTTACTGGTGTTTTGGGGAATGGAGGAAGTGAGTTGCTGCCCAGAAAGGAAGATGCAGAGGACAGACTTCAGGGGCCGACTGCAGCAGCAGAGCTGAGAGCAGCGAGGGACAGAGGATCAGGGCCACAGAGCTCAGAGCCGGGAGAGCACCACCTCGCCTTAACCCCAGAACCACACCAAATCTTCAGGGATACTGGGCTTCCCGCTGTTGGTGGCATGGCTGTTTCAGCTTTTCCATTTGAATATTGAATGAAAGGATCATGCCTAAGGGCTTGAGGAACTGGGGACATTCAGAACCAACAGTGGTTTCATCATGTGTTTTATGATCTGGTTCCTGCCCACCTATCCTACCCACTCCACACCTATGGCCTCACCCTCACCTCTATCCTGGGCTGCTTGAAATAGCTATTCACCCTTAAAGACTCAGCCCAAGGTTTACCCGCTCTGAGAAACCTTTTCTTCCCCTCCCCTGTCTTTCACCCCGCTGGATGATTTCCTCCTGCTGCTCCGATGGATCACTGGCAGGCCTCCCAGCATGCCGCCGTTCTGGGTTGAATTGTGTCCCCCCAAAAGATAAGCTGGAATCCTAACCCCTGGTGCCTTATGTGACCTTATCTGGAGATAAGGTCTTTATAAATGTTATCAAGTTAACATGAGGTCATGAGGGTGAGCTCTAATCCCATAGGACTGGTGTCCTTATACAAAGGGAGAAATCTGGGCACAGAGACAGACATGCACAGGGAGCAGGCCATGTGAAGATTAGAGTTGAGGTTTCCACAAGCCAAGGAACTACCAGAAGTAGGGGAGAGGCCTGGAGCAGATCCCTCTCCGGCTCCGCCAGAGGGGAGGAGTAGAGTACACCAAGAGAATAATTAACAGGGGAACCTGGCTAATTCCAGAAAGCTTTTCCAGGAAAGTGATGTTTGAGCTGAGCAGAGACGAATGGCCCTGCTGACACCTTGGTCTTGAACTTCTAGCCCGCAGAATGGTGAGATAGTAAAATTCTGTTTTTCTAAGCCATTCAGTCTGTGGTACTCTGTTATGGCAGGCCTAGCAAATTTATACAGCCTCTGACATGTCAGTGACTTCATGTTTTTAGGTCTGTTACCCCAACTAAGCTATAAACCCCTCAAAAGCAGAGACTGTCTTACTCACTTTTGCACTTCATCTAACACTGCCTAAATGTTTGTTGAATGAATCAGTGATTACAGTTCATCCCCAGTTTCCTGAATCTACTCTCAGAAACAGCACATGGTGGTAGAAAATGCCTGGTGCTTAGTTGGCAGCTGTTACCAGCTCTGCTGCCATCTGTCCATGACTGTCATCAATAACCACAGCAATGACAATGACCCCAGTTTCAGCTAGCATTCAGTGGGCATCAAACTATATGAGAATGCATTTATTCAGTCAGTCACTCGAAAACCATTGAGTGGTGCTTGCTTTGGCAGCACATATACTAAAATTGGAGTGATACAGAGAACATTAGCATGGCCCTTGCACAAGGATGACATGCAAATTCGTGAAGTGTTTTATATTTTTAAGACTTGTGCACAAATACCACAAGCAGCTTTATTTGAAATCGCAAAAACCTGGAAACAACCCAAATGTCTAATAACAGGTTAGTGGATAAACAAGTTGTGGTATACTGGTATATCCGTACAGTGGAATAATTCTTAGCAATGGAAAGGAATGAATTGTCCATATAGGCATCAACGTAGATGAACTCAAAATAATTATAAATGAAATAAGCTAGGTAAAAAATGAGTACATATTATATGATTCCATTTATATAAAATTCTAGAAAATGCAAGCTAATATATAATGACAGGAGCAAATCAATCATACCCTAGAAATGGGGAGAAGCAGAGGAATAGGAGAAAGAGATTACCAAGGGGCATAAGGAAACTCATGGGGGCGGTGGGTATATTCAATATCTTGATTCTGGTGATGGTTTCAAATTGTACACTTTAAATATGTTCAGTTTATTATATATCAATTATCTTCAACAAAGCTATTATAAAATAAAATAAAAAAAAGTCCATTGAGTGACTTGTATGGGTCAGGTTCTGTGCTAAGAACTGAGGATAGAATGCTAACTAAGACCAGCCTGGTCCCAGCCTTCATGGAGTTTATAAACTAACAGGAGAGACGGATCAAGTAGTTGTATAATTACAATGGTGGCAAATACTAAAAGGAGAAGTAGAGTACAACAAGAGAATAATTAATGGGGAACCTGGCTACCCCAGAAAGCTTCTCAGAAAACGTGATGTTTGAGCTGAGCAGAGAGGGATTTGTGGAAATAAGTGAGGCAAAAAGGTAAGTGAGCATGTTCCCAGTAGAGGACACAGCATGTGTGAAACCTGTTCATTCAACAATTATCTACTGAGAACTTATGGCATAGGCAATTGTTCTAGGTCCTGCATACAGCATGGAAAACAGTTAATAAAGATCTCAACTGTTGTGAAGGTCGCTTTCCAGAAGCCAGAGGAGGTGAGCAGGAAGAACAGGGGAAAGAAGAAAGTGTGGCAAGTGTCTTCCAGGATATGAAATTGAAAAGCCCTGACCCACTGAATCTCTCTTTTTTTTTTTTTTTTTTGAGACAGAGTCTTGCTCTGTCCCCGAGGCTGGAGTACAGTGGCGTGATCTCGGCTCACTGCAACCTCCGACTCCCGAGTTCAAGTGATTCTCACTCCTCAGCCTCCCAAGTAGCTTGGATTACAGGTGTGCACCACCACACCTGCCTAAGTTTTGTATTTTTAGAAGAGACGGGTTTTCACCATGTTGGCCAGGCTGGTCTTGAACTCCTGACCTCAAGTGACCCACCTGTCTCAGCCTCACAAAGTGCTGGGATTACAGGCATGAACCACCATGCCTGGCTCCACTCAATCTGTCTTTCATACCTAGAACAGTGCCTGGTATACTGCAAGAGCTTAATAAATTATTTGCTGCAAATGAAGGACAGTCATCGGGTGAGGTGGGGCTGGGGTGTGTGTGGTGATTCTGATACAACTTGAGTTAATTGCCACTGAACTAAAAAAGTGCTTTAGAGTTTAAAGAGTCTTTTAACATTCACAGCACTATTTTTCACTGCTATTAAATGGTGCAGTTGGTCTCAATAATCCTAAGAACTCTTCTGATAATAAAATGTTCTCAGCCTGTGAGTGGTCCAGTTTTAAGGCCAGCTTCACAGCTGTTGGCATTTTTCACCCAAGCCAGATTTTATGGTTCTTAAGTGGCAGGGTTGACTCTGCTGAGGAACCTCGGAAGGAAGAGACTGTGTCCTTCCTGTCCGGTGGTTGCCTCCTTTGCTTAGGTCATCATGACCTCCAGTCTGGGCTATTAAATGAGGAAAGAGCCACAGTCTAACTTCTATTGTTTAGGAAAACATTTTGACAGACTTTTGGTTGATAGAGGCAGATTCCATCTCTCTCTCTCTCTCTTTTTTTTTTTTTTGAGACAGAGTCTTGCTCTGTCACCCAGGCTAGAGTGCAGCGGCATGATCTTGGCTCATTGCAGCCTCAGCCTCCCGAACTCAAGCGATCCTCTCACCTCAGCCTCCTGAGTAGCTGGAACTACAGGTGTGCACCATCATGCCCAGCAAATTTTTGTATTTTTCATAGAGACATGGTCTCACTATGTTGCCCAGGCTAGTCTTGAACTCCTGAGCACAAGTGATCCACCGGCTTTGGCCTCTCAAAGTGTTGGGATTATAAGCATGAGCAACCACACCCCCCGTATTTTTTTAAATTTATTTTTTATTTATCTGTTGCCCAGGCTGGAGGGCAGTGGTGCGATCTTGGCTCACCACAACCTCCGCCCCCCGAGTTCAAGTGATTCTCCTGCCTCAGCCTCCCAAGTAGCTAGGATTACAGGCATGTGCCACCACACCCAGCTAATTTTTATATTTTTACTAGAGATGGGGTTTCACCATGTTGGACAGGCTGGTCTCAAACTCTTGACCTCAGGTGATCCACCCGCCTTGGCCTCCCAAAGTGCTGGGATTACAGGCATGAGCCAACACTCCCAGCCTGTATTTTTTCTTAAAAACAATAATTTTTAGTTCATTGTAGAAAATAATATAAAATAAACGAAGTCAAATGAAAACTGAAAGTCATCCATAATCCCACCAACCAGAAATAACCAGGGTTTATATTTGTGTGGATTTCTTGCAGGCTTTGTTTCTGCAGATATACCTGGTATAGGTATGTATATGTATGTTTATAAAAATGAGATTATATAATATATGTCAATTTGCAATGACTTAAATAAGCTTCAGATTTTATTACAAGCATCTTTCTATGTCAATAGATCTTCATTAACATCACTATTTTAAATTCAGGCCTGGCGTGGTATTACAGCCTCCTGTATTTTCCGTTTCTAATTTCTCCCCACCCTGTGGCCAAATTAGTCCTCCCGAAGCATAACTTGGATCGTGTTACTCTCCTGTTGAAACCCTTTTAAATGTTTTCCACTCCCCATTTTCTATAGATATAGTCCAAATTACTTGACCAGGCTGGGTGCACTGGCTCACTCCTGTAATCTCAGCACTTAGGTAGGCCAAAGTGAGTGGATCACTTGAGCTCAGGAGTTTGAGACCAGTCTGGGAAACATAGCGAAACCCCTTCTCTAAAACAAAATGAAACAAAAAAATAAAAGCAAACAAACAAATTATTTCACCTGAAATTCTAGACCCTCCATGATACGACTCTGCCCCAACCTGCTTTTCCATGTTATCTTCCATTACTTTCCAAGCTGTATCTGATGATCTAGGGAAAGCCTGATGCTTCCCAAGGATCTTGATACCTTTTCCCACCTCTGCTCAAGATGTCCCTTCCATTAGAATGCTGTCTCCTGCTACTCCTCAGCTACAGGAACCCCAGGCCACCTCTCAGGTCTTGCTCAGATGCTACCTTCTTCAGATAGTCTTGTTTCTCTCCAGTAAGTGCACTAGGAACAGAGGTAAGTGCTTTTCTTTTCTTTTTTTTTCTTTTACAGGAAAAAAGATAATTTGCCACATCTTTGTCATTGTTTAAGACATACTTTCTTCTTTGGATGTGTGTGTGCATATACATGCACACACACACACATCACATTACACACATTATGATAAATTGTGCAAAGGAGGAGGCATTATGGGGAAGACTTAGAATTTGGGACTTCACTCCCACTAATGCTTTTCTCATTTACAAAAATTGTTTTTACACATCTACATATCCATATAGATATAAGCTTAGATCTGTATATGTGCATATATATGTATCTATGTGTATAGATACATATATAAAGATTTTAACAATTTATTTTCTATAGGTTGCCACTTTTAAGGTACAAGCTAATCTTCTTACAGCATTTATAGGTTTCAGTTGACCACGCATTTTAATAGGGAGCTTGCAAGGAAAAGATAACTGAGTCATGCCTTGTGTAAACCTATCAACCTCAGTTCAGAATCTGGCTCTCCTTGGTTTTGTGCTATTAGATTGACAAATACCTCTTAATAAATCTCCTGAGATTATGTAATTCAGTTTAGGGACTGTGAGACTCAACAACTGGATGAGATGCTAGATGGTTTGCTGGTTGTGGGCAGCTCATATTGAACCAACTCAATTTCCTGGGTTAGCCCTTCAATGCATGCATTGGCATTCAAAGCCCAGACTCCCTTTAATGTCTGAGAAATTCAATTTCCTCAGCTTTTGAAGTCAACTCTGTGGGTGTACAGCATTTCAAAGCTGCAAAAACAGCAAAGAGGAGGACAGGAGGGACATTTTACCCAAGAGAAGTTCAGAGTTCCAATATTGTTCCTCATGGCTATTGACTGATTTAAGGGTTATCAGGGCATAAACATGCAATTCTCTCTCCCCCTGAGGCTGCCTTGCCAAGTTGCTTGGCTGACCTTCATCCATTGCAGATCCCATAAGCTTCAAGCTCCACATGGAAGAATCACTGCTGGGCATGACGGATCATCTCCATGCTCTCCCTCAGCCTTTGTTCCTGTTGACAATGGTGTCATGAAGAATTTTTCTGGACTCCAGCTCCTGTCAGATTTAATTTTCTCTTTTTACTCTAGTGTCTCCCTGAGTGATCTCATCCACTCTCATGGCTTTTAATGCCACCTATACGGTGACCCCTCCCACATTTATATCTCCACATCAGATCTGTCTTCTGAGCCCAGATCCATGTGTCCAACCACCTACTTGTCATTGCCATCTGGATATTGGCCTGGCATCACAAACTCGACATGTTCAAAAGAAATTCATGGCCTGGCGAAGTGGCTCATGCCTGTAATCCCAGCATTTTGGGAGGCTGAGGTGGGTGGATCACTTTTTGACCAGCCTGGCTAATATGGTGAAACCCCATTTCTACTAAAAAATACAAAAATTAGCCAGGCGTGGTCGTGGTGGGCACCTGTAATCCCAGCTACTCAGGAGGCTGAGGCATGAGAATTGCTTGAACCTAGGAGGTGGAGGTTACAGTGAGCCTGGGCAACAGAGACTCTGTCTCAAAAAAAAAAAAAAATCCAGCCTGAGAGACAGAGCAAGACTCCATCTCAAAAACAAAAACAAAACCAAAACAAAACTGGAATTCACTGCCTTCTAAACTCGTTCCTCCTCTTGGATTTCCTATCCAGAGGATAACACCACCTGCTGCCTCGATACCCAAGGAAGAGACATTGGGAGGTGTCATCCACACCTCCTCTCCCTTTCACCTCCTCTGCACTCCCTCCCACTGCCTCACTGGATAATCATCAAGTTCTGCCAGTTCAATGCCTCCTGAAGAGTTCTCCCTATGCACATTGCTCTGCATTTTCACCACCAGCACCCTAGTCCAAGACCCCGGAGTCTCCTGCCTAGACTACTACATAAGCCTTCTAACTGGATCTTCCGCATCCATTTTTATGGAGGGGGTGGTGGTTAACACCATAGCTGCTCTATTTAGTCTTTGTAACAACCAGTTTAACCGACTGCCAGAGAATGTCATTAGGATATGCTGGTTCTCAGCTCCAAATTTGGAAAGCTAGGTTTACATACCCCATTTGAGCAAGTCTGATGGGTAATTTTGCTAGAATTCCCTACTTGACTTCTCCAAGCCAGAGACAGGTCCTGTAAGAAGTCTTACGAGGAATTATTTTCTCAGTATTCTAAATATTGAGAATTTTTATTTTTAATATTGTCTCAATGGCACAGAGTGAGAATTGACGTAAGTGTCCGGAATTCCATGAGGCCGAGCATGCCAACTAGAGTTTGGTGGGCTTTAGGCATTGGGACATACATGCTGGCCCACATATTCACCCTGCCCTATCCCCAACACTGTGACCTACAAGTATCTCTTTCCAAGGCTGTTTCCATGGCTGCTGCTCCTTCTCCTCCTCCTCTTCCTCTTCCTCCTGCTCCTCCCCCTCTTCTCTTTCTCTTTCTTCTCCTTATAGCTAGATTAAAGTATAATTGCTATACAAAACCCTGCATTTATTTAAAATATATAATTTGATGCACAGGGCATATGTATACATCCATGTCCCTGAGTAGCTGGGACTACAGCGCCCACCACCACGCCCGGCTAATTTTTTGTTTTTTTTTTTTGAGATGGAGTTTCGCTCTTGTTGCCCAGGCTGGAGTGCAATGGCAGGATCTTGACTCACCACAAGCTCCACCTCCCAGGATCAAGCGATTCTCCTGCCTCATCTTCACGGGTAGCTGGGATTAGAGGCATGCGCCACCACACCTGGCTAATTTTGTATTTTTAGTGGAGATGGGGTTTCTCCATATTGGTCAGGTGGGTCTCGAACTCTCAACTTCAGATGATCTGCCCGCCTCGGCCTCCCAAAGTGCTAAAGTGCTAGGATTACAGGCATGAGCCACCACTCTCAGCCATAATTTTTTATTTTCAGTAGAGATGGGGTTTCGCCATATTGGCCAGGCTGGTTTCGAACTCCTGACCCCATGTGATCTGCCTGCCTTGGCCCTACATCCATTCTTGCTGTTCTCTAATCTGTTACATATAGCAGCCAGAGAGGATTTTTTTAAAACCCAAATCTCTATTAGGTCTTCTTGGTGCAGAGCTGAGTTCAATTCCTGGGTATCCTTGTTAACTTTCTGTCTCGTTGATCTGTCTAATGTTGACAGTGGGGTGTTAAAGTCTCCCATTATTATTGTGTGGGAGTCTAAGTCTCCTTGTAGGTCACTCAGGACTTGCTTTATGAATCTGGGTGCTCCTGTATTGGGTGCATATATATTTAGGATAGTTAGCTCTTCTTGTTGAATTGATCCCCTTACCATTATGTAATGGCCATCTTTGTATCTTTTGATCTTTGTTGGTTTAAAGTCTGTTTTATCAGAGACTAGGATTGCAACCCCTGCCTTTTTTTGTTTTACATTTGCTTGGTAGATCTTCCTCCATCCTTTTATTTTGAGCCTATGTGTGTCTCTGCACGTGAGATGGGTTTCCTGAATACAGCACACTGATGGGTCTTGACTCTTTATCCAATTTGCCAGTCTGTGTCTTTTAATTGGAGCATTTAGTCCATTTACATTTAAAGTTAATATTGTTATGTGTGAATTTGATCCTGTCATTATGATGTTAGCTGGTTATTTTGCTCGTTAGTTGATGCAGTTTCTTCCTAGCCTCGATGGTCTTTACAATTTGGCATGATTTTGCAGTGGCTGGTACCTGTTGTTCCTTTCCATGTTTAGTGCTTCCTTCAAGAGCTCTTTTAGGGCAGGCCTGGTGGTGACAAAATCTCTCAGCATTTGCTTGTCTGTAAAGGATTTTATTTCTCCTTCACTTTTGAAGCTTAGTTTGGCTGGATATGAAATTCTGGGTTGAAAATATTTTTCTTTAAGAATGTTGAATATTGGCCCCCACTCTCTTCTGGCTTGTAGAGTTTCTGCTGAGAGATCCGCTGTTAGTCTGATGGGCTTCCCTTTGTGGGTAACCCGACCTTTCTCTCTGGCTGCCCTTAACATTTTTTCCTTCATTTCAACTTTGGTGAATCTGACAATTATGTGTCTTGGAGTTGCTCTTCTCGAGGAGTATCTTTGTGGCGTTCTGTGTATTTCCTGAATCTGAATGTTGGCCTGCCTTGCTAGATTGGGGAAGTTCTCCTGGATAATATCCTGCAGAGTGTTTTTGGTTCCATTCTCCCCGTCACTTTCAGGTACACCAATCAGACGTAGATTTGGTCTTTTCACATAGTCCCATATTTCTTGGAGGCTTTGTTCATTTCTTTTTATTCTTTTTTCTCTAAACTTCCCTTCTTGCTTCATTTCATTCATTTCATCTTCCACAACTGATACCCTTTCCTCCAGTTGATCGCATCGGCTCCTGAGGCTTCTGCATTCTTCACGTAGTTCTCGAGCCTTGGCTTTCAGCTCCATCAGCTCCTTTAAGCACTTCTCTGTATTGGTTATTCTAGTTATACATTTGTCTAAATTTTTTTCAAAGTTTTCAACTTCTTTGCCTTTGGTTTGAATTTCCTTCTGGAGCTCAGAGTAGTTTGTTCATCTGAAGCCTTCTTCTCTCAACTCATCAAAGTCATTCTCCGTCCAGCTTTGTTCCGTTGCTGGTGAGGAACTGTGTTCCTTTGGAGGAGGAGAGGCGCTCTGCTTTTTAGAGTTTCCAGTTTTTCTGCTCTGTTTTTTCCCCCATCTTTGTGGTTTTATCTACTTTTGGTCTTTGATGATGGTGATGTACAGATGGGTTTTTGGTGTGGATGTCCTTTCTGTTTGTTAGTTTTCCTTCTAACAGAGAGGACCCTCAGCTGCAGGTCTGTTGGAGTTTGCTAGAGGTCCACTCCAGACCCTGTTTGCCTGGGTATCAGCAGCAGTGTCTGCAGAACCGTGGATTTTCGTGATCCGCGAATGCTGCTGTCTGATCGTTCCTCTGGAAGTTTTGTCTCAGAGGAGTACCCGGCCGTGTGAGGTGTCAGTCTGCCCCTACTGGGGGGTGCCTCCCAGTTAGGCTGCTCAGGGGTCAGGGGTCAGGGACCCACTTGAGGAGGCAGTCTGCCCGTTCTCAGATCTCCAGCTGCGTGCTGGGAGACCCACTGCTCTCTTCAAAGCTGTCAGACAGGGACATTTAAGTCTGCAGAGGTTACTGCTGTCTTGAACTCTCCACCCCAAATCAACAGAATATACACTTTTTTCAGCACCACACCACACCTATTCCAAAATTGACCACATAGTTGGAAGTAAAGCACTCCTCAGCAAATGTAAAAGATCAGAAATTATAACAAACTGTCTCTCAGACCACAGTGCAATCAAACTAGAACTCAGGATTAAGAAACTCACTCAAAACCGCTCAACTACATGGAAACTGAACAACCTGCTCCTGAATGACTACTGGGTACATAACGAAATGAAGGCAGAAATAAAGATGTTCTTTGAAACCAGCGAGAACAAAGACACAACATACCAGAATCTCTGGGATGCATTCAAAGCAGTGTGTAGAGGGAAATTTATAGCACTAAATGCCCACAAGAGAAAGCAGGAAAGATCCAAAATTGACACCCTAACATCACAATTAAAAGAACTAGAAAAGCAAGAGCAAACACATTCAAAAGCTAGCAGAAGGCAAGAAATAACTAAAATCAGAGCAGAACTGAAGGAAATAGAGACACAAAAAACCCTTCAAAAAATTAATGAATCCAGGAGCTGGTTTTTCAAAAGGATCAACAAAACTGATAGACCGCTAGCAAGACTAATAAAGAAGAAAAGAGAGAAGAGTCAAATAGATGCAATAAAAAATGATAAAGGGGATATAACCACCGATCCCACAGAAATACAAACTACCATCAGAGAATACTACAAACACCTCTCTAGAACTAAAAATACCATTTGACCCAGCCATCCCATTGCTGGGTATATACCCAAAGGACTATAAATCATGCTGCTATAAAGACACATGCACACGTATGTTTATTGCGGCACTATTCACAATAGCAAAGACTTGGAACCAACCCAAATGTCCAACAATGATAGACTGGATTAAGAAAATGTGGCACATATACACCATGGAATACTATGCAGCCATAAAAAATGATGAGTTCATGTCCTTTGTAGGGACATGGATGAAATTGGAAATCATCATTCTCAGTAAACTATCGCAAGAACAAAAAACCAAACACCGCATATTCTCACTCATAGGTGGGAATTGAACAATGAGATCACATGGACACAGGAAGGGGAACATCACACTCTGGGAACTGTTGTGGGGTGGGGGAGGGGGAAGGGATAGCATTAGGAGATATACCTAATGCTAAATGATGAGTTAATGGGTGCAGCACACCAGCATGGCACATGTATACATATGTAACTAACCTGCACATTGTGCACATGTACCCTAAAACTTAAAGTATAATAATAATAAAATTAAATAAATAAATAAATAAAACACAAATCTCATTTTGTCACTCTTCTGCTTAAACACTATCAATGATTTACCATTTCTTTTCTTTCTTTCTTTTGTTTTTTTTTTGAGATGCAGTCTCACTCTGTCACCCAGGCTAGAGTGCAGTGGCGTGATCTCGGCTAACTGCAAACTCCACCTCCCAGGTTCAAGCGATTTTTCTGCCTCAGCCTCCTGAGTAGCTAGGCTTACAGGCACGTGCTGCTGTGCCCAGCTAATTTTTATATTTTTAGTAGAGACAGGGTTTCATCATGTTAGTCAGGCTGGTCTCGAACTCCTGACCTCGTGATCTGCCCGTCTCCACCTCCCAAAGTGCTGGGATTACAGGCGTGAGCCACAGCACTGGGCCTATAATTTCTTTTATTTAAAAAATTCAAATCCTTCGTCATGGCTCATAGAGTCCTGCACAACTTGGGCACATGCTTCTCAGCAGCAGCATCAACTGGTGTCACCTGGCATTACCCTGTGTCACCCGGCATTACCCTGTGTCACCCAGCATCAACCCGCCCCACTTCCTTTGTCCTCTGTGCTCTTGCTGCACAAACCTTCTCCAGTTCCTTAGACTCATGGACAGACAGAGCCTCTCCCTGTTGTCATAGTAGTTGTTTCCTGTTTGTCTGGTTAATTTCTATTCATCTTTTAGAGGTTTCAGCTTAAAAATCCCTTCCATTGGAAAAACTTCTGCAGCCCCTGAGGCCACACCGGCACCGACCACACATAGGCACAGCACCATGCTTGTTTTCTGTTCTCCTGGTCACTGTGGCCATCATTTGATCAATAATTTGCTTGATGCTGGTTTCCTCTACGAGTGTCTAAGCTTCATGATGTTTGGAACAGTATCTTCTTGTTCAATGATGTCTTTCCAGTACCTAGCACGATGCCTGGCATTTAGCAGGTGTTCAGTATGCATTTGTTAAGTGGATAAAACATATTCTAAATCTAGATCTTTCTGATATAATAGAGCAAATGGGAATTTTTGTTGGTGTCATTTGAGTTTTCAGTGACTGTAGCTTTGCTTATTGTTTGCCTGTTGATCAGTTTCCGTTTTTTCATAGAATGCACTATGAGCATTTGCTCTAGCCAGGTAATGCACTAGGTACTGGAAATCAAAGTTGAATAAGATTTTGACTCTGCCCAGAAGGAGTTTACCAACCGGCAGGATAGTTTATATTTTCATGGAAGGACACAGACAATGGGAGGATTGGATATTTCCATGGAAATGAGCTCACTTACACTTGTTTTATTCAATGAGATCATTCATGTAGGAGTAGGTAGGGCATCAGAGAAAGGGTTATAGGCCCTCTTGGCTGAGCCAGTGTGGCTGTGGCCAGGTTCACTGGAGTCAGAGTACAGCCCGGGTTCAGGAGGGCTGAGCTGACTCACCAGGAAAAAGCACAATCAGGAGTCAGGCCAGGTCAGGTGAGCAGGCTGGGCTCACCTGCAGGGCAAGCAGGCACGGAGCACGTGGCTGTGCAGACTCAGTTTGTTAAATACTGGGCTGCCCCCAGTGGTATCTCCCTAGACACCACAAAACCCACTTGCATTAGAAGCCCTCTGTGTGTGGGTTTATGAATTGCCAGCAAGGGCTGAGCCAAGGTCTTCAGGCAAAAGGTTGAGCAAATGGCCCTGTATTCAGGGAGAGCAGAGTTTGAACCTGGTACCACTTGGAGCTATGGGATCGTGAGACAGAGTTATGTCAGCTTTCTGAGGCCCAGTTTCCTCTTTAGCAAAGTGAGACAGGAATATCTGTGGCTCACTGGGGAGATGAAATAATGTACAGTGAGTGCCTCTGTATAGTTGATATTCATTAGCTGTTTCTTTTCTTGTAGGTGTGGGTTCTGCTTTGCAAGAACTTTTATTCCCTTTCTTCACTGCTCTGTCCTGTCACCCATTCCCCTCCCCTATCACATACTTTCTCCAGTCTTGAAGAAACCTCCAGTTGTGGCGTGATGAGTAGGCTCTTCCTGTGCTATGGAGGGGTACCTGGAACCTAGAAGGCACTCAACACATATTTGTGATAAATGGTCAGATGGGTGGAGAAATGAACAAATCCTCCATTTAAAGGCTTCTACTGCCACTATAGTAACCATGTGTAGTGGCGCAATCTCAGCTCACTTGCAGCCTCGACCTCCCAGGCTCAAGTGATCCTCCTGCCTCAGCCTCCTGAGTAGCTGGGACTACAGGTGCACACCACTGCACCTGGCTAATTTTTTCTATTTTTTGTAGAGATGGGGTCTCCCTATGTTGCCCGGGCTGGTTTGAGAAAGCCTTTGAATTTCTAACTTGACTCTGCCATAGACAGCAGACAACCTGTGACCACTAACCCCTTCAAGGATTACTCTGTGGCGAAGTCATGTTGCCCACGTTCATACCCCTTCCTGGGATAACCTGCAGTCAATGAATGATCAATGCCAGAGTACAAATGTCTGGTCATCTTCACCCAACTCCAGGAACTCTAGAAGGTCACTCTAGCTCCTGGACTTCTCCTGGGTTCAGCCTAGGCTGTCTGCTTTTGGCTTGAGTCCTCCCTCTGCATCTTCGGCTCCCTTCCTTTCCTTCTTCAAGTGTTGATCTGTACATCATTCCCTAATAAATATTTTGCACCTTAAAATGTGCCTCAGAGTCCACTTTCTGGGGGATGAACTGGTAACATATTGGCTCACCTAACTAAAAGGGCCAAAGGCTATCAGGCACAGTTGGGTATAAAGCTAAGCTAGAGGCAGGCCATAGTGGCTCACACCTGTAATCTAACCACTTTGAGAGTTCGAAGTGGGAGGATCACTTGAGGGCAGGAGTTTGAGACCAGCCTTGGCAACACAGTGAGACCCCATCTCTACAAAATTAGCTGGGCATGGTAGTGCATGCCTGTAGTCCCAGCTGCTCGGGAGGCTGAGGTGGGAGGATTGCTTGAGTCCAGGAGTTCGAGGCTGCAGTGAGCCATGACTGTAACACTGCACTCCAGTATCCTGGGTGAGATGATCCCTTTCCTCATAGCCTTACCATCTAGTAGAGAAGAGATATCTTATACAAATAAAGGCAGATTCATTATAGTAATTATGATTATATAGGGGACTGATATGGTTTGGCTGTATCCCCATCCAAATCTCAACTTGAATTGTATCTCCCAGAATTCCCACGTGTTGTGGGAGGGACCCAGGGGGAGGTAATTGAATCATGGAGGCTAGTTTTTCCCATGCTATTCTTGTGATAGTTAATAAGTCTCATGAGATCTGATGGGTTTATCAGGTGTTTCCACTTTTGCTTCTTCCTCATTTTCTCTTGCTGCCACTATATAAGAAGTGTCTTTCACCTCCCACCATGATTCTGAGGCCTCCCCAGCCATGTGGAACTGTAAGTCCAATTAAATCTTTTCTTTCTTTTCAGTCTTGGGTACGTCTTTATTAGCAGCGTGAAAACAGACTAATATGGGGATGCTAAGAAAAAGAAAGAATGGGCCGGGCACTGTGGTTCACACCTGCAATCCCAGCAGTTTGGGAGGCTGAGGGGGCGGACCACCTGAGGCCAGAAGTTTGGGACCAGTCTGGACAACATGGCGAAATCCCGTCTCTACGAAAAATACAAAAATTAGCTGGTGTGGTGGGGGACGCCTGTAATTCCAGCTACTCGGGAGGCTGAGGCTGGAGAATCACTTGAACCCAGGAGGCAGAGGTTGCAGTGAGCTGAGATCGTGCCATTGCACTCCAGTCTGGGCAACGAGAGAGAAACTCCATCTAAAAAACAAAAAAGAAAGGATGGGATGGGAGTTTATAGTTCAGGACTTGGCCACAGAGTCTAACGAGGCCTCCCTGAGCAGGGGACCTGTAAGCTGGCTTTATAGAATGAGTAAAAAGGAGCCTGTCTAGTCAGAGGGGACCACATATGGTAGGAAGGAGTTTGATGCGTTGGAGCAACTGAAAGGCCAGGGTGGCTGGAGCCTAATGTAACACAATTTTGATGTAGGAAAGAGCTTTGATTTGTGGGCTCCTTCCTTTCTTTGCCTGAATCTATCACCCTAGATGCTGCTGCCTATTGGATGCTCAGAGCACCTGCTCTCCCGAGTGCGTGTGTGCATTCTCTCTCTCTCTCTCTCTCTCTCTGGCGTTTTCTCTGCTCAGACCTGCTGCTTTCATCACATCCACACTGGCCTCTTTCCTCCTTCAAAACTAGTCTATTCTGTGCCCCTCTGGGTCCCCTTGGATTTCTTTAATGAATCCCAAAAATGAATGGCAATGCATGCACCTTCTGGGATCATCTGGCTCCTAAAGACCTTTGACACAACTACTTGGCTGCAGGTGTGTGGAAGGATTAAGCAGAGAGGAAACAGCAGAGGCTGAGGCCCAGTCAAGTAGAGAAAGGAGAGCCTTTGCTGAAATGCCACGCCAAAGGGGGTGAGGTGCAGGAGCCAGGTCCTGGCATGAGGGAGATGGACCAGCACCAGGGAACAGGTCAAACGAGAGGCCCAATTATTGGCATGCCGGAAGCAGAGGCAGCTGGAAGGCAGAGGCAGCCAGAAGATGGCTGATCTGTTGCCAGAGTGCTTTACAGTCCTGCCCTGTCTCCACTCGGGAGCTGTAGCCCAAGGCGCAGGGTCTGCACGTGTGAGGAATGCAGAGAATGGCAGGCATCGGGGAGGGCCCAGCGTGAGGAGGGAGGGGAGGGTGGCACGCACACAAGAGGAGGAGAGATTTCTGGAGCCAGGAACCACACCTGTCTACATCTTTCAAAGCCTTATCACCTTTGTAATTTAAGCAGTTTCATTTCCACTGAGATTAAAAGTGTGAGCAATTAGGTAAATTGTGCCTAATTTACTACTCCCTAAGGAAGTGTGACAGAATAACCCTGAACGTCATCCCACCCATCAAATATCCTGGCCATAATTGCCTTCTGTATGTCTTTCTTAAGAGTTTTGGAATGTCTGTAAGAGTGTGCATGTGTGTGCATGTGTGTGTGTGTGTAGAGCGATAGAGAGAGGGAGTTTATTTATATATACATATATTTTTACTGCAAATATATTTTTGTGTTTTACCTTGCAAGCATAGTTCAATGATCTTTGCTCCCCGTGCTATTTTAGGCAGGAAAATACCTCCTTCCTACGTGTAGCAGGCGCAAGGGGCGGGACATTTGTTTACTTTGTGCTGGTCCATCCTTCTGCCAGGAGCTCTCTCTGCCTTTCCAGGCTCTCTCACCCCCAGGAACTTGGCAACTCCTATCTATCCTTCAACTTTCAGCCTAAATACCACGTTCTCCAGGAAGCCTTCTGACTTCCTGAGTTCTTCCTTGGGTGCCCACGTTGGCCTCGTGTCTGTAGTTGCCATTCTGTCAAGCACAGCATTTACTGCACTGCTGTAATCACTATTTGCTGTCTCTCTCTTCTGCCACACCTGTGTTTTTGAGATTGACTTGTAACCCATTGATGAGCTGTGAAATCAAATGTCATGACCAGCATTTCTGGTTTTGTATTATTTATTTTGGGATATTTTTGTATGTTGTATTTGAATACTAATAAAATCATGTTTGCTATTTAACTTTATGTTTTTACTTAGTCATATATGAGTGAGTGTTGTCTCATGAAACTTTTGTTTCCGTTGTGTGTATGTGTGTGTGTGTGTGTCTGTGTGTGTGTGCAGTAGTGAAGACACAGGCCCAGATATTTTGAAGGATATGGTGTGAGGCAGTGTTTTTCTTCAAATTTTTGAGCTGTGAACTACAGTAAGAAAAACTTTTTTTTTTTTTTGAGACAGAGTCTCACTCTGTTGCCCAGGCTGGAGTGCAGTGGCATGATCTCGGCTCACTGCAACCTCCACCTCCTGGGTTCAAGCAATTCTCGTGCCTCAGCCTCCCGAGTAGCTGGGATTACAGGCGTGGACTACCAAACCCAGCTAATTTTGTATTTTTAGTAGAGACGGGGTTTCACCATGTTGGCCAGGCTGGTCTTGAACTCCTGACCTCAGATGATTCACCCTCCTCAGCCTCCCAAAGTGCTGGGATTACAGGCGTGAGCCAGTGCACTGGACCGGAAAAAGATTTAATATGGTAGCATATATATAGGCTCATACACATAGTTTCTAAAGCATTTTCATATGTGCTATTTTATTTTGATATGTACAACTCATGTGAAGTAGATATTATTAACTAATTTTAGATATAACGGAGAGTGAGCAATTAAGTGACCTATCAAAGGTCATATAACTCATAAACATTGACACTTAGGGCCTGAATCCAGGGATTTTGATTAGTACTCATTCTCACACACATAGCATTATACACCTGCACCCAGAGAGTCAAAGTGGGATGAGCTCTAATATCTAATCAACATATGTAGAAATCGTGATTTATTATATGCAATATTGTTCAAAACTCTAACTGTGCAACTATGGGATAAAGAGCTATGTAATAGTACCAGAACTTTCAGTGGGAAAGCCACTGAGGGAGTTTAGCAAATAGTATACTTATTATAAGCCAGCTTTTGTGTCTATCAAGAAAAAGCTCATTATTTTGATTTTGGACTCCCTTAATAGAAGTAGAATATCTGGAAGGAGGAAAGTGATTATTTTATACTCTTCTGAGAGCACTGTATTTTATTCTGGACAGCACATGTGCAGACTAATGGGGAAGAATAGGCTGTGTTTAGAGAAAAAATTACCCCGAGAGGCAGGAGGGCTCAGGCCCTGCCATATCGAAATAGACGGAGGAGTGGGGTTGGAGCGAGTACGCTGCAGGTGGGGTAGAATGGAGGTCATCCCATACTTGAAGAGCTGTGCTGTGGAAAACGGCATCAGCTTTGTTTCACATGGCCCCAGTGGAAACAGCAAGGAGAGCAGCTGCTACATGGGAAAACTGTGGTAAACCTCTGTGGTGTTTGCTGCTTCCCTTTCTTCCATCACAGAGCCCATGTGTTGCTCAGGCAGCAGCCCTCCCTTACTCTTGACCCCTGTGGTCTGTCTTGGGGATCTGAAGACTCTGGCCTAAACTAATCAGCACATTTCATCCTCTCTGGACACAGCGCTTAGTCCAAGAATCAACCGGCCACTCAAATTAGCTTAATGGAAAGTACATTTTGAACTTTATAAAATTGCTGGTAAAAAGTTTTCTCCTCCAACTGGATTTGGGACTGCATGGATACTCAGCGTTGCTGGAGATGGCCTGCCTAAGAGTAAAGTCCACACAAAGGAGAGCTGAGCCCAGAGCAGGTGACACTGTGCCCTGACTCTCATCCCGAGCCCCTGGAACCAGCCTGAAAGCCCCTAGATCTTTCAGCTGGGAAGCCCAATATGTTGCAGGTTCATGCCCCGGAAAGGGTGCAGGATATTGATTAGGGAATGCCTTAGGTATCAAGACTTGAGGAAGAACAGAAGATGCAGAGGGAGGACGAAGGCAACTGCAGACCTGAAGACAGCCTCAGCCACACCCAGAGAAGCCCTGGAGCTAGAGCGGCCTTCCAGAGTTATCAGAGTTGGGGGAGATGACCAGGCATTTATACTCCTGTGTTGATCATTCATTGGCTGTGGATTGGCCCTGGAAGGGTGGCTACAATGAAGCAATCCCTGAAGGAGTGGACAGTTAAAGGTCGTCTGCTGGGAGCTCTCTGGCAGCTGATGATAAAAAGCCCTTTACTGGAGGGAGATCTGTGTGGCACATCAAGGGTGCGCTGCAGAATACCTTCTTACTTATTTGTTAATTTATCTTTCGCCAAACACAGTTTCAGTGGGTTTTTGCCACTGACAACTGAAGGAATAGTGACACGCGTGATAAGGAACCATTTTCTAAAATTCAGAGCTGTAACCCCATATATGTAAGGGATTGCCTTGGGAGGTAGTGAGCTCCCCATCATCAGAGGTATCCAAGCAGAGCCTGGCAGACCACTTTGGAAGGGAAATTTTCATGCATTGGGGGGAAACTCGAGCTGGATGACCTTGCAGTCTAAGATCCCATGACTCCAGGTCCAGGAACTCTGGTCACTTCTAGTGGACTGACACATGGACATCACATGGACAGCCGGAGCATCCCAGATCAAGCCCTATTCCTCCCAGCCAACTTCCCTTGACACTAAACTGAGGACAGAGGAGAGGAATGAGTAAGGAGTTTGCTAAGGAAAAAAAGGGTAGATACTTTTTTTTTCTTTATAAGGCATGTGAAAGGAATATTTCAACTGACTCTACCACAGGCAGGGAGTTCTCCCCTGCCACACCCACAAGAGGCAAGTTAGGCTCAGTTAATGGTATCTTGGAACCTCCTCAGTAGAATTTTCCTCCGTTTCTGCCCACGTCTGAGTGTCTTCATATGTCTCCTCTCGAGTCTGGCTTCTCGTGTCACTGTGTCTCTTTGTGAGTCAGCCTTCATCGCTGCTTGTTAGGCTTTTTGTGCTTTGATGCCAAGAGCCTCAGTCTCACACGCCCCTCTGGCCGTCCCTGCCTGGGACACCGAGTTGAATTTCCCCACCCTGCGTCTGGGTCCTCACTCCCGCGCTCCGGGCGTCCAGCTCACGCCTGTCTGGTGGATCTTCTAGTCTCTGCGTTGGCTCTCTCTGACCGTGGGTGGTTTCTCCAGCCACATGATCTCAGCCTCAGCCCAGTGCCTGCCACCTTGGAGCAGGGAGAAGAGTAGGCAGTTTGCACGTAGTGTGAGGAAAGGGCCCTGGATTCGGTGTCTGGAAAACCTAAGTTTGAGCCCCAGCAGGCTCTGCCACTCACATGGATCAGTCACTTGAAATCTCGGAACTTCAATTTCTTCATCTATAAAGTGGGGAGAATACCCATCCCGCCTCCCAAAGTTGTGGTGGAAAGAACCATAGGCTAGGTTACTGTTGGTTGCGATGTGACTCCGAGCCAGGCGTTCTGTTTAGCACTTGTCTGTCCTTCCTGATTCTCCCAACACAACCCTTTCAAGATGGTATTTGCAGCCTAATTTTACAAATGAGGAAATGGAGGCTCAGGGAGGTTAAAAAATTTACTTAAGGTCACACAGCACAGCTAAAATTTGAACCCGGCTCTGCCAACTATGAAACTCCTGCCATTGGCTGGGCGCGGTGGCTCACGACTGTAATCCCAGCACTTTGTGAGGCTGAGATGGGTGGATCACGAGGTCAAGAGATCAAGACAATCCTGGCCAAGATGGTGAAACCCCGTTTCTACTAAAAATACAAAAATTAGCTGGGCGTGGTGGCGGGCGCCTGTAGTCCCAGCTACTCAGGAGGCTGAGGCAGGAGAATCACTTGAACCCGGGAGGTGGAGGTTACAGTGAGCCGAGATTGCGCCACTGCACTCCAGTGCGGCGACAGAGCGAGACTCCGTCTCAAAAACAAACAAAAAAACAAAAACTCTCGCCATGTATGCATTTCACTGTAAGAGGAGGAACACAGGAAGAACATGCTTTATAATGGTGAGAAATCTTTTCTGCACATCAGTATTTATGACTTTTTCTGAGAGTCTGCCCAGGCTGGAGTGCAGTGGCATGATCACCGTTTGCTGCAACCTCGAGCTCCTGGACTCAAGCGATCCTCTCGCCTCAGCCTCTTGAATAGCTGGGACTACAGGCACGCACAAGTACACCTGGATAACTTTTAATTTTTTTTGTAGAGACGGGGGTCTCGCTATGTTGACCAGGTTGGTTTTGAAATCCTGGGCTCAAGCAATCCTCCCATCTCAGCCTTCCAACGTGTTGCAATTACAGGCATGAGCCACTGCACCTGGCCTTGTCACTATTTTTGAATCATCCATGAGTCTCTCTGGGTATCAGAGGCATAAGAACTGTCAGATAGGGATGGTGCTGGCACATTTGTGGGTCAATTGCAGAGAACCCTGTCGAGTTAACAGTCCTTCCCATCTCTAGTTTCTTCAGCCTCAGGAAATACACAGCTAGCAAATGTGAAGAAAATAAGGCTTCCTGTTACTTAAGATGGACTGGAACGCTAGAACCAGGAACTTGATTCTGAGATCAACTTTGAAGTAACAAAACTTGGCTGGGGTCAAAATGACCAGCATTATTGCACCATACAAATAAGCCTGCAGTATCTGCAGCCCTCATCCTGTGGTATGGCCTCTGCAGGCATCCAGGCTGAGGTCCACTTGCAGGGGCAGGAGCTGTGGAACCGCTGCATACTGGCACAGCCCCCCACCTATGAACAGAAGCAGATGCTGGGAGAATGTTTGCTCCCGCTCATCCAAACAATGCATTCAAACCTGGCTGGAAAGATGATAAGAATGCTGCCAGAGACTAACAACTCTGAGCTGCTGCTGATGCTGGAGCCCCCCAAGTTTCTCAGGTCCAAACTGGATGAGCCACGGCGTTCTACAGGCTCATTGTGGCAGGAGAGAAGCTGCCCAGGAGGTGGGTGCAGTTGCTGCTGATATCTCTTAGTCAAGAAAAACTGACTGCAAAGCCAAATAACCCCTTGAGGAATTCACCTCAAGACTTGAAGACTTCATAGCTTATCCTATGAACCTCAGTGTCAAGAACCACAGATGGCAACTATGATAGGCCATTTTGTTTCAAAAGGTCAATTATGAAGCTGTAGACTTTTTCAATTATATGAATATGTTTTCTGGGTTCTGCTACGGCCCAGACAGTGTTAACTTCTTTTTCTATTGTGGATTTTGATGTTTTCCTCCCAAGATATTAGTTTTATTATATGTCCCCAAGCCTTAAGTTTCTCCATAAAGGAAAAAAAATCTCCAGGGAAAAAAAATCAGCCTCTTAGCAGGTACTGGTGGTCATAAAACACCCAGACAACACCAGACGGTGGCGCCAGAGAGGCAGGCAGGTGGCAGGAGGGCTGCACGGAGTTGGAGGCTCCTGAGTCTTCTGTTTCATTTGCTGGCAGCTTCTGTGTGCCTCAGGTGCCAGCGGCCTGGCTACTCTTGTTTCTCACAGTGTGCTGAAGTATCATGGGGTTTGTCCCTAGCAGGTCACCCAGAGTCCAACAGGAAGTGAGAGCAGCTCCTTCCTGCTGCAGTAAGAGATGAACATTCCCTTTGGAGAGACACACTAGGTCACTACAAATGGGCCACTGAAGAACCTGGCACTGGCCGCTATCACTGGCCCCAGCTGCAGTGCTGCTTGCTGTTCACAGGTTTGTCTCTTTCTGTATTATTTATAGCAAACATGGAGGGTTCACACTGGCCTAGGCAGCATCCAAGTGCTTTTACATGTGACAACGCAGAACTTTCTAACATGGCATACCAGGACTGCAGGTGACATATGTGCCTCAATTTTTCATCACCTTACCACTGGCTATGAGTAGATTCATCCATTTATGCCACTATCATTTGTTTTGTGAATTATGTTAATACCTAATGCAAATACTATTTTCTGGTCAAGTGCGGTGCCTCACACCTGTAATCCCAGCATTTTGGGAAGCTGAGGTGGGCAGATTGCCTGAGGCTAGGAGTCTGAGACCAGCCTGGCCACATAGTGAAACTCTGTCTCTACTAAAAATACAAAAAGGTGGGACACGCCTGTAATCCCGGCTGCTCGGGAGGCTGAGGCTCGAAAATCGCTTGAACCTGAGAGGCGGAGGTTGCAGTGAGCTGAGATGGTGCCACTGCCCTTCAGCCTGGGTGACAGAGCAAGACTCTGTCTCAAAAAACAAACAAACAAACAAAAAATACCATGTATTTTCTCTGGATGCCATGGCATGAAAAGTTGGGAAACACTGCCGTGAATGAATCTTCACACAACTTATGGGGTAGTTCTTCCTAATACCTCCTTTTTACATATGAGAAAATAGAGGCTCCGAGGGGTTGCTTGACTGGACCAAGGTCACAGAGCTAATAAGCAGTCGAGCCAGGACTGGAACCCAGATGGCCTATGTCTAGAGTTTCCATGCTCGTGTCCCTAGACCAAAAGCTCTCAACCCTAGCTATATATTAGAATCTGAGGAACTCAAACAAACAAACAAACAAACCCAAAGCCAAGAAATTGTCACAGCCAAGAGAAGCCTAAGGAGACCTGACGACTAAATGTAATGTGGACCCTGAATGGGACCCTGGAAAAGAAGAAAGACATTAAAAGAAAAACAAAGAATTCTAAATAAAACATAGACTTCAGTTAATAAAAATATATCAATATTGATCCATTAAATGTAACAAATGTACCACACTGATGTAAGATGTTAACAATAAGAGAAATGGCGGGGTGGAGTATACAGGAATTATATACTCTGTACTATCTTTGTAATAATTCTGTAAATCTCAAGGTCATCTAAGTAAAAAGTTTATTCTTAAAAAAAAAACAAGCAGAAAAATATCTGAGGGTCCTATCTCATAACAATTAAATCAGAATCACTGGAGTGAGATTCAGGTATCAGCATTTTTTAAAAAGCTCCCCAGGAGATTAAAATGTTCATCCGGGGCCAGGTGTGGTGGCTCATGCATGTAATCCCAGCACTTTGGGAGGCCTAGTCGGGCGGATCACCTGAGATCAGGAGTTCGAGACCAGCCTGGACAAGACGGTGAAACTCCGTCTCTACTGAAAATACAAAAATTGGCCAGGCGTGGTGGTGGGTGCCTGTAATCCCAGATATTCAGGAGGCTGAGGCAGGAGAATCACTGGAACCTGGGAAGAGGAGGTTGCAGTGAGCCGAGATCACACCATTGCACTCCAGCCTAGATGACAAGAGTGAGACTCCATCTCCCCTACCCCACACAAAAAATGTTCATCCAAGATGGAGAACCCCTGCACTGCCTCCCTGACATAGACCCTAAGCACTTTGAGTTCAGGGAGTTTGCTTATTCATTTTCATACCCCAAGCACCTAGCAGAGTGCCTGATACAGGTAAGGCACTCAGTATACATTTGATGAATAAGTGACTGACTCACTGAATGAATGAATGAATGAATATTTCAGCCTCTCATCAATTCAAACCTGACTTAATCAACTCTGAAGAGAAGAGATTACATGAAAACATGTAACGTCAGGCAGCAAGCCTATCGTGTCTATCACTGGGTACTGATTATTGTGTGCTAGCTGCTAGGTGCTGGCCATGGCTAGGAGTAGGTTAGGAGGTGATGCCTGTCCTCAAGGCATATTCTGTAAGGGGAGGTTAGGCCTTGTGGGGCAGGGAGTAAGCAGGCAGGGTGTGGAATCAAATGGTCTAGGTTCAAACCCCTGTTCCTGCATTTAGTAGCTGTGTGGTCCTGGGTGGTTTTCTAACCACACTGGAAACTATGGGAGATATGAAAATAAAGCAGAAACGGACGCTGCCGTGTGAAGTAGAAACCCAAGAGAAGAAATTGGTTAAACGTGGCATATGACGAGTTTTGCTTTCATTGTTTTGCTCTCTACAAGATTTATTTCCTGTCATGAAAACTCCACCCATGCCCTAGTTGGAAATCACCAGTGAAAAGGACGGGAAACTGGGCTGTCCTGACGTGAGCAGCTGGGATCCCACTAGGTCACGAGCTTGGGAAAGGAGGAAGAAGGAGATGTTGTGTCTGGAGTCATGAGGAAGTGGGCTCCTCCTGGACCTGCTGGATTCTGCCAGGGCCAGAGCACCTTTTGGGTGTGGGAGGTCAGCCAGATGATTGTTGCTAATGCTCACGGGCTCACAGGGGGCTGACTCGGCCCCAGCAAGTAAATCACTTTTTTAAGTGCTTTACTTGCTGCAGATCATTTAGTGTCCACAACCTCTGCATGAAGCCATCATTCTCTTTTTATGGCTCCCATTTTATTGGTGCTGACACTGAGGCCTAAAGTTAAAGAACTCATCCAAGGTCACACAGCTAGTAAGTGGCAGGACCAGGATTCAACATAGGTTGTCTGGCTCAGAGTGTGTGCACTTAAACACTACCTAACTCCCCCTTGCAAGTGGGATGCAGCCTGGTTTTGCAGGAAAAGCACCCACTTCAGAATCAGGCAGAGAGGGGGATCTGATCTGGCCTTGCAACCCTGGATATGGCACTTAACCTTCCTGATCTGTAATGTGGAAATCATAAGAGGGCTGTTGTGAGGACTAAATGAGACAATATAGTAGCCATTTTCCTTTTCCTTCCTTCTTAGTCTTTCCTTCCTCCTTTTCCCCCATCCACCTGTTCCCCTGTTGAACTTTCATATTTCACCTTTGTTTCTCAAAGCTAGTGAAGAAAGCGAAGAGCTTCCAGGTCTTGATTTACTCCTCTAATGGTGCAAAAATAAGGGATGAAATATTTTTAATAATTACATGTATATGCATACACTGTGTGTGTGTGTGTGTGTGTGTGTGTGTGTGTGTGAGAGAGAGAGAGAGAGAGAGAGAATTGGCTGAAGGAATCAGGACAGGCTGCACTGGAGGCCAGACTCTTCAGTGAGGCAGAGGGTACCAGCCAACAACATGGCAAAGACCTTATAGAAGGGAGCAGAAGGGGCATGCCAAGAAGTAGTTTGTCAAATTCCCCTGAGAGAGGGCCTGGTAAACTACCACAAGGAAATGAAATAAATGTGGACCGGACCCCCTACCCAGTGATCTCCTGTGATCATCTTGACAACTTACATTATTATGTTCATTTCATAAGGAGGTTAAGTCACTTGCCCTAAGCCACACAGTTAGGGAATGGAGGTAACAGGATATGGCTAGTGCCACACAGTCTTCCATCCTGAATATGTAAAGGTGGGGGGGTGGGGCATGCAATGTGGAAAGAGGGGCCAAGAAACCAGGAAGACTGAGTTTAAATGCTAAATGTCCTTCGTAGCCCACAGTGCTGTTATGAATTTAAATCAGATAATGCATTTTTAAATGCTTTAACAGTAAAGTGCTATGCAAATGGAAGATAATATCAGAACACAGGGAGTACAGTTGTATCTACCTAAGTTTCAGAAGAGCATCTAGTGCAACAGCACAAACCATGGAGGCATACAGGCTCCTTTAAATTAGGGGGTAGTGGAAAGTCCATGAACTTCAGCATCTGACAGGTCTGGGTTCTGGTAGTTGCTTTACTTTACCACTCTCTAAAGCAGTGTTGCCCTGAGCACATCCCTTCCCTGGACCTTAGTTCCCCTTATCCTTAAAATAGAGAAGCTGTACCCAAGGTGCTGTAGGGTCTCATCAGCCCTTACATGGTGAGAATCTGGGACAACAGAGCTGGATTCAGATCCACCTTCAAGTTGGCCTGCAGTGGCCCCAAAGATAGTCAGGCAATCTCAGGAAAGAAAACATTATTTTATTGTAATTTGATTTTAAAACCTTGGTTGTTCCATTTATTGTAAGGGTAGCATATGCAAACTTTCAGAAAACACTAGAAGAATATAATAGTCCTTAAAAAAAACCTTGAGTTTGCAGAAAAATACAAAGATGCATATAAAGTTCATCTAGACCTAGACACTTAACTTGTTGGTGTATGTCACTGTAAATTTTTGATTAGACAAAATCGATTTATAGAAGTCAATATTTAAAATCTTGATACTTTCCTTTTGTATAATCTTCTTTCATTAGTTAAACACAAGGGATACTGTCTACATATAGAAACTGTCTTTTAAAAAATTCTGATTGGATTCAGTTAACTAATCAAAAATGTTGGAAAATTAGTTGAGCATTTTGATGTCACTATCAATTGTCTAATTGTTACTAAATCTGCCAAATAAAAGTGAAAAGCCTATTAGATTATGTAACCAATTATTCTTAAAATTCTTTACTGCCTTTAAAAAAATCAGTCAAACACAAACCTGGTTAATTAAACTTGACTTTGCATCTTTAGCTTTAAGAGATACTGCTGCTAATCGCAACACTTATATTTTGCTTTACAAAAAGCTCACTCTCTATACAATATTCTATTTGTTAAGAAAAATTGACACAGGCAGCACTTTGGGGAGGGAGTGTCTGATGCATCAAACTAGCAGAGCCAAGCTATCATTGACGGTCTGGAGCCTTCTGTCAGGGGCTGGAATTCAACAGCTGTCTTCCCTTCATGCCATAAATGATCCAGGTCATTCAATCAGATTAATCCAGCTGGGGGAGAAGTCATTGGTGAGTAAAACACCGATGTATGTGCAGGCTTGGCTGGGGTTAAGTAATGTGACAAGAGTTGCATGAGGCATTGGATTACTCAAGCTCTCATTCTTAGCCCCACATGTATCAGTCAGGAGTAGCCAGGGTCTGCTGTGATAACAACCCCAATCTCAGTGGTTTAACATAATAAAAATTTATTCCTCACTTTATGCTATCATTGATAGACAGGTGGACTCTGTTCATTCTAGTCACTTAGGAACCCAGACAGATAGAGGCCTCATTTCAACACATGCTTCCAAGAAATGTGGCAAATTCTTAAAGCTTCTGCCTGGAAGTGCTGTGTGCAACTTTTTCTTTTCTCTCTCTCTTTTTTTTTTTTTTTGAGATGGAGTCTCGCTCTGTTGCCCAGGCTGGAGTACAGTGGCATGATCTCGGCTCACTGCAACCTCTGCTTCCCAGGTTCAAGCAATTCTCCTGTCTCAGCCTCCTGAGTAGGTGGGACTACAGGTGCACGCCACCATGCCAGGCTAATTTTTGTATTTTTAGTAGGGACGGAGTTTCATCATGTTGGTCAGGCTGGTCTCGAACTCTTGACCTCAGGTGATCCGCCCGCCTCAGCCTCCCAAAGTGCTGGGATTACAGGTGTGAGCCGCCATGCCCAGCCGCCATATGCAACTTTCACTCACATTTTACTGGCCAAAGCAAGTGATACGACTACACCTAACTCCACTGGGGGTGGGGAAGTAGAATGCTGCCATATGATTGTCATTTTGCCACCAAACCAACTATGTGACCTTGGGCTCTGTCAGCCTCAGCTTTGATATCTATATAATAGGGGTTACCTGGCCTCTATATTCATTCATTTATCATTTATTCATTCAATCAGTGAATACGGTTTTCTGGTTAGGAGCCCAAATTCTGTAGCCAGCTTACCTGGGGTCATTCTCAGCTAAGTCACTTACTACCTGTATAACCTTAGGCAAGTTGTTCAATATCTTCTGGAGCTCAGTTTACTTATCTGTAAAATGGGGATGATAATAGTACCCATCTCATAGAGTTGTTGTGCCGGTATAATGCATATATTATATAAGATACATAGAACAGGCAAAGTTCTTAGAACAGTTCCATGTGGTAAGTGCTGTGCACATGGTAATTTTAATATTCATCAATCCATTTAGCCATTTATTTAATGAATATTTGTTGATAATCTTTCCTGGTTATCTTTGAAGGCTCTTATGAAGACTAAGGAAAAAAAAACAGATGTAAATTCCGTTTGCAAATGATAAGTTGCCCAAAGGGAGGCATAATAAGAGGCAGCATTTTTACAGGACTTGGATTTATTTTTCCTACCATTTATTGAGCACATAGTATGTGTTAGGCTCTGTACTAAATGCTTTTATAACAACCCTGTGAGATAGTTTTATAGATGGGGAAACTGAGACATCAAGAGGTTAGGTCCCACAGATGGTGCATTGTAGGGCCTTGCAGGGTGCAGCCCCAGGATATGGTCAGCCCTGCATGAAAACCTTTGCTCTTTCCCTGGCGCGATGCTGTGGAGAACCATCTGCTCATCATTTGGCCTGTTGGTTTTTCTACTAAATTGAAGCTCCTCAAAGGCAGAAGATGTTCCCCTTAATTCTTGGTGTTATTTTGCTGCCCAGTACCACACCAGTGACACCATAAGGTGGCCATTTACAAAGAGG
Source organism: Homo sapiens (assembly GCF_000001405.40). Classification (NCBI taxonomy): domain Eukaryota; kingdom Metazoa; phylum Chordata; class Mammalia; order Primates; family Hominidae; genus Homo; species Homo sapiens. The sequence continues at coordinate 67,568,711 of NC_000001.11, forward strand.
AGGAGGCCAGACATGTTAGCTCATGCCTGTAATCCCAGCACTTTGGAAGACTGAGGCAGGCAGATTGCTTGAGTCTGGGAGTTCGAGACCAGCCTGGGCAACATAGCGAAACACCATCTCTATAAAAATACAAAAATTACCTGGGTGTGGTGGCGCGTGCCTGTGGTCCCAGCTACTTGGGAGGCTGAGGTGAGAGGATCAGTTGAGCCCAGGAGATGGAGGCTGCAGGGAGCCAAGACGATGCCACTGCACTCCAGCCTGGATAATAGAGTGAGACCCTGTCAGAAAAAAAAAAAAAAGAAGGGGAGAGATTTAAGCCAAATATCAGCCTTGGGTTTAAATCTTGCCTCTCCCCCACCTGGCTGATAACTTTTGGGACGTCGTTTCTCCTCTCGAGCTTTTTGGTTTTTTGATTTTTTTTTTTTTGAAGAGAGTCTCGCTCTGCCACCCAGGCTGGAGTGGATCTCAGCTCACTGCAGCCTCCATCTCCTGGGTTCAAGCAATTCTCCTGCCTTAGCCTCCCGAGTAGCTGTGATTACAGGTGCCTGCTACTCCACCCAGCTAATTTTTGTATTTTTAGTAGAGACGGGGTTTCACCATGTTGGCCAGGCTGGGCTTGAACTTCTGACCTCAAGTGATCCCCCCCTTGGCCTCCCAAAGTGCTGGGATTACAGGCGTGAGCCACTGCACTTGGCATCTCCTCTTGAGGTTTTAATTTCTTCAACTGTTAAATCAGTTCCACAGCCCTTTCTATCCATAAACCCTTCATGATTCCTACTCTTTGAACACTTACAGCTTAAGAGATATTTGTTGATTTGGTAAGAAAGCATGACCGCACTTAAAAGGCTACTTATTATCAATTTTAGGCCATTTAGCTTGTGTCTGACATACTTCAAAGCCAGAGAAGAAAAGATATTATCTGACAGTACACATCTTTCTTCACCTGAGCACACATTTTCCATTTTACCTCTGGCTCTGCAAAAAAAAGGAGAGGGAGTGGGGAGGGGAAGGGGAAACACAGCCAAACTATGGAGCTCATGGGCTCTGGTGCAACATGTCCTGGGGAAACTTCCCAAAACCAAGGCCCTTGTTGGGTAAGAAGGCAGACCCTGCCTGACCTCTGCAGGAAAATTCCCCTTGAGCCAATGTTGCGGGGTCACACACTTCCAGCTTTCCAAGGCAAAACACATATGCTGCAGACACAATGGGCTTGGAGTAAACCAGTCCTTCCTGCAGATACCAGCCTGCAGAAAACACATTTTGGGAGCCTCTGGCCAGAGGAACTCAGTACATGCCACTCAGCCCGGGAGCAGTCAAAGATGCCATGGCAAGTAGACTCACTCAGCTGGGGAGCAGTGAAGATTGGCCACACTCATTGCTACCCCAGAAGCTGCAAGCTCCACTCACAGTTTTTTCCATCCCTCCCTCATATGATAATAGCTACCACTCTCAAGCACCTAGTTGGTGTGTTGACTGTGCTCAGCATTGTGTAGACATTAATTCTTCTAATCTCATAGCTGCTTCCTGAAGTAGGTACTGTTCTCCTCCACATTCTGCAGAGAGGATCCTGGAGCCCAGGAAGGTTGCATGACTGGCTATGGTCACACTGCTAGTAAGTGCAAAGTCAGGATCCTAACCCATGACCTGTATTCCAAATCCATTTCTAAGGTTTGTAATAAATCAGAAGCTGTGGTAGAAGGAGACATTGATGCTTCCAGACCTAGCCTGTCTCTCCCCAGGGACAGTGCTCATTCTGCCTCTCCCATCCACAAGAAGGTTCTGAGGATACTGGGGCTGCCTGGGACTTCCTATCCTGGTTGGACCAAGACCTATGCAGAGCAACTTGGCTTCCGGGGAACTTCAGCAGCCCTGGTCTTCCATGGGCTGAGTCATTGTAGCTTAGCCTAACGTTCTTAGCTGGAACAGTCATAGGAAAGTGTCTGGAAACTCCCCCATGTCTTATCGGCAAAGAATTTATTGAAGACAGTTCAGCCACATTCCTCAGCTTTCCCAAACCTCACCTTGCCCTGGGAGAATGAGAAAGGCCAGAAAGACATAAGGGCGAAAATGAGCCATGGAATTAGGAAGAGCTTTTCATGCCAGTGCAGGGAACTGGCAGCTTCTGCAAACATACCACTGACAACAGCTGGCCTGTGAGGGCCCAAGGACAATCACCCTGGGCCCACGGATGCCTGGGCCCCTAATAATGACCCTGGGCCCAATAACCCTGGGCCAATGACCCTGGGCCCCTGCCGTACGCCATCCTATGCCATCCATCTACCTTGACTAGTGCCAAATGCCTAATGTGTGCAAGGAGCTGAGTTAGGCGCTGATAGAGCCCAGTGGTTGAGTTTCTTAGGCAGATCTGGACTCAAAGTTCACATCTGTGCTTATTGGCTATGTGACCTCAGACAGGTTATTTAATCTCTCTGAGTTTTATTTTCCTATCTGTCATTTATCAAAACTTATGAGTTGTGGTGAGGATTAAATGAGAAATATATATGCTCAGCTTAGTGTGTGACATACCACAAGTTGTCAAGTCATAGAAGCTTTTATTAAGTATCAAACAATCATGTCACACCTTAATGAATTCAAACCTGGTATGGGTTAGGAACTGTGCTTGGCTCTGGAGGGAGGTGGAAAGACAGACACAATCCTTGTCTTCAAGGAGCTCACAGGACAGTGAATTAGCAAATTATTACTAGGAAGGAAATGTATCCAGAGAGATATATAAAGGGTATGAAGAGAACAGAGACTGGAGACCCATGGGAAGGGTAGGTACAATTTCCTGGAGAAGGTGATGTCTGAGCTGGTACCAAAGCAAGGTGGGAATTTGCCAGCTGAAGGAGAAGGGGCTGGGAGGTAAGGGCAGCCAGAGAGGGCAACTGGCACAAAAGCTTATGCATTACTCAATGCATGGTATGAACTAGACAGGGAATGGCTGAGGATGAAAGGACTCCAGGCTTGATGGAGAAGAGCTGGGTTCCAAAGGGCTATCCTTCCCTTTCCAGCTGTTAACCTTTTGTGTGTCTTATTATCCCTTGGAGACTTAATTTCCTTATCAGTAAAATAGAGCCACCACTAGCTACTTAACAGGGTGAGCTCCATTAGAAAATGCTACAGTGTTTGCACAGTGACAGGCATGTTTGTGGCTGAGTCTCTTGCACCCCAAAGCACGGTCCCTGGTGCAGCCAGTAGTTTGGGGTGCTCAAAAAGGTATCACACTAGCTTTCTTAGTGGAGTACTCACTATGGGCCAGGCACTGTGATAAACCATATGAATCTTATCCAGTTAGATAAGCTAAGCATGATCATTACTCCTCTCTAGGCGTGTCCAGAACTGAGGGGGTTCTTAGCAATCAGAAAATTCTGGGCAGACCTGGAGGAGTTGGTCACCCAACAAATGGGCATCGGAATAGGCCCAAGGCCAGAGGCTGAGCTGGAATTTGAACCCAGTCCTGTCAGCACACAGCACCCGAGTTCTTAACCACTGCACTATTACTTAAACCCATAAATGATATTCTTTCAAAACACAGTAATTGCTAAACCGATTCATTCCTAAACAGACCAATTAATCTTCCCTGTCTTTAAACTAATTCCCCTTCCGCACAATGGGCCCAGCATTCCGTCTTGAGCTTATGACACTCATATTTAGAATACTTGAAATATTGTCCGGTGAACAGACTGTAAACAGGAGAGCAGAGGGAAGGAGGGGAAGGGAGGGGGGAATGGGACAAGGCTGCAGCCACCAGCACCTGTCCTACCCGGACCACAGCCGAGCGCAGTCTCAGCCTCTCTGCCCCCATCACCCACTCCTGTCCGGAGCCGGGGGCATCAGTTCCAAATATTTGGCAGGCCCACCCGATAAGCCCCGCAGTTGAGTAGCAGCTGTGAAATGGGAGTTTGGGAGGGCCATGGAGCTGAGCAAGCAGCAGAAGGCATCAGGACCTTTGATTTCTTTTCCAAAGCACATTTTAAATGAGTAGCATGCTGGTACGGGGCTGGCGGCCCACAGTGAGGGATGAACTGACGCCTGCTCGGCGACAGGCAGGCATATGACACAAGGGTAAAGTATTATTTACTTTCTGGGAACAGGTGCTGCCCAGGACTCCCAGTCCTCTCTTGCCTGACTTCTCCCCTATCCACCTGGCCCGGCCCTTCTCAGAGGCTGCTCCTTCCCTCACCCTGCACAGCCCCGGCCCTGGGCACTGCTTCCTTCTCAGCCCTTAGCAACATGTGGCTCACAGGCACCCAGCCCATGCCAGTGGGGGGTTGGGTCCCACCTGGGACATGTGCCTGCTGGAATCAGCTCATTTTACATAAGCTCTTGGCACAGATGCCAGGTGATAACAACTTTTTGGCCCCAGTTAACCTGCAACCACCCTGTCTGTGCCCACACAGACACAACAGAAAGTCATGGAAGAGTGAGAAAGAAAGTTACTGCACGCAAATGTCTTTGCATACTGCCAGATTCATTCTGGAAAAATGTCCTAGATTATGATCCACTATCAGCTTTTGTATTAGAAGGGAAACAACCAACTATGCAGGCAAAATCCACCTACCACCAGCTGGTCTTTCCTCCTCTGATTATGTGTTATTTCCCTAAATCTCTGGTTGGTAAATGTGCAAGAGAAAAGGTTTGGGCTCTTCTGTTGATTCACAAAACAATACAGATGGCAGTTAAGACATTTCTTTGCATAGCTTGATTAGGGACAGACAGAGAAGGGGGAGTGAGCAAAGGGCCTGGAGGTCTTGCTTGGCTCATGAACTGATCACAGGCTGCTTTTACTCCATGCCTCTCTTTCTGAACCCCATGAAACCCCACACCCCTCCTTCTGAACCTCAGAACACATTGGCACCAACTGTGAAGCAGCTCCTCAGCCCAGGGATGTGGAGAGGAAAAAGTGCTCTCAATCTGGCAGTGGAGGGAAAACAAATATACAATTCATGATAGCACATGGTCCTGGGTCATAGGCCATGAGTGAAAGAAGCCACATGCTGTGGGTTTAGAAGAGGACAAGATTGCCTGTGATTGAGGAGCTCAGAAGAATGGCCCCATAGTTGCCTGGTTTAGAGCCTCACTCACTCTCCTTGACCACGGTAAACTGCATCTTCACTAGCATCTTGTTTCTGAGCTTGCCCCACTTCAATGCACCTTGAATTCTTCTGCCAGAGAGGTTTTTCTAACTTGAAGATTGGACATAGTTTCATTCATTCAAAATCTTTCACTGGTTGCCATCACTCCAGGATAAAGAATGGCTCATTATCATCTAGCTCCTACCTCCCTCCCCAGCCTCGTCTTTTTTTTTTTTTTGAGATGGAGTCTCGCTTTGTCACCCAGGCTGGAGTGCAGTGGCACGATCTGGGCTCACTGCAACCTCCGCCTCCTGGGTTCAAGTATTCTTCTGCCTCAGCCTCTTGAGTAGCTGAGATTACAGGCACACACCACCATGCCTGGCTAATTTTTGTATTTTTAGTAGAGATGGGGTTTCACCATATTGGCCAAGCTGGTCTTGAACTCCTGACCTCGTGATCCCCCCACCTTGGCCTCCCGAAGTGCTGGGATTACAGGCATGAGCCACCGCGTATGGCCAGCTTCGTCTCTTAAACTCATCTCTTCCCACCATTTTTACTCCAGTGGTGCTGAACTTGACTTCATTTTCCCTTTCTTAGATTGGATTCATGATGAACTCCTATGCATCTTTCAAAACCCACCTTCCATATGATTGCCTTATAGTATTATGTTGTCTTCTGTGCTCTGTATCTTGTTCTGTTCTTGTTATAATTACTTGGATTATAGTGGTTTATTTTCCTGTTTATGTCTGCCAAAAAACTGGAGCTGCCTAGTGTGAGGGTTGTACATATATCAAGGATGTATCCCTGGCACCTAGCACAGTGCCTGGCACTTCATCATGCTCAACAAATGTTGGTACCCTGTCTTTCCACCAAAGGAAATGTGACATCCTACTGGGGGCTGGACATAACTAATGTCCTCAGTGGCCACCTCTCCCATTCTAGGCCCCTCTCCTGTAGTCCTCATGCCACACACCCCCTTACAAAGCCTGTATTTCCTCCAACCTCAACAACTCACTTCACCCTCCACCCCACCAAAAAAGGCCTGATCTCAGGGGAAGATAATTTAAGCCCTTCTAGTGATTAATTTTATCTGTGTTGTCTCCAGCTTGCAACTCACCCCTCATTATAGAAGCGTTACTAGACTTCTTCATCTGGTGGACCAGAGAAGAGGGCCAAAAAAAGAGACAGGATTTGATCATAGTTAATCTTTTTGTGTCTTTTGTTTATTTGCTCCTTTGTTCTCACAACAACTCTGCAAACAAGGTATTTTTACCTCCATTTTACAGATTAAGACCCTGGGGCTTGGAGACAGCAAGTGACTGTCCCAAGATCACTCAGCTGATAAGTGATGGAGCCAGGATTCCAGCCTAGACTGTCTGACTGCAAGGGGCTTGAACTTTTCACCGTAACGCAGGTGGGAGTCTGTGGAGTTGGGGGTGGGGTGATGTTTCCCAGCTACCCTCCACACAAAAAATGGAAAGTCACTGTCCTGATTATTTATCTACCCTAAATGTCCCGGGGTAAAATCCCATTTCTTCCAAGAGACCCTGCCTTGTTTATCCAGCCCAGACTGATCTTGTTTTCTGATCTCCCATTCATTTCTCAACCACATACTGACCCTCCACTCTGTACCAGTCTTAGGTACACATTGTGATGGGCCCCAGAGATACAAAATCCAGTAGGCCCTGGTCCTTCCCCCAGGTTCCTGTGGTGTACAGGGGAGAGGGAGCTGAGTGACCCGAGCAAGTTTGATGTCCTGCTGGGGGCCTGGGCCTACTCCAAAACACGCACATCTGTCATGTATGTCCCCTCTGTGGCCCTAAATTGGATTTTCAGTACTATGTTTTATTTTCTCATGGATTCCACTGCAACTCACATTTGTTATCAGGAATAGGGATTAAGCCCTACTGGCCTATGCGTGCCTCAGTTCTGTCATCTGTGAAGTGGTATATTGGCCCCAACAGTTCAGTCCTCATTCAGGAGCCCCCACGGTGAACTCTTCCTCTAGCCTCATCACCCAGCGTCACTCTCCTCACAACTCACTCTTGCTGGGTCTGGACTGAAGACTCTGTTCCCACAAACATGTCCCTCTCTCACCCTTCTGCCCCGGGTCTCCACCCACTACGGCCCCATTCATCCTTCTTGGCTCATCAAAGAGTCCACCTCCATCAAGCCTCTCCTGATTTCCCTAACCAGATGTAATCACTGACTCTCAGCCCTTCCTTGCAGACTTCAAGTTTCCAGCAGGCAAGGGCATGTTTCATGGGCAATTTTCCAAAGCATGCAAATACAGCAATTCCTAAACTCTGAGGCATAGTAGAAAGTACAACTGAACTAGGATTGGCTCTGAAATCCTGATTTCTAGCCTCCTCTCTAGTTGATACTTGTGTAACATACAAGGGATTAAAACTTTTGTTTGTTTTCATTGATCACTAAGCAAACACAAAAAAATTAAAGAAAGTTTAAACTATCCATTTCTACCACCAAGTGATAACCACTACTGTTATTTTGGTATAGTGTCTCCTTGTTTATGCATGTAACACAGACGGAAATAAACATACTGTCAATATTGTTTTGTAAACTTTTTCACTTAATATTTAATGGACATTGTCATTGGTAAAACTTGTTTCTATAGAAGAGTTTTCTTTAAAACAATTATTGGCTGGGTGCAGTGGCTCATGCTTATAATCTCGGCACTTTGGGAAGCCAGAGTGGGAGGATCATTTGATCCCAGGAGTTTGAGACCACTCTGGGCAACACAGCAAGACCCTAGTTCTACTAAAATAAAAAATTAGCCAGGCATGGTGGCACTCACCTTTATAGTCCTAGCTAACTGGGAGGCTGAGGTGGGAGAATCGCTTGAGTCCAGGAGGTCGAGGCTGTGGTGAGCTATGATTGCACAATTGCACTCCGGCCTGGGTGACAGAGTGCAAAAAAAAATTATAAAAAATTGTTGAGGTATAATTTACATACAACAAATACACCCATTTTAAGTGTATGGTTTGATGAGTTTTGGCAACTGAGTGCGCTCAGGCAACCACCACCACAATTAAGATTTAGAACACTTCCACCATTCCTGAAAGTTCCTGAAAAACCCTTGAAATCAATTCCTCCCTACACCTAGGCCCAGATAACCACTGATCTCCTTCTATAGCCTGATTTTCATAACTCCATTATATTTCATCCTATGGTACGCCCTTATTTGTTTGGCCGTTTCCCAATTGTTGGACGTAAGAGTGGTATTAATTTGTTTCCTTGTAATAAATTACAGTCCAATGAACAGTCTTTGGTCACATCTCTGACTCTTTCCTTGGGATAAATGTCCAGACCTGGAATTATTAGATTAAAGAGTAGGCATACTTTTAAGGTTGATGATAAATATTTGTGCGAGTCATTTTTAATTCCCCTGAGTCTGTTTCCTCATTTGTAAAATAGGGATTAAAAATTCCAACCTCAAGGAATTGTGAGGATTATATGACGTAGGATACAAGACACTTTGAATAACCAGCAAACCAATGCACAAATACCTGTGGAGCCGACTAGGAGGAAGAGCCTCTCAGGCAGATGGATATGAGTTTAAATCCTGACTCTGCCTCTCTTCTAACAGCCGACCTTGAGTAACCTATGTAGTCTTAGCAAACCTCAATTTTCACATTGTCAAATGCGAATAACGTGTTCCATTCTCGGAGGGTTGTTATGAAGGTAAAGTGCAATACTCCAGGTAAGGAGTTTAGAATAATTCCTAGCTTATAGCTGCTCAATAATTTGCAGTTGTTTGTTTCAGTCAAGGTTCTTGGTTACCGATAAATAGACATTAACTCTGTTTAACTTAAGGAGAATGGGAATTTCTTAGAAGAATAACAGGTAGCTCATGGAATCAACAGGAAGACTGGAGAACCAGGCGTGGAAAATGGGCAGGAACCAAGGTAGACTGGGCAGCTAAGACACAGCCCAGGCCTTGTCCCAGGAATTGTCTGCTTAGGGCCTGGTGCTGGCACTGCTGCCACTGAAGGCTTGCTGCTGAGGCTGCCACCAGACACTCAAGTTGTTTGGCTGGGATCATCCCAGGCCACCCCCATGTCTTCGTATCACTTGCTCCATATTTAAAGCTCCAGATAGAGGCATCCAAATGGTTGAGTCCAGCATGGGGGCCAGGGAATGATTAAAAAGATCATTTCCAGGGAATGGATAAAAAGATGCCTGCTTTCTTCCAACTTCTATAGAGGGAAGAGGGTCCCCGCCTCTTCCCAAAACCCACAAAATGAGAGGATTTCCTAAAATAGGAAATGGGCTCAGATACTAGGTAGCTAAAATGATGAGGGTCCACTACATTATTACTTTTAATATTATGATGATTAAATAAATATTTGGTGAATTGCATTTATTCTGTAAATGTGCTAAGTGCTATAGGGTGAACATTTTAAAGAAACTTTTTGATAAATGCTTTGATAAAAGATATGGCAAGGTTGCACATTTGGATGGTGTCATATTGGGTTTTCTTTCTCTGAGAACAGGCAGGTCTCCACAACCTTCGAACGATTTTAACGTGTGTGTGTGTGTGTGTTTGTGTGTGTGTGTGTGTGTGTGTTGAGGTGGGCATGAAGAGGACAGAGGGAGAAAGTGAAATCTGCGATTTACTGAAAATGTACATTCTTGATCAAACTCACAAATTCCATTGTTTATTTCCTGTTGGTTTGGTTTAGTTTTTCACTGAAACAAGAGAAGTCTACCAAGTAAGATGAGGTAGATAGCCCTGTTGGCCACAGCTAAGGGTAACCTGAGGGCTGGTGGAGAATCAATCGAACGCAGTCAGCAGCTGATTCTTGTTATTTATCTTTCTGTTATTTATTTAAGCTATGATTTATTGAGCACTTAATGGGCATTACTTTATTTAATTCTCACAATTACACTGTGATGGGCGAACTGAAGCTCAGAGGATAAATACTTCTTTCAAGGTCACACATCTAGGGAGTTAAAAAGTTTGGGATTTGAAGCCAGGTCTGCCTGCCTTTGAATTCAGTGCATCTAGCTACAAGTGCAGCAAAGCAAATAGTATGCACATGACTAGGGTTAGCTGGGGACAGGGCCACTGTGTAAACGGACATGTTAGCCTGGTAGATGTCACACTGGGGCAAAAGGTGGGAGGTGACTTCGCTGTGAGGTGAGTTCTCCAACAATCCTTCTGTTCAAGCATCTCAGACAGATTCCCAGCACCCCAAGCCCAAGGAGGTAGACTAGTCATTTACAGAACAGATTTTCAAAAATGTGTTTTTCCTTAAAAACTCCTTTACTATAAAAGGTTAAATGAATTTACACCCAGGTTAAAAAAAATCTGAAGTTTTCTACTTACCTCTGCCTCTCCTCCCTGTCCTTCTGGGCAATTAATGATGTCAGTTTTAATGTATTCTTGTGGAGTTCTTGCCATGCATTCAGAATTGTAAGTAACTATTAGTTAAGGTCACCTTCAGGAGCAGAAAAAACAAAAAGCAAAAGTAAGTATTTGCATATCCTTTTATGAATAACATAATTGTATCATACTATGTGCATTGGTCTACCATTTACTTTGTTCACTTAGCAATACATCTTGAAGATCTTTCCATGATGGCACATGTAGCTTTACCTCATTTTAAGTTTTCCATGGTTGACCATTGGATGAATATACAATATTCGTAGTTGTAAATACATAGTTTACTTAATACTATATATTACTAAAGATGTGGATTATTTCCTCTTTTTTTGCTGTTATAAACAACGATGCAATGATCCGCAAGTGATTTTTCTGCTCCTGAAAACATATTCAAACTGTTTGCATTTATAAATGCAACCTATCTCATTGATTGGTAGGTTGACCTCAAGGATAAGATTGCAGATTTTAACTCAGCTTGGACCCTCCTCTGAGAAGCCATCCCTGATGGGTCCCATTTACTTGAGATCGTCACTTCTTCCTTGTATTCCCTTTGCACTCTGCACACACTTTAATCACTGATCTTATCACTCTGAAGTGTCATTATTTATACACTTGTGTTTTTTTCTGCCAGATTGTGAATTCCATGAAAGCAGGGACTGTGCTTTCTGAGTCTCTAGCCAAGCACCTGCCACATGGTAAGATCAATAAATATTTGTTAAATTTAGCTGATTATATGTGCCTAACACTCCATTGGCCCGCTCACAAGTTTTAAAGGCATGGTTTCCCTCTCTCTGTCTCTCTCTTTCTCTCTCCTATACCAAGTCACACATATAATAAACATACAATGTGTATGCTCCCATAGAGAAACTAAACTATCCTGTAAAATGCTTGAATTTACCAGTGATTAGAAAAGACATGAATGGAGTCTTTTTTTCTGTCTAAAGGAGTTGTTGTTTACTCTCTGTATTAGTTTCCCAGGGCTGCTGTAACCAGGTACCACAAACTGGGTGGCTTAAACAACAGAAACTTATTGTTTCACAGTTCTGGAGCCTGGAAGTCTGAAATCAAGCAGCAAGCTTGATTCCCTCTGATGGCTGTGAGGGAGGGATCTGTGAAGGATGCAGCCTCTCTTGGTGGCTTGTAGAGGGCCTTCTCCCTGTGTCTCTTTCCTCTCTTCCTGTCTGTCCACATTTCCTCTTCTTGTAAGGACACCAGCCATAGTAGATTAGGGTCCATCCTAATGACCTCATTTTAACTTGATTACCTTTGTAAAGATACTTTCTCTAATAACATTCTGAGGTACTGAGGAAATTCAACATAGGAATATTTTGAGGGGGTCACAATTCATCCCAAGAACACTGTCCTTCTGAAAATTGTTTTAAAATCACATCAAGGAACCGCCGATCAGCAGGAGTCTCCTGGGACTATAAAAACGAAAAAGAAATGTCTTTGGGTATGTGACTGACAGTTGGCCAAGGTGGGTGAAACATTTCCTTCCCAGTCAGAAGTTTGAGGGTCACCCTTGCCCCCATCCTGGGCCCAGCATCTGGAGCTCAAGTTCTCTCTGCCCTGGAAAGTAGAAGGTGCTCTACTCACTGCTAATTACACTGCCTGCCATTCCCTGAGGCCTTTAAAATATTTCTCTGATGGTATGGAATCTGAGCTCCTGACTGATAAAAGCTTTGAGTTTCACAAGAGCTTGGTTCTCCAGGTACTTTTTCAGCACAGGCTAATATCTATGTGTCATCTATTCAGCCTCGTTTAGGATGAAGCTCTATCAGGAGGCCTAACTTTGGGTGTAAGGGGGACTTCTGCCCTAGGAGTGGGCATGGGCCCCTCCTCGGAGGTCCTACACTCCGTGGGATTCTCTGATCCAGCTCCAATGCAGATGTAATTGTCTCTCTATTCAACTGTCTCTGCCACTGGCTTATCTCTGTCTTGCTCACTGTGTCCCCTTAACAGCTGACACTGGGACAGATGATCTTTCTGGACTAGTCAGCAAATCCCAACTGCTTATGCCAGAAACCTGCCTCCTGAGACACAGCATGGCTTTGGCAAACTGGGCCAACTGGGGTGGGGGAGGGGAGCCCAGGGTATATAGAAAGGGAGTCGGGGGAAGGGCTGCATATGAGGGAGTGTGATTGGGAGTTTGAGGAGGAGAACCTGGTGGAAATGGACACAAAAGTCTTCCAGAAAGGGTCAGTGGACTCATTCATTCATTCATCGATTCATTCAACAACTATTTTTCAAGCACATGCTATGTGGCAGACACTACACTTGGCACTAGGAATGATGTAGTGAATAAAATGAAATGCCTGCCTTCATGAGCTTACATTTTAGTATGGACAGGAACAAAAATCAAATAAATTAATGTACAAATCCTATGTCTAGCACGACACTATAAGTGTTTTATGATGAAACCCGAAGCAGGGCAAGGGTGTGCTCTTTTAGATAAGTCTAAAGGGAAGGCTCAGAAGAAATATTTTAGCAAAGACCTAAATGAAGTGATGGGGAAGCCATGTGAATACCTGGGGAAGAGCACGCCAGCCCATGGGAAGAGAAGCACAAAGTCTCTGAGACAAGTATGGGCTGGTGTGTCAGAGCCACAGAAGGAATCCAGTGATGGGGAGAAAAAGTCAGCAGCCCATGAGAGCAGCGCACAGAGCTAACTCTCCTAGGGTTCATTGTTTTTGTTTGTTTGTTTGTTTGTTTTGCTGAAATGTATTGAAATCTTACTATGTATCAGGTTTTAAGGACTTTAGATTTATTAGCTCATTTATTTCTTCAAAAAACATTATGAGATAGGTATTATTATCATCCCTATTTTATTTTATTTTTTTAAATTAATTAATTTATTTTTTGAGACGGAGTCTAGCTCTGTCGGCCAGGCTGGAGTGCAGTGGCATGATCTCAGCTCACCCCAACTCCACCTCCCGGGTTCAAGCAATTCTCCTGCCTCAGCCTCCTGAGTAGCTGGGATTACAGGCGTGCATCATCACACCTGGCTAATTTTTTTTTTTTTTTGTATTTTTAGTACAGACAGGGTTTCACCATGTTGCCCAGGCTGGTCTCAAACTCCTGACCTTGTGATCTGCCCACCTCAGCCTCCTAAAGTGCTGGGATTACAGGCGTGAGCCACCACACCCAGCCTATCATCCCTACTTTATAAATGAAGAAATTGAGGCACAGATCGATTACACAGCTTGCCCAAGCATACGGCTAATAAGCGATTGGGCCTAGATGCCCACTCCAGGCACCTCATAACCACTACACTGTCCTTCGATTTGAGCCTTAACCTTGTTAGAGCAGCTATCGCCCCATTGCCCCCTCATCTGTGCTTCCGGGAGGAGCTCTTTTTTCAAGGAGCAGCCAGTATTCATTCATTCACTCAACCAAGGTTTGTTAAGCTCCACTATGTGCACACAACGGTGCTGGGTCCATGGGAGAAAGAAGTGAGGAAGACAGAGGAGTAGTCAGGAAGACAAGTAAAGATCCACAGAGGAGGTAAACGCACGATGTTATGAGGACCGTATCCACGCTCGGGTAGGTCAGGAGTCACAGAAGCCTTTCTAGAGAAAGGTGATCTGCAGCCAGGTCATCCAATGCCCCGGGGGACAGGGCATGAATCAGCCCTTCTCCCACCTCCCCTCTCACTGGGAGAACCTTGTATGCGGCAAACCCCACAGCTGTCTATATGCCCCGCCAGTGCATACCACTTGCCAACGAATCCACTCTTCATTGTCCACAAATCACCAATCACTATTCTCCTTCCTAAAACATGCCTGCTTTCCTCCTATCCTCGCACCCATCCCTACCCACTGCTGGGATTGCAGGTGTTGGAGCAGCTAAGAAGTGGCTCCTCTCTCCAAAGAAGAGTGCTGGAGAGCTGCAGCAGCTTTGAGGGATGTGTGTCAGGCTTTACTCCCTGGCTGAGAGAGGAGTTTGGATGCAGTAGCAACCCCCCTGAAGTCCCAGCGTGAGTGCAGCTGTGGTAGAGTGATGAAGGGTTGCAGAAGGCCCTGCCTACTCATCAAACCAGTCCTAAAAGGGAGAAAAGCAGGCAGGAAGGAACCATGAGGCCTTGGAAGCACAAGAAAGGGAAAACCAACAGCTGGGCTCAGGAGAACCCCCGCAGCCTGGCCAGCCCTGAGGCCTTCTCTGCCAATAATAAATCTAGGGGTGCCGCAGTCCACAAACTCTGGCCCTTACTTTCTTCCTCAGAGGGGAAAAGGAAAGGTGAGGAAGTGGGTAGCTCTTAGAAGACTGTTTTGGTTTCTAAGTAAAAAAGAGTTGTTTTTGATGTCTGCCCAGAGATAGAGCCAGGTCCCAGGGGGCTGGATTTTGTGGTTCCAGTAAAAGGAGCCATGTTGACATGGAATTCTTGGATTGGCCTCATTTCATTAAAAACAAGCAGCCAAACCAAATGGGAAATGGAATTCAGCAGAGAAGCATGTGCTGACTCCCCCTCACCATCCCATCCTGCCCCACAAATTTGCCTTTCAATGCCAATCAGCACATAACTTAGGTTTCCTAACCAATGTTCTAGCATCAGGGATTTTGCTGGCAGGTCCTTGAGCTCACAGGACGTGCAGTTTGCTCCCAATGGGCTGTTTCTTAGCAGGGTCAGCCTGTGCCCATGACCTTGTCACTTCTCAAACTTCCTGTCCTTTAGTAGGGGAAAAAAAGTACAAGGCAAAGAGATGATTGGAACCAGACCAGCTGTCCTAAGAAGGTGTCCCATAATTCGTAGATCTCTGTAGTTTTGGACTTGTACTTCCTGCCTTCTCTGTCCTAGAGTGGGACCTTAGGTGATCACTTTTCATAGCCTGCTTCTATGGTTAAAAGTCAGGCCAGTTTCCTGTGCATCAATCATTGAAGATGGAAGATGGATTTCCAACCAATCAGCTCTGTGAGTTTAGACAACTTGCTTAACCTCTCTGTGTCTTGATTCCCTTGGCTGTCAAATGGAGACAAAATGCCTCTATTAGGTTTCTAAAAGGATTAAATAAGAACATATATGTAAAATGGTGAAGACTTGCTGTCCATACACATAAGCATCCCATAAATTGTAATGGTAATTATTGATTTATTATTAATATCATATTAGTCAACCAATGTATTAGCCAAGCTTCTTTTGATTATAAAGAGCTAAAATAAGAACTAAAATCTAGCTCAAGAGAAAGGTGGTGATGGTAAAGGCAGGGAGGTAGATTATTGTAAGGGTACAAATTAACTCATAGGATAGGGGGCAGGAGATAAAGTTGAGTTTCAGGTGATTTGGAATCAGGAACTGAAAACCTGGCACTAAGACTCTTTATTCTCCATCCTAGAGTGTCTTCTAGACCAGCGCGGTCCAACAGAACCATCTGCAATGATGGAAGTATTCTATATCTGCACAGAGGATCTGAGTTAAAAATTTCTAATAATTTAAGTAAATTAATTTAAATGTAAACACATTAACTTAAATCAATTAATTAAAATTGTTATTTAAATAAAATAGGTACATGAGGCTACTGTATTGTCCATCCCAGTTCCAGACCTTTCTCCTCCCTCCTTCTCTGGCCCCACCCCAGCTTCCTTTGCATCCTCATTGGCACGAAGCCTACCACAATTATGAGCTCTGCCTTTACTGCCTCACTTCTCAGCCCAGGGCCCACCATCAACTCCAGCGCCTCTTGTTTTGGGTTCTAAAACCTAGGATAGTAATTTGACTTCATTCATCTTTTCATGCCAGGCAGCAAATTAAAGGCCACTTTATGTAGGGAACTCTTCAAGGTCAGGGCTTCGCTCCCAGACCATTGGGTCATGGAGTTTTGTCCTGTTTCTCCAAGGGCTGAGTGGGGATTTCCCCCAGGAGGGGCTGAGTGGGGCAGGCAGCTCTGGTGCACTGTACTTTTCATCTCAGGATGGCAGTCATCCAGTGGTTGGCATCGATGGCTTGCTGGTTCAGGAGCTGTACCGCTAAGGATAGGGAGTGTGCCTATGCCTTTCCCGGCTTCTGCAGTGATTCAGGCCCTGTTTGTGACGAAAGCCCAAAGATCCTTTGTTAACTGGTGAACCTTGGAGGAAGCTGACTGAGCACGGACAGCAGGCTGCCCAGGGTGCTCCATGGAGCCACATCTGAGCCTGTGGGTGCTCCTGTGACAGCTCGATGATGACAAACCAAAGAAAACAGCAGGTTTGAAAAAAAAATGTTTTTGTTTTCCTCCAGACTCCTGGAGGCACCAAGATGACATAGCTTAATATTGGTGAGCCAGAACAATGGCAGACTTGGGGACCTCTGTGTCATTGTCAGCTATTGGCTTCACCCTGTTGATTGAGCTTGACAAGCCTTCTCGCTCAAGCAACTGACTAGTGCCGGCAAACAGCTGGTATGTCTAGTCTTTGTTTTTAGGCCTTTTAATTTGTCTGATTCTTTGAATAAATGGAATCAATGGGTTGTTTAACTTATTAATCAAGCATCAAACATTATTAAAGGGACAGCTACATGCCCCAAACTGTGCTTGGCTTTGTGGACAGATATAAAAATAGATCCTTATTGAAAACTGAGTGTAGTAATTCCCACCTCTCATGGTCGTCAGGAAGATGTGAAGACTGATCATAGAGCCAGAGAAGGAGGGAAGTGGGGTTTCTCATCCCTGCTCCCACTCCTGCCTGCTTTCCCACCCCGTATATACTCTTTGCACAGCAGCAGATTGATTGGTTGCATAAGTACTCCATAAGGTCACATTCCTGCTAAAAACCCTCTAATGACTCCCCACTGTACATAGAATAAAATCCATTCAAGATGGATGCAAGACCCCAACCCACCTCCATGATCCCAATTCCTGTAATTCTTTCCCTTACTCACCCCACCATGGCTGCACTGGCCTCTGACCACTCCACTCCTTTGCACCAAGCTCAGGCTTACCCTGGGCCTTTGCACTGACAGGTCTCTCCTCTTGGAATATTCTTTTCCTAGATTTTTTACACGGTTGGCTTTTCTTGCTATTTGTTCACATCCTCAGAGAGTGCTTTCTTGATCATCCAGTTGAAAGTATCTTCCCTGCCACTTTCAATCATACTCACCTTACTTTATTTTCATTGTGGAGCTTACTGTTCACTACCTGACATTCTCTGGGTGGTGGTGGTAGTTGTTTGCTTACTTTCCATATTCCCCAATTAGAATAGCCTCTTCAAAAAAATCATCAAAGCAGGACTTCATCTTGTTTGCCTTATAGCTTTGCAACTCCTAGAGCTGCACAAAGCACAGATAGGTCCTCAGTTATTGTTTCATGAATAAATGATTGACTTAATGAGAAGACTGACTGATGGTTCAGAGCAGCGGTTTTGCAAAGATCTAGGGTTGTATATTGTGTTTAAATGTATGGTCTAGATTTTTGTTTTTGAACAGAATAAAGGATTAGTCCTCTAATATTCCTGAGTGCAGGTTTGGACCTTTCTGGGCCTAAATTTCCTCTGCTATAACATGGTGATTCCCCTATCACCAACTGAATGTGGCTACTCAGAAGTATGCCTGATTCACTTTTGAAAAATGCTTCGGAAAGACCAATTCTGTACTGAGTACAAAGCCAGAGACGGCCTTAGACTCGTGCTCAAATATCCAGTTGCTTCCTGAACTTCAGCATTTGGATGCTTTGCAGGCTCCTCCTACGGAGTGTGTCTGAAACTCAGCTGCACATCTTCCCCACTCCACCCAGACCCATTCCTCCTCCCTCGTTTCCTGTTCCCATGAGTGGCACAGTCACCCTTCCAGGGTAATGGCCAGAAACATAGGCCTGATTCTCAATGCCCATTTCTCTCTCTAACTTCAGGCTGAATTGGTCGATTCCACCTCCTGTCATCTGAATCCATCCAATTCTGTCCTTTTGTCTCCATCCTCCTACTCTTACCATTGTCCAGGCCCCTTTTATTTCTTGCTTAGGTTACCTACACAGCTTCCTTACTAGTAACCTTGCCTGCATTCTTTCTAATTTCCAATCTATTCTCCATACTACAAATAACATTTAATTAAAAATTGAATCACAGCATCTTTTCTTCAGTGGTTCCCCAAGGCCCCTGAGTGAAAGTCAAAACTCCTCAACATGGTTTATGAGGCCTTAACATTGCTTACTTCATCCATCTCACTTCTTGCAACTTCCCTCTTCCACTTCGTCCTTATCTTCTTTAAAAAAAATTTTTTTAAGAGATGGGGTCTCACCCTGTTGCTTAGGCTGGAATGCAGTGGTGGAATCATAGCTCATTGCCGCCTTCAACATCTGGACTCAAAGGATCCTTCAGCCTTAGCCTGCTGAGTAACTGGGACTACAGGTGCACACAACCACACCTGGCTGATTTTCAAGTTTTTTTTTGTAGACAAGGGGTCTCAATATGTTGCCCATGCTGGTCTTGAACGCCTGGCCTCAAACAATCCTCCTTCCTTGTCATTTCAACGTGTTAGGATTACAGGCATGAGCCACCCCACCCGGCCCCATTCTCAATTTTTTTTTTCTTTCCTAAATACTATGTGTCTTTTTTATTGTCAGCACTGTTATTCATGCTGTTCTCTCTGTCCAGAACATTCTTGCCTGTCCCTTTGCCAGATGCCTAACAATTCCTTCATTCTTGCACAGGTGTCAGGATTTCAGTCCCCCGACTCTGACACAAGTTTCCCTTCTCAGCAAACCATAAATAATTGCTGAGACTAGTGGTACTACTACTGCTATTAATAAAATTAAGAGGGGTATTAGACATAAGATAGCCGCCTGGGGTTTAAGCAAAACAGAAGTGTGTTTCTTTCTCATAAAACAGACTGGAGGTTGGGGACTATTTGGGAGGTCATTTCTCCTTTTTTCTCCAGTTTCACCATCCTTTGGGAGTGGCCTTGCCACTACGGTCCCAGATGGCTCACTATCACATCTAACATTCCAGCCATCCATCCCGTATGATGGAATAAACAGAAGTAAAGAGAGCAAGCCCTTTTTCCTTGCTCCTGGAGATAAAGCAATCTATGATTATAACAGAGAAGGGTAACAGGACAACTTGCCAATATTCATAGAGCACTGGCTAAGTGCCTTTTCTAATTCAACCCTCTCAATTACCCTATGGGGGTAGACACTGTTATTATCCCCACTCCCTTTCAAGCAGATGATGTTTTATCAACAAGCCGACTTTGCAGATCTGAGAAATAATATGAAGGGCTGGCCAACCTGGGTAGACCATGTGATAGCAATTCTTTCTCAGAAAGTTTTCATGTGATGTGCACATGACTTTTATGTTTGTTAATAAACACAGCAAGAATTCCAGCACTCCGTGTTCTTTTATAGCTATTATTTCAAATTCGGTGCTATGATCATCTAAATTATATGTGCATGTAGTTAAAGAGCCAAAAAGTTCTACATACTTTGGTTCAAATGTCAGTGATTACTTCCCCGTTCCCCACAGCTTCCCCAAATCTCCGCAGCGCAGTTTCCCATGGTCCAGAGACAACCACCTCCAATATTTTTGCTGATTCATTTTGTTATTCACCTCGTATCATGCTTATATTGCTACTTTGAGATTTCTCAGTTTAGGCATTATCTTTTGGCTTTGCACCATGAAAGATGAGGATTTAGCTCTGCCATCAGCGGCCTGCACCATGTGCAACATACAAATACGCTTTCCCCCTCTTCTATCTAATATAGATGTAACTCGATTTCAGCCAGAGCAGTATTTTTATAGCTGGTCATCTAGTACGCTAGACTTGTTACTTTTCTCACACATTATTTTGCTTGTTTTCTTTGGAATTATTTTCTTATTTTTAAAGTTTGGCTCATGCCTCTAATCCCAGCACTTCGGTGGGGGGACTGCTTGAGTCCAGGAGTTCCAGACTAGCCTGGGCAGCATACGACAACAACAAAAACTAGCCAGACATGGTGGTGCGCACCTGTAGTCCTGGCTATTCAAGAAGTTGAGGTGGGAGGATACCTTGAGCCCAGGAATTCAAGGCTGCGGTGGGCTGTGATCTTGCCACCACACTCCAGCCTGGGCAACAGAACAAGACCCTGTCTCAGAAAAATAAATAAATAAATAAAGTGGCTTCATTTTCTGTGTACTTATCTCTAAGTAAGCCTCAAACCTGTCCACTGTGACAGAAATACTTTCCCAACATTTCCACATATATTTGGTATTCTATCAATTTCAACTTTTTGAGGCAATCTCTCTGGGGGCCTTCTAACTAGCTTGGGTCTAGACAGGTGGCCCCTATGCTGGGTGCTCGGCTGTCACCCCAGGATCTCTGCACCATTGTCTTGGGCCTTCCCTGGGCCTCTCTCCTAGGTTGGAGTGCCTTACTTCTGGGTCCCATGCTTTCTTCTTTCTTGGAATCTTTTCATTTTGGAGCGTAAGAAAGAGGACAAAGGAGGGTTTTGTTTGTTTTGAGCCCATGGCACATGTTTAACCTACGATCTTTAATAGGAATTCTTAGCCTTATGTCAGAGATGAAGCAATTGAAGTTTAGGATTATTAAGCAGTTAGGAAGTTGTCGAGTTGGTCTAGTAGGATATGTCTTGGGTCAGAGCTTCCGTCACACTGTTTTCTTATCTATCTTCTCTGTTGAGCCATGAGCTCTCTTAAGGCAAGGACCAATCCTATCTGTTCCCTTTTGTATCTCTAGTAGCAGGCTGTCCTAGGCGCTCAACTAAGGTTTCTTGAGTGAATGTGTTGGGTCTGATTTTGGAGGACATTGTTTGTTCCATCCTAACGGAATAAAAATCCCAACATTTTGTTTTTAACCTGCCAAGCCCAAATTATCTGTACCTGCTGTAATTATCTCCCACTGCCCCAGGCGCCCCCTCCCCCACAGTTTTGTGCTTGTTGTCATCTTAGAAGACAGATAGACATCTGCCTGCACCTGAAATGGCTCAAAAAATTTCCTTGGGAAGGTCTCGCCTTCATTCTTAAACCACAACATACACTTCCAATGTTTATTTTTGTGAGACACACAATAGTATAATCACAAAATATTTTTTCCCTAAAGAACAACTTACTCAAGTGAAGGCAATGCTATATTTATGACTTTTTTTTTCCTGTTTTTAGGATACCTCATGGAAACTTGACAGAACAAAGGATTTATTTTTTATTAGGTTAAATCTGCTTCTTGGGTACTGTTTGCTTGCTGCCCATTAAGTCTGGACATCTCAATTTGAAAAAAAGGCACTTGGATTAATAAAAACAACCTGAAACAGATCCCTTTAGTGGGGTGACTCTGTATTATGTTAAAACGTAATGTGACAAACACGGCTGCAGCGCCCTCCCAGAACCCAAACCTTCCAAGCTAAAAATAGCCCTTGGTCTTTCCCTGCAACTCAAAAACAGGAACAGCATAACTTGTTTGCCTCATTATGTGTTCTGCCCAGGGATCCAGCCCTCTCACATCCTGGCTCTTGCATACTTTCACAAATTCTAATCTGCCCATTACAAATCCAACAGGCCTCATGGTAGGAAGTGAATTCTGCACAAACACAACTGCCCTAGGTCCTTAAACAATGCACTGTTCACCCAGGGGCTCACAGGAGGGAATAATAACTTTAACCACCACTTAGGGGAGGCATCTCTTAATATTTTTCTGGTTCTATGGGCATGAAGATAGGCACGCTATGTGTTTTAACCTTTTCCATCCTTACCATCTATGAGGGTAAATCTTATTATTATCCCTATTTTATAGATAAAGGAAATGAAGGCTCAGGAGATAAAAGAACTTGCCCACACTCACCCAAGACAGTGTAGGAGTGGTGGCCAAACCCAGCTGGCTTTCACATTAATGAGCATCACAGCAAACTACCTCACCATAATGCCATGGCCAAGTGAGTGGGACCTCCACTCAGAAGTGAAGGGAGATGGGCTGGGCATGGTGGCTCACACCTGTAATCCCAGCACTTTGGAAGGCAGAGGCGGGTGGACCACCTGAAGTCAGGAGTTTGAGATCAGCCTGGTCAACATGGCGAAACCCCATCTCTACTAAAAATACAAAAGTTAGCCAGGCATGGTGGCGCACGCCTGTTGTCTCAGCTACTCGAGAGGCTGAGGCAGGAGAATTGCTTGAACCCGGGAGGCGGAGGTTCAAGCCTCTGCTATCAAGCCTGAGCCGAAATCCCACTATTGCACTCCAGCCTGGTGATGGAGCGACACTCCGTCTCAAAAAAAAAAAAAAAAAAAAAAAAGTAGAGGAAGATGAAGGAATGTCTAACTCTAACTACTATTGGCCCATGAGAATAAAGGCAGAAGCTATAGATGCTCAGAGTTGGGAGGGATTATGTAGATCATCTATCCTTGGGTATCTTTTTTTCTGCAGCAGATCTGACAAGTTCCCACACAATTCCACGGGAAAATCATCGGCTTTGGATTCTTGACCCTCTGTGGAGGGAGAGGGAGGGCAAGTGGAAGTGGAGTGAATCAGTAGAAAGGAAAACAGTGCTGCAGGACAGAGAGGAGACTCTTAGAGAAGTGCTCTCCAGGGGAAGGCAAGATGGGAGAAACGAGCTGGCCTGAGAGGGGAACAGGGATGTGCCCTCTGTAGAAACAGGAGGAAAGGCCCAGCATGTGGGCACAGGCCAGTTAAGTTGGAAGTTTTGTTACTAAGAAGATGAGGTGGTTTCTAGGTGGTTGTTTCTCTTTTTCTCAGTGAACTGCAGGTGAAGGCCATCAGCTGCAAGTGAGGAAAGGAGAGAAGATACAGGAAGTTTGAGAAGACAGAGGGTGTGAAGAGTTTTGGAAGTGGAGATACTGAGAAAGTGTTTGTCCATCAGTGGCTTGAGATTTGTGTCCATATATGTCAAAGGAATCCCATCATCATGATCAGTGGATTCTGCAAAAACATGCAGCTGCTTGGGTGCAAGCATGATAGCTGGAAAGCTGGAGCTTGACATGTGAGGTTGTTGGACAGAGTTTGCAGGGCAGTGGTTGTAAGAAAGAATCATGACTCTAAGCTGGGTTGAGAGTGAGGTGTCTGATGAAAAAGTGGTAGCGCTAATAATAATCAAAGATCTCTATGAGATCTGCATACATATTGCACTGGAGGACCAGCAAAAGTGAGCTGGGAGTAGAGGCTGGTATACTTGAGGTTGCAATTTCAGTGGTGGTGCATTTAGTGTGGCTTGCAATATGGAAGGGCATGACCAAGGAAGAAGATAGCTAGGTGGGTGGGGGAAAAGGGCATCAGTATGAGCTGGCTGAAGAACAAGCAGCTGAGATATTGGATGGATAAGCCAACTGAATTTTGAAGCAACCAAGAATGGTGGCAATTGAAAGAAATGAGACGATGGTAAAGTCATTCATGAAAGGAGTGAGACAGGGTGGGCAGGAGATGGCAGCAACTCAGAGGCGCAAAGTCCGATGACATATACTTCAAAGGAAGAGGGGTTGAAGAAGGGAACGAATGGCTTAGAAGTGGCAATCGGAGGCCAGGCGCACACCTGTCCCATCTCCAGATACATGGGGAGGGTATGAGAAGAAAAAAAAAGCCAACCTGCTGTTAAGTAGCTGCAATGGAAGTTTTAGGACAAATCAGGCACTAGACGGGGTAAGCGGTGAGGGAAACATTCTGAGAAGGGATTAAGAATAGAGAAGAGGAGGCTGCTGAGAGGCTGGACAGTGTGGGGGAGATTGGTTCAGATTACCAGATGTGCAGAGCCACCATGGGGCTAAGGGTTGGGGTGATGCCAGATGACTTGGGATGGGAACTTGACCTTCTGGAGGTGACTGAGGTGAACAGGGAGGTGGGACATGGTGGGATTAGTGCTGATGATCTCATAAGAATCTGGTTTTGTAGCAGGAAGTTTAATGACATCAGTTTATTTCACTTCTCTGATTGCAACCCTTTACTAGCTTCTCATTGCTCTTTGGATCAAGTTCAGACCCTCAGCACTATCAACAAAGTCAAGCATGGTCTGGCCCTTTCTGCCTCCCCAGCCTCACTTCTAAGTCTGCCACAGCATTGAAATGAACCCAATTGCAAGTTTTTGTTGCTCGCTTGGTATTTCAGGCAATACAGCATAGTGGTTAAGCACAGTGATTCTGGTTCCAAACAATCTGGGTTTGAAACCTGGCTTTATCACTTTCTCACTATATGACCTGGGGCAAGGTATCTGATTACTCTGAATCTGAGTTTTTTCATTTGCAAGATGGGGTAAATAATAGGACCTACATTAGAGAGTGGTATACTTGCAAAAGCACTTAGATCTGCCTATCTGTCATGTGGGTTAGTTGTAATAGTCATTCCTTTCACAGGCCATCCTCTTAGCAGGGAATACTCATGCCATTTTTGCAGCCCCCACTCCACTCCTCCCTCTACCCACCTACTCAAGGGTCACCTGAGACATCCCTTCCTGCAGAGTTTTCCTTGGCCTCCTAGAGGGGTCTCAGGCTCCACCACTGCACTCCTGTAGCTGCCTGTTCCCCCATAATACCACTGTGCCCTTGTTGGATGCAACCTTCCAGCTTATTCACCACACTTCTCAGGGCCTACCATTCTTCCCAGCACACAGTAGGTATTCGTAAATACTTGTCAAAATGTTATCAGATCTGCTACAGAAAAGATACCCAAGAATAGACAACCTTCACAATCCCTCTCAACTCAGAGACTCTATAGTTTGTCAAATGATAGAATAAATGGATGACTCCTCCAGAGAGAGAGAGAGACAGTGGGTCCCAGGCTGAGGGGGTGTGGGGCTCTGCAGACATTTGTGGAGCACAAGCAATGTCATCTCAGTCCAGATCGGCCTCAGCACACAGTAGGCCAGCCCTCTATTTACACACAGAGCTTGTTTCCTTAGGGAAACTTCCACAGCTTCTATTGCTCTTTTTTTAAAAAAATGAATGTTAATTTGGGAATAAAAAAATTCTACCCTGAAAAAAATCTGCAAATCATTGGTCTACCACATGCTCTCTGAACTCTCTTCCAGCTCAAAAAGCTGTAGTCAACTCAGCAAACACTCAACCTTTGCATATGAGGACCCTGAGGGATAGAATTTATTCCTTTAGGATTTATTGATTCAGATATTGACAAAAGTTTCTATGAAGTCAGTAGCACAAGCCAAATGAATTTTATTCATCTGTAAGCATACAAAACATGGTGTATGCATATTGCATATGAAAAACATATTTTTTCAGCCCATGGGCAATTCTTGGTGTGCATGTGGACTCAGGGCCTGCCTGCCATACTGAGAACACCAAGGGCAATGTTCCCTGGTTTGGAAACCTGGAACCAGGCCTATCCCTAGTTTCTAAAAACTGAAGCTCTCTGTTTTCCAAGGGGGTTGTATTAGTCTGTTCCCATGCTGCTAATAAAGACATACCTGAGACTGGGTAATTTATAAAGTAAAGAGGTTTAAAGGGCTCACAGTTCCACATGGCTGAGGAGCCCTCACAATCATGGCGGAAGGCAAAGGAGAAGCAAAGACACATCTTACATGGTGGCAGGCAAGAGAGCTTGTGTGGGGAAACTCCCATTGATAAAACCATCAGATCTCACGAGACTTACTATCATGAGAAGAGTATGGGAAAAACCACCCCCATGATTCAATTTTCTCCACCTAGCCCTGCCCTTGACATGTGGGGATTATTACAATTCAAGGTGAGATTTGGGTGGGGACACAGAGCCAAACCATATCAAGGGGGAATAAAGGCCCATGGCTAATTCCAGAGGCCTGACCGTGAGAGAATGATGGCTGCCTCTCAAATTTTGGCTCAGATTGAACAACTCACCCTGACCTCTGACGCTGCAGGGTTGCTGCCCAACACCCTTGCAGTGGCTTGTTTCAACAGACATGGAAGGGACCAGAACCACTGCAGCCTGACTGCAGACAGGCACTGTCTGAGCTAGGATCAGCTTTCTGTTATGGCAGAGGGAGAGCTTGAAGAGAAAGCATAAACTAAGAAGCAGCCTCTGGGGTAAAAAATTTAGCAGTCTCTTACTGACAGGCCTAAACCAATCTGCTGGTTTAACAACTGTCAGCTTCTCTTGATAGATATCAGTAGCCTCCAGTGATCAGAGGTAGATGGGGTGAGGTGGGGCCATCCATCCAGTCCTGTTAACCTTGCTACCTGGAGGTATGTTGTTATGAAGTCAGGTCTTAGACCAAATTCTGCCAATTTTGTATTTATTGGCAAGTTAGGCACAAAACCCACAATCATTTCTTTTAAGTGTGGGAAGAAGGGACTCCCACAGGCACCCTGCATGAAATATTCACTCCAAGAGAGACCAAACGACCAGGTACCCAGGTCAACATTCAAGTCCTGCGGGAAGAGGGAAGCATGGAACTCAGGGGGCTTAGGACCTTGAGGGTACAACTATGATGAATTTTTTTAATGTTCATACCCTGTTTTGCAAAGAAGCTGAGCTGCGAAGTTTTTCTAGCTAAGCTACCTTCAGCACTGCTCTTTCTCCAGCAACGAATACTTATTTTTTACATTCCTGATGCTAATTAATAAACTCCTAGTGTAGATTTTTATATCTGAAAAGCTTCAAGCAGTCTCCTCTAGAGTGTGGATTTCTGAATAGGGTACTTTGAATATCACCTAACTACCTTGAGATTGTATATTAAAGTTACTATACACATTCATATTATACTTTTTTGAAATGCATATTTTTAAACAAATTGTCACACAGGCAAAATGATTAGAAACACAAAGATGAAAGGGACCTGAGAAACTCTCTAGTCCAGCTGGGTTTTTTCATTCTTTTATTCATCCATTCATACAACAGTTTTGGAATACCTATATTACGCCAGGCACTGTTGCAGGTACTGGGATTAGAGTGGTGAACAGGAAATAAATTCCCTGCCATTCTGGAGTTTCTATTCTAGTGGAAAAGGCTGATGATAAATAAAGAAAATATAAATATATTATTTAATGCCTGGTAGTGATAGTTTCTATGAAGAAAAAGCAATGTCAGGGCTAACATAGCTCTGTTGAATAGAAATACAGTCAGGCGTCACTTAACAACAGGGATATGTTCTGAGAAATGTGTTGTTAGGTGATTTCATCATTGGGTGAACATCACTGAATATACTTACACAAACCTATATGGTGTAGCCTATTGTAGACCTAAGCCGTATGCTGTAGCCTACTGCTCCTAGGCTACAAACCTGTACAGCATGTCACTGTACTGAATCCTGTAGGCCATTGGAACACAATGGTAACTATTTGTGTCTGTAAACAAATCTGAAAACAGAAAAGGTACAGTAAAAATACAGTATAAAAGATAAAAAATGGTATACCCGTATAGGGTACTTACCGTGAATGGTGATTGCGGCAACGGAAATTGCTCTGGGTAAGTCAGTGACTGAGTGGTGAGTGAATGTGAAGGCCTAGGACACTACCGTACACTCCTGTAGACTTTACAAACACTGCACACTTAGGCTACACTAAATTTATAAAAGCATATTTTTGTTTCTTTAGTAATGAATTAACCTTAGCTTACTATAACTTTTCTATTTCATAAACTTAAATTTTTAAAAAACTTTATGAGTCTTTTGCAATAACACAGCTTAAAACACGAACACATTGTATGGCTGTTCAAAAGTTTTATTTATTTATTTTTTGCTTTGTGTCATTATTCTATAGGCTTTTTTTTCTATTTTAAACTTTTTTTGGAACTTTTTAAACTTTAATTTTTATTTATTTATTTATTTTTTGAGACGGAGGCTGGCATGTTGCCCAGACTGGAGTGCAGTGGCACAATCTTGGCTCACTGTAACTTCTACCTCCTGGGTTAAGTGAATCTCTTGCCTCAGCCTCTGGAGTAACTGGGATTACAAGCAAGCAACCACCATCATGCTCAGCTAATTTTGTATTTTTCGTAGAGATGAGCTTTCACTATGTTGGCCAGGCTGGTCTTGAACTCCTGACCTCAAGTGATCCACCTGCCTCAGCCTCCCAAAGTGCTGGGATTACAGGCATGAGCCACTGCACCTGGCCTACCTTTTGAACTTTTTAATTAAAAACTGAGACACGAACACATGCATCAGCCTAGATGTACACAGGGTCAGGATCATCAATAATCCCTCTTTTTCACCTCCATATCTTGTCCCGCTGGAAGATCTTCAGGGGCATGGAGCTGTCATCTCCTATGATAACAATGCCTTCTTCTAGAATATTTACTGAAGAACCTGCCTGAGGCTGTTTTACAGTTGATTTTAAAATATATATAAGTAGAAGCAGTACACTCTGAAATAAGAATAGCATAGTGAGTACATAAATCAGTAACAGTCATTATTGTCATTATCAAGTGGGTTATGTATGCTGCAGAATTGTATCTGCTATATCTTTATACATCCGGAAGCACAGTAGGTTTGTTTATCCCAGCATCACCACAAATGTGTGAGTAATGTGTTGCACTACAACTGCAGGGGATCACCAGGGTATATGTGGTGCGTTGTTGACCAAAATGTCATTATGTGGTGCACGACTGTATAATGAAAGCCACTTATGTTAATTTCAAATTTCCTAGCAGCTGTATTTAAAAGAGTACAGAGAAAGAGGTGAAATTAATTTTATTGATGTACTTTATTTAACCTAATACAGCATATCCAAAATATTATCATTTCAACATGTAGTAAATATAAAAATTATTAATGAGATATTTTACATTTTTTTTTTCAAACAAAGTCTTTGAAATCAGTGTGTGCTTTATACTTACAGCACATCTCCATTTGGACTAACCACATTTCGAGTGCTCAGTAGGCACAAGTGGTTAGTGGCTACTATGTTGGATAATAGAGGGCTAGTGAGTGAAAGGACAGTGGTCATATTTTAGATAGGATGATCAAAGACTGTGTCTCAGAGGAAGGTGACATTTGAATGCAGGTCTGAACAAAGTAAAGGAGCAAGCTGTTTGGGTATCTGGAGAAGAGAGACTACAAAGAACAAAGGCTGAGCAGTGTGAATAAATTTGGCATGACAGACAAATAGCAAGGTGTCTATTTGTGGCCTCAACTAGTTATCCCTTTTGCCCTTCTCCTTTCCTTACCTTCTCCTTGGAATGCAGATGCAGAGTCTGGAGGTGCAACAGCCATCTTTCAACCCTGAGGACAAGCAGACGCTCTGGAGTTAGACTGTCCCCATCCAATCCCAGGTCTGCTTTTGCTAGCTATTTCATTGCCTCTCAAACTATCAGTGGCAAAGAAGCGGTTGTTTTCTCCCAATCCACTGCAGACCAATAATTTTGTAAAATAAAATAAAGCAAATTACTTAAAAAGAATGAAGTTTTAAAAAGAAATGAACATATGAAATACAACGCCAACTTAAAAAAAAGTTTATTCAACTTACTTAATAAAATTACTCTATCAAATTGCTACAAATCACTTATACTAAATTTCTGTACTCATTTTTTAGCAGACCACTGACAAGCAGTTATGTCCAAGGTCAAAACTTTCAGGAGCACTGAGTTAGTTATATTACTGTAGGTTAGTTTTTTAATCCATCTAAGCCTCAGCATCCTAATTTGAGCAATGGGAATTAGTATCTCTTTCAGAAGCTTTTTTTTTTGTTATAGATTAAATATACAAACCCCTGTGAAAGCTAGCCCAGCGATGTCATTAAATGTTAGCTATTACTAGTTATCACATGCTTGTCTCCCCAGTTGGCTGCAAGCCCCATAAGGACAAGGACAACTTTATAAACTCAATACTCTGTGGTGCCTGCACAGTAGATATGCAATAAATTATGGTGGAATTATTGAAAAATACTTTGAAATCCTTAGGTAAAGACCTTTGAAAATAACTTCTACAATTTTCATGTATTCATTCATTCATTTCCAATGTAGCATAATGAAAGGATAACAATTTTGGGCAAGCTCTAATTTCAAATCTGGTTTCTTCAACTCACTATTGGGCAAACCACTTTACCTCTTTGAACTTCAGTTTTCACGTCTCAAAAATAAATAATATTCATTCTATTAGGCTGTTGTGAGGACTAAATGAGATAATATATGCAAAATACCAGAGTGTCCTTAAATGGAAGCTATTGTTCCTGCTCTGCAGAGAGGGCCTGTTAGTGCAGATAGCTGTGCTGAGTGCTGACCAGGACAGAGCCTGGCATTTCTGGCTTGGTGAGCATTCCTGAACCTTTTATTGGCAGCACTGGAAGATTCCAGCAGCTGGGAGCAAACTAGCACCAGTGTCCAGCAGAGACATAAATTGGGGCCCCACCCCATCGGGCCCTGTTCAGGCCCTGCCCTTCCTAGAGGTTAGTTTTAAACACTCCCTTTGACTGTGGGTGGTGAGAGGTGTCTGCTTTGAAGTCAGCAGTTGTACCCAAAGTCCTTTCTGCTTAAAAAAAAACACAAAACCCAAACCTATCCCCAACATGGCCTGACACTCTAAATAAAAGTCTGACAGTGCTCACCGCTTCTTTAGGGCCAGAGGTATAGAAACCCTCTCTAAAAATGCAAGGTCCTGAGGGAGAGCCTAAGGTACTCGGGCCACAACCCCTTAATTAATACAGTGTATGTGCCAAACTCTATCTCATTTGAGCCTTACAACACTGCTTGGAGGTAGACTAATGTATGTATCTTTTCATTAGTTTACTTTTTAAAATGTGTTAAAAGGCACACAGCATAAAATTTATCATTTAACCCTTTTCTTTTTTTTTTTTTGGTGAGACAGACTCTCTCTGTCACCCAGGCTGAAGTGCAGTTCCGCCCCTTGGGTTCAAGTGATTCTCAGGCCTCAGCCTTCCAAGTAGCTAGGATTATAGGTACCCACCATTATACCTGGCTAATTTTTCTATTTTTAGTAGAGACAGGTTTCACCATGTTGACCAGGCTGGTCTCAAACTCCTTGAATCAAGTGATCCACCTGCCTTGGCCTCCCAAACTGCTGGGATTACAGGCGTGAGCCACTGTGCCTGGCCCATTTAACCATTTTTTAGTGCATTGTGAACTGTGCATTCACTGTTGTCATCCATCCATCTCCAGAACTCTTTGTAGTTTACAAAACAAACTCTATACCTGTTAAACAACAATTCCCCATTCTCCTCTTCCCCTAGCCCCTGACAACTACCATTCTTCTTTCTGTCTCTATGAATTTGACTGCTCTAGGTACCTCGTATAAGTGGAATCATGCAGTAATTGAGCTTCGACTTATTTCACTTAGCTTAATGTCTTCAGTATTCACCCATGTTGTAGCATGTATCAGAATTTCCTTTTTTTTTTTTTTAAAGCTGAATACTGTTCCATTGTGTGTATATATCACATTTCATGTATCCATTCATTCATTGATACATACCTGGGTTGCTTCCACATTTTGGCTATTGTAAATAATGCTGCTATAAACATGGGTATACAAATATCTCTGAGACCCTGCTTTCAATTCCTTTGGGTATATACCCAGAAGTAGAATTGCTGGATTATACAGTAATTATTTTCATTTCTTCCTTTTTCTATCTTTTTTTTTTTGAGATGAAGTCTCGCTCTGCCACCCAGGCTGCAGTGCAATGGTGCGATCTTGGCTCACTACAACCTCCGCCTCCCAGATTCAAGCAATTCTCCTGCCTCAGCCTCCTAAGTAGCTGGGACTACAGGCGCGCACCACCACTCCCGGCTAATTTTTGTACTTTTAGTAGAGATGGTGTTTCGCCATGCTGGCCTGGCTGGTCTCGAACTCTTGACCTCAGGTGATCGGCCCAGCTCGGTCTCCCAAAGTGCTGGGATTACAGGCGTGAGCCACCACATGGGCCCAGTAATTATTTTCTAAAGTTTTTGAAGAACCACCATACTGTTTTCCATAGTGGCTGCACCATTTGTATTCCCACCAACAGTGCACAGGGGTTCCAATTTCTCTACATCCTTGCTGACACTTGTTATTTCCTGTTTTGTTTTTTGATATAGCCATACTAGTGGATGTGAGGTGATATCTCATGGTGGTTCTGACTTTATGGTTTATTCATTTTTAATCACCATTTTGTATAAGGTAAAACCGAGACTTAGAAATATGAGATAACCTAGCCAAGATCACTAGCTTAATCTGCAGAGAGACCAGCCTGCACTCTACTCTGTTCCTGGGGCAGTTCTAGATCCGAGCTGCTAAAGCCCATGAGCCTAGAATGTGGCCCTTGCTGTACCCAACCAACCTCTCTCCCATGTCTCCTGCCAGCCCACCCTCCACCTATCCCATTCTACAAACATCTGTGGAGGCAGTGGGAAGGAATGGGTGAGCCCGAGGACTCTGGAGCCTGACCATGTGCTCCGAGCAAGCATGGCTCTGGGACTCACACTGACTATAGAATCAAGTCAAGTCAAGTCAAGTCACAAACCTTGCTATGCCTCACATTCCTCATCTGCAAAAAGTGCTTGATAAGAGCACCCACCTCGTAGGGCAGCTGTGAGGAGAGATGAAACATAAGAGAACCCTTATCACAGTCACCTGCAGAGCTTTAGAAAATGCTGCCTGTCATGAGCCCCAGCATAGAAGGTGACACTAGGCCTGGGAGATTCAACCAGGAACCCAGCATAGAGTCAGCATCCCTGTCCTCCTGCAGCTCCCAGCGCAGTGTGGGAGACAGAACTTCACTGAATATTTACAACAATCTGTGCTCAGCGGCAGTGGTGAGAAGTGCTGAGAAGGACTGGTCTTTCTCACAGTCTCCGGGAACAGGACAGGTTCTGCCCCTGTTTTCATTCCTGCCAGCCTTCCATTTACATAACAGGTAGAACAGCAACTCTGGGTCCTACAGCATGGAACTGAAGGGAAAAGGTGAAAAGATTTGCTCTGCTATTTGCATTTTAAAATTCTAAACTCCTTGTTGGCTAATTTGGAGTGTTCTAAACTAATAATCACCTTTAATTATTAAAGTAGAATTAATTGACACTTTCTTTTAGACAAACACAACTGTAAGCAGTTTTTAAAATTATTTTCATTAAAAAAAAATACTTGAGTGGGAAGTCCTAGCCAGAGCAATCAGGCAACAGTAAGAAAGAAAGTGCATCCAAACTGGAAAAGAGGAAGTCAAATTGTCTCTGCCAATGATATGGTCTTATACCTCGAAAACCCTGAAGACTCTTGAAAAAGACTCCTTGATTTGATAAATGCATTAAGTAGGGTCTCAGGTTACAAAATCAATGTACATAAATTGGTAGCACTGCTATACACCAATAACGACCAAGGTGAGAATCAAATCAAGAACTCAATCCCATTTACAATAGCTGCAAAAAACAAACAAAAAAACAACTTTAGGAATATACTTAACCAAGGAAGTGAAAGATCTCTACAAGGAGAATTACAAACCGCTAATGAAAGAAATCATAGATGACACAAACGAATTGAGAAAATCCCATGCTAATGGATTGGAAGAATAAATATCATGAAAATGACCATACTGCCCAAAGTGATCTTCAGATTCAATACAATTCCTAACAAAATACCAACATAATTTTTCACAGAATTAGAAATCATAATCCTAAAATTCATATGGAACCAAAAAGAGCCAAAATAACCAAAGCAACCCTAAGCAAAACAAACAAACAAACAAACAAAAAACAAATCTGGAGGCATCACACTACCAGATTTCAAATTCTACTACAAGGCTATAGTAATCAAAACAGCATGGTACTGGTATAAAAGAAGACACATAGAGAACAGAATAGAGAACCCAGAAATAAAGCCAAATACCTACAGCCAACTGATCTTCAACAAAGCAGACAAAAGCATACCCTGGAAAAAGGAGACTCTATCCAACAAGGGGTGCTGGGAAAATTGGATAGCCACACACAGAAGAAAGAAACTAGATCCCTATCTCTTGCCATATACAAAAATTAACTCAAAGTGGATTAAAGACTTAAATGAAAGACCTGAAACCATAAAAATTCTAGAAGGAGAAAACCTGGGAAAAACCCTTCTGGACATTGGCCTAGGCAAAGAATTTATGACTAAGACCCCAAAAGCAAATGCAATAAAACAAAAAATAAATAAATGGGACTTAATTAAAATAAAAAGCTTCAGCACAGCAAAAGAAATAATCAACAGAGTGAATAGACAACCTACAGAATGGGAGAAAATATTTACAAACTATACATCTGAAAAAGGACTAATATTCAGAATCTCTAAGGAACTCAAATCAGCAAGAAAAAAAATGAAGAATCCCGTTAAAAAGTGGGCAAACAACATGAACAGATATTTTTCAAAAGAAGATATACAAATGGCCAACATCACTAATTATCAGGGAAATGCAAATTAAAATCACCATGAGATACCACTTTACCCCATTTAGAATGGCCATTATCAAAAATTAAAAAAAAAATAGATGGTGAGGATGTGGTGTAAAGAGAATGCTTATACACTGTTGGTGGGAATGTAAATGTATACAATCTCTATGGAAAAAAGTATAGAGATTTTTCAAAGAACTAAAAGTAGATCTACCATTTGTTTCAGCAATCCCATTACTGGGTATCTACCCAAACGAAAAGAAGTCATTGTATAAAAATGACACCTGCACTGGTATGTTTATTACAGCACAATTCACAATTGCAAAGATATAGGATCAATCTAAGTGCCTATAAACCAATGGATAAAGAAAATCTGGTATATCTACCATGGGATACTACTCAGCCATAAAAAGAATGAAATAATGTCTTTTGCAGCGGCTTGGATGGAACCGAAGGCCATTATCCTAACCAAAATAACTCAGGAAGGGAAAACCAAGTACCGCATGTTCTCATTTATAAGTAGGAGCTAAGGCATGGGTATGCAAAGGCATACAGAGCGTTATGATGGACATTGGAGACTCAGAAATGGGGAGGGTGGTGGGGGGGTGAGAGATTTAAAAAAAATCACCTATTTGGTACAATATACACTCTTTAGGTGACAGGTATACTGAAACCAAGACTTCACCACTTTACAATTCCTCCATGTAACCAAAAACCACTTGCACCCCTAAAACTATCGAAATAAAAATAAATAAAAAATTAAAATACTAAAAAAGTGCTCAAGTGATGCCTTTTAAGAGTACAAACAAGGCATTGAGGGGAGGATTTGAGGGTTTATGGAGATTATCGTCTGAATACACATCAGCTCTGTGAGGGCAGAATTGTGTCTGCGTGGCTCAACATTTTACACACAGGGTATATATAATAATATGGGCATAATAAATAATACAATAAATAATTGCTGAATGAAGGGTCTCAGCCAACCAATATTTCTCACACCTATTATATACCAAGCAGTACCATTATTGACTGACATTATAAAAGCATCCACTTATTTGGGTACCGT
Organism: Homo sapiens; assembly: GCF_000001405.40. NCBI lineage: Eukaryota > Metazoa > Chordata > Mammalia > Primates > Hominidae > Homo > Homo sapiens. The sequence goes on from NC_000001.11 coordinate 67,604,416, forward strand.
GTGTTCAGCACAAACAAATCTAAGCCGTACAACTCCATGAGGTAGGAAGTATTATCCCCACAAGCGCTAATAAAGAACTTGAGTTTCGAGGATATTATTAAGTGTTTGGCCTCAGTTCGCATAACCAGCAAGTGGCAGAGTCAGCATTAGAACCTATGTCTCTTTCATGCCATCACCGAACTTGCTGGACTTCTCAACTCTGCTTGCTTCCTTGTGTATCATTAACCCCTATTCATGCAGATCAGCCTGTGCTGAGGAAAAAGGAATGAGCATTGTACCTTTTTCTCCTCTCAATCAGTTTAGAGAGGTGCACACATTTTTTTTTTTCCTCCACTCATAAAGAATCTCAGAATTCTAGGGCTGGAAGAAAATGTGGAAGATTCCTCTCTTGGTGCTGAAGGCTTGAGTGGAATTTGCAGAAGCCCATTCCGGGAGCTCTAACTAGCTCTTTGGTAAGTGCAAGGGGCAGAGTCTGCCCTTGCCTGCCTGTCTGTCTGTCTGCCCGCCTGCCTGCCTGCCTGCGGTCATTGCTGGCCTTGCTAATTAGATCCCCTTTCATCTAAGGAGCTTCAAGATCCTTTCTCCACTTAACTTGTTAATCTTCGCCCCATCCCTCTGATACGGATGACAAGCTTAATTAGTCCTAGACAGAGACAACACAGAGCCAGGAGACAGCAGCAGAGCCAAAAGAAAAACACTGGATAGTTTATTCCTCCTTCTCTCCTGGCTCATTGTTTCTCTTGCTGAAAAACATGTTTTCAGCTTTGTTTTGAATTGGCTTCTGCCCTGTGTTTTGGTAGCCCAATTCTAAAAATCAAGCCTGGTCAATTTGACTCTTAATGCACACATTTGGGCGTGCAAAAATATCGCATTGCTTTCTTTTTAGCTTTAAGATCAGCTCAATCCAACATAAGCCCTCTATCTCTCTGGGCTGATGGGAGATTCGGTCTCAGCTGTCATTGATGCTAACTGCATCTCTAGAAGCAGTATCAGTTCTAGGGCCCATAAGCAGAGAAAAACTTCTTAGTGGTCGCTGCAGGCGTGGATCCCCGCTGGCAGTAGCTAAAATGTGCATCATGTATGCTTTGAGGTCCCAGTGCTCTATTGCATGAGAAGGTGAGTGTAGTCAGCCATGCTAGGTGTGCAATGGCCACTCTATGTGGCACTGCCAGGAAAGGACGCTTCAGTGCCCTGGTGGCCCCTCAGATCACTATCACCTCTGTGCCTCAGAGAATCTGCCTCTGCCACTTAAGTCTCTCTCCCCCACTCCAGGACACACTGCACTGTCTTCTTAATGAATTTTGGCTCTTACAAAAGCCAGGAAGAGAAATTGTCTCTCAGCAGCTTTGGTTCAGCACATGCCCCTGAGGCAGAGGAAACTGGAGGGGCCCAGCAATCCTCTTGAGATGTATGTAGAGAGAGGAGGGCAAAACCCCAGATCTGTCTTTTTTATTCTACGGCAGAGAAAACAGAACAAAACATCCCCTGAATTTTCCTACCATCAAAGCAGTGTCCCCAAAGAGGAAGCAAGTTATATTAATTTGCTACATTTGTCATCACAAAGTGCTACAGACTGGGTGGCTTAAACAACAGAAATTCATTTTCTTGCAGTTCTGGAGGCTGGGGGTCCAAGATCAAGGTGTTGGGAAAATTGGTTTCTCCTGAGGCCTCCTTGCAGATGGCTGCCTTCTTCCTGAGTCCTCGCATGGCCTTTTTCTGTGCATGCGCATCCCTGGTGTCTCTTTCTTAATGTTGTTTTTGACACAGTGTCTCCCTGTGTTGCACAAACTGGAGATCCCCCTGAGCAGCTAGGACTACAGGCATGTGCTGCCACACCTGGCTACTTTTTGTTGTTGTTGTTGATACAGGGTCTCACTATGTTGCCCAGGCTGGTCTTAAACTCCTGGCCTCAAGTGATCTTCCCACCTCAACCTCCCAAAGTGCTGGGATTTCAGGTATGAGCCACCATGCTCAGCCTCTTCCTCTTATAAGAACACCGGTCATACTGGGTTAGATCCCACCCTGAAGGCCTTATTTAACTAAACCATCTCTTTGACGATCTTTCTCCAAATATGGTTACATTCTATGGTCCTGGAGATTGGGATGTCAACATATGAATTTAGGGTAAGGGAGTGGACCCAATTTAACCCATAACACAAGGGTTAACTGTATTTAAAAAAAATCCCAGTCCACTCTCTTTGCCCTCTGTAAACTGCAGCCACCTCCTTTTAGGCTTTGGAGTCTACAGACCAGATTCAAGTTTCTGCTTCAACGTTTCCTAGATGTCTGGCTTTAGGCAAGCTATTTAATATCTTCGGGCTATAGTGTCTCCATCCATAAAATGGTGCTAACAATAGGGTCTATCTTGGAAGGTGTTGAGACAGTATTGCTGAAACACTGAGTACAGTGACTGAAACACAGTAAGTGCTGCATAAGGAAAGCTATCTCCCACCCACTCCAGCCCTGATTAAATCTAACTCTGCCTCGAAGGCTGAGCACAGAGGCCCCTTTTCCTAGGAAGCCCTCCCTGAAGTTTCAAGCTTGGGTTGGGGGCATCAGCTTGCTATTTTCCCAATCATAACACTTAACACACTGGATTGTGAAGGTCAGCTTAATTGTCCCTGTTCCTCATGAAAATATCCATGAGGCAGGTCACCAGTCTCATTTGTCTTCCTCACAGTTGACCGTCAGAGGTGGGCAGGTGGGTTATTACAGAAAAGACAAGAAAGCAGAGCTGGATGGATGTAGGAAAGTGAGAATACTTTAAGGCAGGGTCTCAGCCTATGCACTATTGACATTTGGGCCAGATAATTCTGTTGTAGGAGTTGCCCTGCGCATTGTAGGGGGGTTAGCAGCATCCACGCCTCTACCTACTAGATGCCAGTGGCACCTGCCCCCCAGCTATGACAACCAAAAATATCTCGACACTGCCAAATGTTCCCTTGGGGACAAAATTGTCCACATTGAGAACCACCGGCTCAGAATGACTCTAAGGCTTAAGTCAGTGGTTCTCAAATCAGCGTACATTGGAGTCTCCTGCATTGGAGTCTGAGAAACACAAATTGCTGGGCCTCATCCCCAGAATTTCTGGCTCAGTGTGTCTGGGGTGGGGCCTGAGAACTTGCATTTCTAACGAGTTCCTGGGTGCTGGTTGGGTGCCAGTTGGGAACCACTGTCTTAAAGGCCAACAAGGCTATATTCTCAGTAACATTAAGTGAGTACTTTTTGGTCTCAGGCTAGAGCTGGCACAGTAAAGAGAAATCCTACAGACTTGGGGTCCTGAGGAACACATTTACATGAGACTTCCCTGAGTATGTAGGCATCCAGGAGATGGCAGGGAGGGAGGCAGGCATCAGCCTGGAGTCAGGAAAGGCCCCAGTGGGCAAGGGCAAGGTGATGGGAGGAGCCCTAACCCCTACCCCCACCAGTCATACCCACAGAGAGTCCCAGCGTTCGACAACATTCATTCAATAAAGATTTGCTGAGCACAGCTAGGTGCCAGGTACTCTTCTGGGCACTGGGAACCCATGAAGGACACAGTAGAAAAACATCGCTGCCTTCGTGTAACTTGCTTTCTGATGTGGTGAGACAGGAAATAAGAATGCGAAATAAATCGTGTAACCTGTTAGAAAGCAATATGTTTATGAAAAAAATAAATGAGAGTAGCTGAGACTGGAGGTGGCAGGGTGATTACAATTCTGAATAAGATGGCTAGCAGTGGTGTGCTGGTAAATGCTTAACAACTGGCTCTCTGGGGGAAGAAGCCCTGATTTGTAGAAATGGCCAGTTTCAATGGTGGAAATATCCTTGCCATGGAAGATCAAAGCTATAAATTTTATTTATTTATTTAGAGACAGGGTCTTGCTCTGTTGCATAGGCTGGGGTGCAGTGGTGCAATCATAGCTCACAGCAGCCTTGAACTCCTATGTTCAAGTGATCCTCCCACATCAGCCTCTACCTCGGCTGGGACTCTAAGTACACATCACAATGCCTGGCTTATTTAAAACTATGAATTCAACATCATTAAACGGGAAATTGGGAGTGCACATTAGCACAGTATTGTGTAGTATACCTACCATATGGATGCAATAGATTTAAATAACCTCAAGTATAGGTAATAGTAAAATGTAAAATAATTAGACGGTGATGAGTTTCGAGTATTTGAAAAATCTGGGCTGCTAATACAATTTATTTAGTTATAAATTCACATAATTTAGTTTTCGCTAATGTCTGTGTTTACTAACCAGCTGGCAAATTTCCTGGAAATTTAACCATCAGCTCTTGTGAACTGGGACTAGCCAGCCCTGGCGTACCACTGGTGATTGCGGAAGGCCTTGCTGAGAAAGGGACATCTGAACAGGAAACTGAAAGAGGTGCGGTGAGGGAGTAAGACCCGGGGACATCTGGCGACCAGCACTCGCTTCCTGCCTGGGAAAAGCAGCATCTCAGGCTGGTGTGTCCACACATCCATGCTCTTGTCCCTGCTGTCCCCTGAGCCTGGACAATCTCTGTCCTCCTGATATGCTTAGTGACAGCCTTTAGGGCCAGACTCCCAGATGACTGATAGGGTAGAATTCCTTATTTCTCCCAGGCCTCCTTACTTCCTTTCTGGAAAAACAGGTGGATATGAAGGTGGTATGATTAAATGAATGACCACAAGTAAACAAGCAGTGTTCTTCTGCGATCCCATAACACATTGAGCCCAGTTGTTTTTAGCTCTTTACATTATTATCCTGTTCCTCTGTCCGTATCTGCCTCCCCCAGCACCCCATGTAGCCCTATGTCAGATGCATGAAAACACCTGGCTCATAGCTGACGTTCCATGAGAGCTTAGTTATTGAATGGGTCACTGTGACCTTAACCTGGGCTGGTTTAAGGCATGAGTGGGTTTTAGTGATCGCCCTTCTGTTGGGTGAAGTCCACAGGCTGAGGCCCTTCTGCTGCAGCAGCCTCGTTAGCATGATGGCCCACCCCCTGGCCTGTGCAAGTGAGGCCAAGGAGAGTCTACCCAAGCAGGCCCCAGCCCCAGCTATTCTATTCACAACACCCACCACCTGTTGGGCCATGGCTTGGGGCTTTATTGAGGCTGTGTTACCTAACCCTTGCAGCAACCCAGCAGGTGGGGGTCCTTATCCTCATTTTACCTATGAGGAAAATGAGAGGAAAGAAAAATCACCCAGGTAGTAAGTGACAGGGCTTTCCCTTAGCTGCATAGGTTGGGGGAAGAGCTGGTAGAATATTCTGTAGAATATTAACTGTAATAATACCAGGCAGCATGGGTAGATGCTCATTAGCACTGCAGCCACGCTTGGGAGCCCAGCAGAAGAAATTAGTGATTCCACTTGGGGCAGGTGGCCACTTGGACACCATAGAAACCACAGCCTGAGCTCTGACTTCTGGGTGGAAAAGGTGTGGGGGCTCTGGGCCCTCCCACTGGAAGGTGGGACCTCAGAAGCGAGGATTTTCATGAAGCTGGCTCAGGATCCGTCCCCAAGTGCCTTGGGCCACTATCATTTATTTATTTATTTATGCACCAAAACAAGCTGAGGTAATATTTTTTAAATGTTAACTTATTTCCCCTGGTGTTTTCCTCGTAATGCAATATGCTGGTCTGAGTCCACACTTCAGTGGAGGGGGTGTCAGGAAAGAAGGCACAAATAGTGCCCGCCCCCTCCGTCTTTCTGTTTTGCTTTCTAAAACTTTGCTCAATGGAACAAAGAGGATTAGGGTATCTCCAAAATGTCTGGGGAAAAACCGTAAAGAGAGACAAAAGATTACCCCCATCTAGCTGGGTTTGAGGAGGTAGAGGGCGAAGTTAATGAGGGTAGCTTGGGCCAGTCTAACACGGGGAGTCCCCAGGCACTGCAGGTCCCCCAGAAAGCTTTGGGAACCCCGGGGCAGGAGTGCTCTACCTCTTTCCTGGGAAGAACCCTGGGGGAAAGCAGGAAGACCCCATGAGGGAGTGGCTGCAGACCCAGAGGAGTCCCTTGCTCCAGCCTGGCATGGAGGGAGCAGAAGGATCCTCTGCCCTTGTGAGGCATAGAGATGATAGACGGCCCTGCCAGACCTCAGGGGCTGTTGGGACAGGAACAATGCCTGTGGGCACTGCTGCCTTAGGACCAGCGGGATACTGGGAGTCTCATCAGAAGCCTAGGTGGACCAGTGAACTAAGAACCAGCTCCCGTGCCTCTGCCCCGAGTCCTGGCATGACATGACTCACTGAGATTTAGCCACAATCCCAGGAAAGAGGTGACAGAAACCTCAAATTGATGACATTTCAGTTTCTGTTACCCTGGGAGTATAGTGGCTTCAAGTAAAAATTAGGTCAAGTTACAGAGTCATAAACTACAGAAAATATTTACCAAGCCCCTAAGACTTTAGGCACTGGGGTTGGGGGTGGGGAAAAGCAGTAAACTGGGGACCTGTCAGCGGTCCCTCTGTCTACGTTCCTGAATTAGAAGTTATGCCAGGGCTTGGCTTCTATAGACGGTCGTCTGTACGCACAGTAGTACCACTGATGTGTGTTAGGCACTGACTTTATGCCAGTCCTTGCACCAGGGATAACCTTCATCCTGTTTTAGACAGGTCCTTGGGGCTAAAAGACTAAGCACTTTGTGCAATACCACGTGGCTGTTTGGGTTGAATTGTGTCCCCCAAAAAGATATGAAAGTCCTAAACCTGGTACCCGTGAGTACGACCTAACATGGAAAAGCGGTCTTTGCATATCATAAGATATGTTTGTTAGGGTGGGCCTAATGCAATATGACTGCATTCTTATAAAAGGGGGGAATTTGAAGATAGAGACAGACATGCACTCAGGGAGAATGCCATATGAAGACGAAGGCAGAGATCAGGGTGATGCATCTACAAGCCAAAGATTGCCAGCAAACCACGAGAAGCTCGGAGAGAGGCACGGGACAGATTCTCCCTCATAGCCTCGGAAGGAACGGACCCTGTCGACACTCTGATCTCAGATTTCTGGCCTCCAGAACTGTGAGACAATAAACTTCTGGAGAGCTTAAATAAATTTAAGCCACCAATCTGTGGAACTTTGTTACGGCAGCCTAGGATACTAATATAGTGGGTGACAATCCCACAAAGGGAAAAGATGACTTAAATACTCCTTCTCAACCACTGACACAAGCCAATGGTCCTGTAGGCACAATTACAGCTAACAAATATTTTGGATGTGTTTAAAGCACGGGCTAGTTATGAAGTTGAGGAAGGGATGGTTACCATGACAATAAATTTCTGAATGGCTTAAATAAATTTAAGCCACCAATCTGTGGTACTTTGTTACAGCAGCCGAGGATACTAATACAGTGGGTGACTCCAGAGGCTGTGGCTTAAGCCACGGAGTCGTGAGCCGCACGGCTAACCACTATGCTGCTGTGCAGCTGGATTCTACAGAATAGAATGTCTCTTTTCTCTCTGCTCCATTAACCCTTCTTTAGTTCTTCCCATGTCCTTTGCACTATTTTTAATTGAAATCATCTCCACCCTTTCATCAAAGACCTCACCCAAGTACCCTGTGATTCTTCCTTTCTGGGTCATTGGGAGTTCCAGAAACACCCCTTGTACTCTCGGACCCCAGGAATGTAGCTTATGCTGCTCCCTGCCTGAAATGCTCTCTACCGTCTGCCAATGGCCATCTATTAAATCTGAATCATCCTTCAAGTCAGATTTACTGGCTCCCTCCTCTACCATCAATAGCATTAAAACACCAAAGTCTTTGCACACTCAGAATCGTTGCTGGGAATGGACATAGCTGACTTCTTAAGTGCCTTGGATACTTCTAGAAGGTCCCATAACAGCAGGTGCTTTAAAACTTCCCCTGTAGACTGTATTCTGTAGTCTTTTTTTTTTTTTATTATACTTTAAGTTTTAGGGTACATGTACGCATTGTGCAGGTTAGTTACATATGTATACATGTGCCATGCTGGTGCGCTGCACCCACTAACTCGTCATCTAGCATTAGGTATATCTCCCAATGCTATCCCTCCCCCCTCCCCCCACCCCACCACAGTCCCCAGAGTGTGATATTCCCCTTCCTGTGTCCATGTGATCTCATTGTTCAATTCCCACCTATGAGTGAGAATATGCGGTGTTTGGTTTTTTGTTCTTGCGATAGTTTACTGAGAATGATGATTTCCAATTTCATCCATGTCCCTACAAAGGACATGAACTCATCATTTTTATGTCTGTAGTCTTTAAAGTCTGTAGACTTTAACCTGGAGTTCTTTACCCCTTCTTTCTCTTCTGGTTTCTCAAATTTGCCTGCCCATGAAAAAAATATCTTCAAATGACTCTATACTTGGCATATATCTACCCTATTAACAGATTTTTTTCAGTCCAGACAAGAAACCCTTATTCCACTTCCTTCCTATCTCCTTCCTGTATTTTAACAAGGTTTTGTCATCTCCTTGTGCTAGCCTCAGCAGAGATGATTTGGCTGGATGAGCATTTTATTTTGGCATTTGAAGATGGTGTTGGTGGAGCCTTCCATCCATAGACTGTAAAAAAATACAAACAGCACAAAACCATCCAGTTTTAGGTCCTGGATCCTCTCCAGTTTCAGATTAAGGCAGAAACCCTGCTCCTCCAGGATTGCAGCGTGACCAGTGCCCTGAGAGCAGACGAGTGGGGAGCCAGAATGACAGTGGCCGCCTCTGCACAGTGGAACACTGGCCCTTGACAGCTGTAGGGGTCTGGAGGAGCTGCTGGCCTGGCGCTTTGCAGGGCTTGTGCTGAGAACTCTTCTCCTTTTTTGGAAAACAAATCAAATCCTGCAAGGAAACCTCAGCCTGGACAGATTTTCCTTGAGAACAATCCACTCTGATGTGTGCCTCTCCTTGGTGGCTTTCTGCCACAACCTTTGAAAGTTAAGGCCACTTCATGCTGCTGTAGGCCACTTCTCTGAGGAGCCCCAGAGTCGCTGAATCTTGCAAGTGCTGACTGAAAGAAGCCTCCACTTGCCTAACAAAGGGGAAAGATGACTTAAATACTCCTTCTCATCCACCGACACAACCCAATGGTCCTATAGACACAATTACATCTAACAAGTATTTTGGGTGTGTTTAAAGCATGGGCTAGTTATGAAGGAGAGGAAGGGATGGTGGGAGCTTTCTTATTTGCTTTTAAAATTCTGTATTTGACAGGAATACTCTGTGCTGGCATAACAACGGGACTCTAGCGAACAGTAGCTTTTATAGGATAAAAGTTTAGTTCTGGCCAGGCATGGTGGCTCATGCCTATAATCCCAGAACTTTGGGAGGCCAGGGCGGGCAGATCATTTGAGTTCAAGAGTTCGAGACCAGCCTGGTCAACATGGTGAAACCCTGTCTCTGCTAAAAATTGAAAAAAAATAGCTGGGCTTGGTGGCGTGCGCCTGTAGTCCCAGCTACTTGGGAGACTGAGGCAGGAGAATCGCTTGAACCCAGGAGGCAGAGGTTGCAGTGAGCCGAGATTACACCACTGCACTCCAACCTGGGAGACAGAGTGAGACTCCATCAAAAAAAAAAAAAAAAGAAAGAAAGAAAGAAAGTTTAGTTCTGCTTCATGGACTAGCCCAGAGGTTGTCTGGTAGTCATTAGTCTGATAGGGTGGTCCTGCCACTCTCATTGTATATTTCCCTGCTCAGGGTCTCACTCAAACCTCTGTATTCCAGTTAAAGGAAAGGGGGAAACAAAAGTGTTTGCCCAAGGTTCTCACATCCCATTAGCCCAATACTGGTAGCATAGCCACCTCCAGTTGCAAGGGATATCGGGAAATGTAGTCTCCAGTGGCATGCCTATGTGCCTAGCTAAAAATAAAAAAATTCTATCACTAAAGAACAGATATTAATGGACATGTCCTGGTCTCTGCCACCCTTTCTTTCACTTATTCACCTACTCAAGGAATTACTGAGTGCCAGTCATATTTTTGACACCGTTTTTACTCAGTTGCTTATAATCCAGCAATGTATATGAACACATGCTCAGCTAAAGTCACATTGTGCTGCATTCTCTAATAATTCAAATGCTATGGATCTTCAGGGAAGGAAGGGCTCATTTCTGTCTGGAGAGATTTGTCCATTTGTTTACAGATTTATTGAGCACTGTGGTCAGCAGCCTGAAGATGGCCCCCAGTCATCTCCACCTCCCAGAATTCACATCCTTGTGCAATCTCCTTTCCTTGAATGTGTGCTGGACCTAATGACTCACTTCTAGCAAATAGAATACAACAAAAGTGACAAAATGTCACTTTTGAGATTAGGTTACAAGAGGACTGGGACTTCCACCTCACTCTTTCTCAGACTTCACTCTGGGGAAATCCAGCTGCTGTGTTTTGAGAAATATTATGGAGAAACTTCTGCGGCAAGGAAATAATATCTTCAGTCAACAGTCAGCAAGGATCCTAACGTCTGCCAGCACCATGTGATTGAGCTGGAAAGTCGATTTTCTGAGGACTGCCAACAGCCACCCAAGTGAGCTGGGAAACAGATCCCCCTGCAGTTGACCCTTGAGGTGACTGTAGCCTGACAGACACCTTGATTACAGCTTTGTGAGAGATCTGCACCCTAATCACCCAACTAAGCTGCACCTGTACCTGAATTTCTGACTCAGAGAAACTGTGAGATAATAAATATTGTGATTTTCAAATGCTAAGTTTTGGGGTAATTTGTTATGCAGCAATAGATGACTGATACAAGTACCTACTGTTTTCAGGTAGTATGCGAGGCCATTAAAATGTGAAAAATGAATGATGCTTCATTTTGTCACTGTGTCTTGGGAGAGGGGAAGACAGCAATATATATACAAACATGGTGCTTATGATAGAAGGTGGTCAATCCAGTGATAGAGAGGTGCTGAGTGTGAAATAGGAGCACAAAGGAAGAGCCCCTTATCCAGAGGAGGAAGGGAGATGAGGAGAGACATCCTGGAGAAAACAAATATTTTCAGAGAAAATTGAGGGAGGGGTCATTCTATGGAGAGGGGACAGAGTGACTAATGCCTGGAGGGGAAACGGTACAGAATCTGCTTGGGGATGGAGCACTATCATTTTTGTGTAAAAGAGGTAAAGGAAGATAAGGCTGGAGAAGTAACTAGAAACTAACCTAGTCTCATGCCAGCAATTTATTTCTATTTATTTATTTACTTTGAGATGAGGTCTCACTTTGTCACTCAGGCTGGAGTCCAGTGGTGTGATCTCGGCTCACTGCAGCCTCCGCCTCCTGGCCTCAAGGGATCCTCCCACCTCAGACCCCAAGTAGCTGGGACTACAGGCGCCCACCACCATGCCTGGCTTATTTTTTTTTTTGTCTTTTTTGTACAGATGGGGTTTTGCCATGTTGCACAGGCTGGTCTTGAACTCCTGAGGTCAAGTGATCAGCCCACCTTAGCCCCCCAAAGTGCTAGGATTACAGGCATGGGCCAGCATGCCTGACCCACTAATTTATTTTTAAATATCAGTATTATGAAATCCTGCCTTGAGTGAAAGGAGGTAAAAACAAGAGTTAATGAAGGAACTGGCGTGTTCTCAATAGTCCAACACCTGAATTTTAAGAAACCAGTTTCAATTACCTATAAAACACTGACAAGTGTAATTTGTTTCATTGTTTTGCTCATAAAATTTGAGCCAGGAACAGTTGACATATTTCCATGGAATAATTGTGGTTCCTATTGAGAAACCAGCTTAGACAAGTTGTTTGATGGTTTTACAACTGGGAAATTGACCCTTTCAGCTTCAGGGTCTCATGAGTCAATATTTTGAAAATCTGAGGAGAAGTTTGGGAAGAATTGTATGTTTTGTTGTTGTTGTTGTTGTTGTTTGTTTGTTTGTTTGTTTGTTTGTTTTGAGACAGGGTTTCACTTTGTCACCCAGGCTGCAGTCAATGGCGTGATCTCCGCTCACTGCAGCCTTGACCTCCTGGGCTCAAGCAATCCTACCACCTCAGCCCCTCAAGTAGCTAGGACTACAGGTGAGTACCACCACACCCTGCTAATTTTTTTGTGTGTGTATTTTTTGTAGAGACAGGGTTTTGCCATGTTGCTTAGGCTGGTCTCAAACTCCCGGCCTCAAGTGATCCTCACTGCTCAGCCTGCCAAAGTGCTAGGATTCCAGGCGGGAGCCACTGAGCCTGACCTGGTTGATTGTTTTTTTCCTTCCTTTCTCCCTTTCTCTCTCTTTCTCTCCCTCTCTCCCTCCTTCTTTCCCTCCTTCCTTCCTTTCTTTCTCTCCCTCCTTCCCTTTCTTGCAATTTTTCAGAATATTGAAGGCTCCAATAATATTTCTAGACTCTAAACCTCAGCTTGGCAAGGCATGAAGAGGAAACAAAAGCATTCCTCTCTCCCCTGAGGGAAGGATTAGCTCTAAAGATTTTTAAACTAGCTCTCAGAAGGTTCTCTGGATCATTACTGCTTACAAGTGCATCTAATGACTCAGTAGATAATGAGGTTATTTGAATGAAGATGACTACAATACTATGCTTGTGGGTATGATTGGCCTAGAATAGGAGAAATTTTAAAAATTAACCTTTAAACTTAAAATATTTTACAATATCACTTCAAAATGATTTTCTGTATCTAAAATCCTTATTTATTTATTTATTTATTTACTTACTTACTTACTTACTTACTTATTTATTTTTTGGAACAGGATCTCATTCTGTCACCCAGGCTGGAGTACAGTGGTGCGATCTCAGCTTACTGCAACCTCTGCCTCGTGGGTTCAAGTGATTCTTCTGCCTCAGCCTCCTGAGTAGCTTGGATTACAGGCACGTGCCACCACACCCAGCTGATTTTTGTATTTTTAGTAGAGACAGGGTTTCACCATGTTGGCCAGGCTGGTCTTGAACTCCTGACCTCAAATGATCAGCCCGCCCCAGCCTCCCAAAGTGCTGGGATGGGATTACAGACGTGAGCCACCAGGCCCAGCCTAAAATCCACAATTATTAATATGAAATAAATTCTCAGGCGCCCCCTTGCCTGTGGTGCACACAATTCCTTGAAGCTGGGGTCTGTGCTGCTGCTCATGCTTGTGGGAGCAGGGGTTTTGAGCAGACTCCTAGAAACAAAATATCACCTGCTGTGTTGGGTTTTGCTGGAGGCTGCATACTCCCCTTCCAAATGGAATTGGGCATCCCTCTCATATGATGAAGTTATTTCTTCCTCTGTCCCCCATACATGAGTGTCTTGTGCTGCTATTATCCCCTGCAGGAATGATACTAAAATATTATCAACCAAAAAGGCAAATGCATTGGCCAATCAGAATGGACATAGTGCTTGCTGGAGAAGCATCCTGGGGTCTCTCTTCTACGCCAGTTATTATCCATTTAGTAGGGAGATCTGGGGGCTCCAGAGCAGGAACTAGGTGACAAGGTATTTCTTAGGGGCTCAGGGGCTCCTAGGGGGCTCAGATTTGTACAAGTTGAATAATTTTGTGGTTTTGTTTTTTGTTTTTTGTTTTGAGATAGGGTCTCACTTTGTTGCCCAGGCTGGAGTGCAGTGGTGTGAACATGGTTCACTGCAGCCTTGACCTCGTGGGCTCAAGCAATCCTCCTGCCTTGACCTCTTGAGTAGCTGGGACTATAGGTACGCACCACTCTGTGTAATTTTTGATTTTTTGATATTTTTTTGTAGAGACAGGGTTTTGCCAATACCTGGGTTCAAGCGATCCGCCCACCTCTGCCTCCCGAAGTGCTGGGATTACAGGCGATTAATGTTTTAATGTCTGTCTTCCCCACCAGACCGTAAGCAGCTTGAGGGTATGAGCTCTATTTTAGTAGTCTCTAGTGTCTCTACTACCTAACACAACGTCAACCCCTAATAGGCACTTAGAAAATATTTACTGTGCAAAATCGAAATATGCCTGTTTAAACATTTGGTATTTATTGGGGACTCTGCCTTAAGCTAGATACTGCCCTAGACGATTTAGGGGACGTAAACAGAATTAAGAGTCGGCATTTATCTTTGATGAGTTTTCAGTCTAGTTAGCAGACTCTAGTAGAAACTGTCTTGTTCATCTTGGTTGCCCGGCGCCTGACTCAGTGCTTGGCACAAAGCAAGCACTCAGTAAACATTTGTTGTAAATTCACGTGTCTGGGCTAGAAGGGTTGCTTCAGACTGGTCATTCTTTGTCTACCCCTCCAAATCTGCCAGCCCAGCAAACTCAGCTCCACAGAATTACTCCCAGTGATCCGACAAACTATTACAGTTAGCCAGGAACAAAAGCCACTAGGAAAATAATGCATCACTTTTCATCTGGATGTTTCCAAAGGAACTGAAGTATTAAAGTCACAGTTATCCCAATCAGATCATCTTTTCAAAGGAATTACAGGGTTGTGAGCCAACAGCAACCACATACACCTTTGCAGTAATCAGAACCAGCGTTCTCGATGCTGAAAGCAAAATCAAGTAAACAAGGTTGTGTTGTGGACTTCCTTGACCCAGACTTTCAGGAAGGAGCTGACACACTGCCCAGACTTGCGCTCACCCACATCGCTCAGAAGCCAAACAAACTCGAGAAGCTCGTGTTTTCCCAGCTGTATGATGCACTCACTTCACCAAGTGACTGGCCAGAAAACAAGAAAAAGAAAAAAGAAAAATCCCTCGTTCAGACCAGTCAGGGGAATAATTGCTTCAGCTGGCCTTTACTTTTTATTTTCATGAAGTATCAAGAAATCTAAAAATGGAGGAAGTTAGATCTATGACTTTTAGTCACTGAAAAGGAAAGAAAATATTATTTTTTCTTTTAGAGAGCTGATCGTGTTATTACTCTGCCTTAAAACTGCAGTGGCTTTCTATCTTATAATCTTCAAACCCCTTGGTATCCCTTCCAGGTCTTTCATAACTTGTTTAAAACAATCTTTCTAGCCACATCTGCCTCCTTTCCTCCCACTGAAAGCTGTTCTTGAGCTTTGCCAGGCTCCCATGGTCTTAAATACTGCATGTGCTTTCTTGCATACACGCTTTTTTGTTCATGCTATTCCTTTTGCTTGGAATACCCTTCCTTGCCTTGATCACTAGGAGAACTGCAACTCATCCTTCAAGACCAGTTCAAATGGCACTGTTACTCAACCCAACAGCAGATTTAGCTTCTCCTTCATCTGTCTCCCCTTAGGACTACTTTGTGTGTATCTCTTACTGCACTTGTTCTTTATATCATTCATCCACTCATTCAATAACACTCATTGTCTTTGCACTTTGTACCAGATACTATGTGAGGTGCTGAGGATCCAGGTGTAAAAGTTCCTATCTAGTGGGGCATGCAGGTAAGCAAATTGATTGTTATGAGACAGAATTGTGTTTTTGGTAAAGATAAGCACAGGTTGCTTTGGAAAATCAGAGGAGGGTCACATACCCCAGTCTGATTGGAGGGAGAGAATCCAAAGGGCTTCTTGGAGGAGATGACACCTGAACAGTCTAGAGAACAAGGGGTTTTTGTGTCCATCGTCTCATTCTTGGCAGAGCACTCCTGGAGAAAAGAGTTAATCATAGCTCATATCAAATCAAGTCATTTATTCTATACATGTTCATTGAGCTCTTTGCTAGGAGACAAACACTCCCAGGAGCAGCTTGGGAACTAGGCAGAAGCAGTCAGGAGTGAGAGAAGCGGATAAGAAAAATATGAGAGGAAATCAACGACGAGTCTCAGGTTTCTAGTTTAGGCGAATGGGTGATAGTGGATTAAGGCTGCCATGTGCAGTTGTGCAGGTTGTGGACTCACAGATGCAGAAGGAGGGGCAAGTTTAATGAAGAAGAGCCTTACACTTGATCCCACAGTACCACCACTTAATATATGATGTTGGAATGGACCACAATTGAGATAATTGTTTTGTTTTATTAAAAACAAGCCTTGGCCAGGCGCAGTGGCTCACGCCTGTAATCCCAGAACTTTGGGAGGCCGAGGCAGGTGGATCATTTGAGGTCAGGAGTTTGAGACCAGCTTGGGCAACATGGTGAGACTCCGTCACTACTAAAATACAAAAATTAGCCAGACGTGGTGGTGCTCACCTGTAATCCCAGCTACTTGGGAGGCTGAGGTTGGAGAATTGCTTGAACCTGGGAGGCAGAGGTTGCAGTGAGCTGGGATCATGCCATTGCAATCCAGCCTGGGCGTCAGAGCAAGACTCTGTCTCAAAAAAAAAAAAAAAAAAGAAAGAAAAAAGAAAAAAAGCAAGCAATCTGTTCTTTCTTGAGTGAACTAAAAAATCCACTTTCCTGCTATATTCACTTGGCTCCTTAATTTTCACACTTGAAAAATCTCTACTGTGAATCATTCATGTCTTCTCCACATCCCTCTGCCTTTAGACCATTTTGACACCTCTACCAGAGATTTTAGGATTTCCTGCTTAAATGAAGCTTGAAAACTAGGTATAAAACTGAATACTCAGTTATTAATATTGTTAATAATGGGGTTATTGATATAATAGTATTAAAAACATCCATTATTATTAAGTTCATAACCAAGAATTGTCTTTAGTTTTTAGAATTATTTCAAGCTACAATTTGATCATCTTATAATAGGGGTAAGACCTTTTTTTTTTTTTTGAGATGGGGTCTTGCTCTGTCTCCAAGGCTGGAGTGCAGTGGCATGATCTCTGCTCACTGCAATGTCTGCCTCCCAGACTGCCTCAAGCAATTCTCCTGCCTCAGCCTCCAGCGTAGCTGAGATTACAGGCATGTACCAGCACACCCAGCTAATTTTTATATTTTTAGTAGAGACGGGGTTTCACCGTGTTGGCCAGGCTGGTCTCAAAATCCTGACCTCAAGTGATCTGCCTGCCTGGGCCTCCCCAAGTGCTGAGATTACAGGCATAAGCAACTGGGTCCAGCCCAGTAATGCCATTTTAACCTCAAATTTTATTTTCCTTTTATTCTATTTCTTCTTTTATATAGTGGAAGAAATCTCAGCAGGAATTTTGATCACCAAAGATCCTTTACTAAAGCTAATCCCTTCAAAAGAACTGAAATACATCCTAATGTACCCTAAATAATTTCCTCCTCAAAGTTTGGCTCTTTCTAAAACATCCCTTGGGTTGCCATTTGACTTCCTGTTACATTTAGACAGAAACATAAATCTTGTAATAAATATATTGCTTTAAGATGTATCCAGGCCTCTCAAAATCAGCTCTTTATTATTCTTGATTGCTATTCTTTGCCTTTTCCATCTCTTTCTAGAACTGCAGGGCCCCAACATATGTATCTTAAAAATAGAAAATACGGTCTACAAAAGACAGCTGGGGTGGGAAGTGTAGCGATCATCCCTTTGCCATTGCCTATTTTTTCTCTTCAGCCTCACTGGCAACATATTTAATTTGCTTTTTGTTATGAGCCTTATCCTCTTTTTTTTCTGTATTTTGTTCTTCAAATGTACTTCTCTTTGAAGCTATTTATTATGGACTGTATTTTCTTTTTTTAAAAAATTTTCAACTTTTATTTTAGATCAGGGGTACATGTGCAGGTTTGTTACATGGATATATTACATGATTCTGAGATTTGGGGTGTGATTGATCCCATCACCCAGGTAGTGAGCATAGTACCCAATAGGTAGTTTTTCAACCCTTGACCTTCTCTCTCTCTTCCCCCATAGTAGTTCCCAGTGTCTATTGTTGCCGTCTTTCTGTCCACGAATACCCAGTGTTTAGCTCCCACTTATAAGTGAGAACATGGAGTATTTGGTTTTCTATCCCTGCATTCATTTGCTTAGGATAATGGCCTCTAGCAGCATCTATGTTGCTGCAAAGAATATGATTTCATTGTTTTTTATAGCTGCGTGTATTATCTTCTTATTCACACAGTTAGGTGAAATCTGATTAATAGATTAATAACTTTGAATTCTAAACATCTACTTGTGATTAAGTGAGAGAGGTTTGTCTTTGCATGGTCTGTGTGTAAAGGTTTTCCAGGTACATGTGTAATAAGCAAGGCAGTGTTATAACTAGTCTTTTAAAGAAGAACAAATGATTATTGGTAGAAGCACTATTTCCACAATATCATTCTTGATTACTTGACATTTTTATCTGTTCATGAAAAGAGATCCTGTAAAGCACTTATCTCCAAATCTTTGCCCGTATACCCTTCCATAAAATTTGAAAATGGTATACTTTCATCCATCTTTTAACTTAAATATCTAAAAATTTTATGATACATTGAGATGGTTGCAAAGGAGGTAATTTCTGAACATATTATAAATAGTACCATTTAAAAATAAAGCTCTTATATTACTCTCTTGGCCAGGCGCGGTGGCTCATGCCTGTAATCCTAGCACTTTGGGAGACCAAAGAGGGTGGATCATTTGAGGTCAGGAGTTCAAGACCAGCTTGGCAAATATGGCAAAACCACTAAGAATACAAAAATTAATCAGGCACAGTGGTCTGTGCCTGTAATCCCAGCTACTTGGGAGGCTGAAGCAGGAGAATTGCTTGAACCCAGGAGGCGAAGGTTGCAGTGAACTGAGATCGCACCACTGCACTCCAGCCTGGGTGACAAAGTGAGACTCTGTCTCAAAAAAATTAAAAAAATAAATAAAAATAAAGCTCTTAAACGTTTCTCAAAGAATTCTAAATACCACAGCAATTTGACACCAACTATAGTGATTTGAGATCCATCATCTAGTTAAAATTATATAAACAAGCTCTTTAATATACATTTTCATCATTTTTCTCCATTTCACTTCTACACAGAAGTTCATTCTAAAATAATAATGCTTGAAAACCTTTTATTTATCATTCTACTATACTTTTCTACCTCTACAACAAAACAAAAAAATACATATGTAAATTAAATGCTGCAAGTGTTTTAAATTTTTTCTGAATTTAGTTATGATTAGCACAGAATTAACCAAAACAACAGAGGAATATTATAAATTTTATGCATAATTATTAAACTTAAAAAGTAAGTTTTTATTAGAATCACATTTATTGGTAAGCTGAGTGGCACTTTTTCTCAACTGCTTCTTGCATCCCATGAGTGAATTATTTATTGCTAGAATGAGACAGGGTGTAGTATCCATTCTATTTCTATTTGTTATTTTTACAGATAGAAACATTGAGAAGCTGTGTTCACATAAGTAAGTAGGTAGGAATGGAATTCATAGCATTGACACTCAAGTTTAAACTATTTCATAGATATAAGACGAAGATAACATAGCCATTTACCATAAAGATATTTTAAACGATCTATCAGCTGACAATTCAGTTACGTCCTTCCATTCTGTTGAAAGCAAAGAATTGAACACCACATGACTTGCACATAGATTTATTTCCCAGTCATTAGAAATTAGGAGTGCTAATGCTAGATGATGAGTTAATGGGTGCAGCGCACCAGCATGGCACATATATACATATGAAACTAACCTGCACATTGTGCACATGTACCCTAAAACTTAAAGTATAATAATAATAATAAACTAAACAAACAAAAAAAAGAAATTAGGAGTGCAGTGGCACCAACACAGCTCACTGCAACCTCTGCCTTCCAGGCCCAAGCCATCCTCACACCTCAGCCTCTCAAGTAGCTGGGACTACAGGTGCGCACCACCATGCCCAGTTAATTTTTATATTTTTTTGTGGAGATGGGGTTTCGCCATGTTCCCAGGCTGGTCTTGAACTCCTAGACTCAAGGGATCTGCCTACCTCAGCCTCCCAAAGTGCTGGGATTACAGACATGAGCCACCGTAGCCAGCCTGGGGTTGTTCCTTTGTAGCACAGAGATTTCTCCACCTTGGAGCAGTGCCCCAGGGTAAGTCTGGCCAGCAGTGAGATGTGATTTTCTTCTGTGAGGTGGGAGAATGGACCTAATGAGGGAACAGGAGGGAGAGGAGGACCATAAGGAGGAGTCATCACACATATTTACTTTTGGAAAGTATACTTATCATAGTTGAGGATCTGTAATTGATTCTTTAAAATCCTTTGGAAAGCCCTCAAATAGTATACCAATTCGAAAACTGCTGTTATAAAGATTTCTGCCAAGTATCATCATTTGTTAACTTGACAATAGAGCTTTTTTTTTTTCTCAGAAGACCTATTAATATCTGTAAGAGCCAACATTCTTGGAATACTCCCTGGGAAATGCTACTTTAAAGGTTTGATTAATAAATCTTAATTGGCTCCCCAATTAGATAATAAAATCTACACCTGTGAGCCAGAGGTTGTTGAAGTTGTAGGAGAACATATATAATGATGATGATGACCATATTGATAGCTATTATTGATTATGTTAGTTTCAAATAGCAGAGACCTAACAAACACAGGTGAATACCAGCAATGAGGTACTTGTCTCACACAACAATAAACTCCTGGCCAGGTGGCCCTGGAGTAAAACAGAAGCTCAACAATGTCATCAAGCACCCTAGCTCTTTCTCTCCTGCCACTTCATCAGCCTTAGCCTGTGAACCTTGTGCTTGTTGCCTCATGACATCAAGATGGCTGTTCTACCTCCAGCCTCGCAGTTAAGTTCCAGGCAAGAAGAGAGAGGGGGGCAGACAGAGAGAGGAGCAAGGACTTGCTGCTCAGAAGCTTTGCCTTTTTATTTGGAAAAGTCAAGGACAGGTATTTATGTCTCATTGGTCATAGCTGGGTTTTGTGGCCAACCCCAGCTGCAGGGAAGCTGGGAGTTTGGGTATTTCCTCTTTGACCCTTGCTAGTAGAGAAAAGCAAAGAAGACGGTGTTTGAGAATAGATGTTGAATGAACCAGTTTACAGGATCTGTCACATCCTTCTATTCTGAGCTAGACATTTTACACATATTATGTTTATTATAACAATCCTATGTGATAGGCTTATTATCCCCATTTTTCAGACAAGGAAATGAAAATTCACTGAGGTAAAGTAACCTCACAAGGTACCATAACTGATTTGTGTGAAAAAACTGGGATTGGAACAGTTCTTCTGATACTAAAGTCTGTGCTTTCCATCTCTGACCACCGCATGGGCCATTTTGCTCTACATCCTGATACATTCCATGTCCTTCATAGTGCCAGACCTAGAAAGTTCTGTTGGAGTGCAGAGACTCCCAAAGCCTGTGCCAAGTGCAGAGGAGTGGGGTGGGAATGAGAGAATAGGAAAGGCTTCCTTTGCCCCTCTTCCCCTCTCCCACGTACCTTAATCTTGACAAAAGCGGGTCACGGGAGGGAAGGGCAGGGAAGGAAGCAGCAGCTCTCCACTGGGAACAGGCCACCGGGG
This sequence comes from Homo sapiens, assembly GCF_000001405.40. Lineage (NCBI taxonomy): Eukaryota > Metazoa > Chordata > Mammalia > Primates > Hominidae > Homo > Homo sapiens. Next base: position 67,625,579 of record NC_000001.11, read on the forward strand.
CTCCTTTTCTGACTCTGACTCTGGATTTTTAAGTCACCTGGACTCTGCAGGCCTCAGTCTGTCCACCTTGCTCTTCAGAGTGCATTTCCGTGATTTAAGACAGTGGAGAGACTGCAGAATTGTGGTCTAGTGAGAAGTGAGTGTGATCACTCCTGAGGCAGCGTCCCCATGCTCTGGAAGCTGTACCTGAGAATCCACCTGGCACAAGACACCTTTCCTGCCCCTCCCCTCCCCTCAAGCCCACCATGGGCTCAGAGATAATTTCATTTCAGGGGCTCTGGGCTGTTGTGACCTAACAAGTCATGACTGATGAAGCAAGGGAGCTCCAGAAACTCCACGTGAGGGCACAGACCTCCAAAACTTTCCGGAATTCAACTGCTTCTCACCAGTGTTAGTCTGGTCCAAGCCAGCATTGTCTTCCACTTAGATGACTGTAATGGCCTTCTATTGGTTCTCCCTGCAGCCACTTTGCCCTACAGCCTATTTGCCACAGAGCATCCAGGGTGATCACATGAATGCCTCAGACAGGCCGTGATGTCCTCTGCCTCAATCCAACAGCAGCATCCCTTTTCTTTCAAAGTAAAAGCCAAAGTTTTGACAAAGGGCTTCTAAGGCCATACACAATCTGCATGCTGTTCCTCACCTTCCCTGCCCCTCCCCCCGTACCTTTCCAACCTCACTTTCTACCTCTTTCACTCTCTAAGACATCTTCCTGCCTCAGGGCCTTTGCACAGATTATTCTTTCTGTTGAGATCATTCTTCTCTCAGAGATTCAACTGGCTCTCTCATCTCCTTGAAGGCTTTTCTCAAAATGCCACCTTCTCATTGAGGCCACAGCAACTATCCTGATTTAAAAATTCCACCCTCCACTTCTTCCCCCAACACAGCCAATCCTCCTTACCCTCCTCTGCTTTTTCCATGGCACTCATCCCTTTCTAATATGGTATGTAACTGATTTATTTATTTAGCCTATAGACTGCTTCCTGCCATGTGGCAGAAACAATAACACTCACCAAATATTCCATGTGCTTCCTCACATTTGCTAGTTTTTTTGTTGTAGGCGAGGCCATGTGATTAGTCCTGAGAGAAAGCATTGTGAGTCATTTCCAAGCTGCAGTACCTACAAGCCCATGGGAAGTTCTTCGGTTTCTCTTTCCTCTGCCATCACAACTAAGGAACCTCAGATGAAACCTCTTGGGCCCCTGAGTCACTGCATGGAAGACAATTGCCTTGTAGAATCACAATGGATTTTGTGTAAAAGAGAAATAAATAAAGCATTGTTTTGTTAAGCCACTGATACTCTGCACTTATTAATACAGCATAACTTAGACTTCCCTGACAAATATACCCCATTAGAATATAGGGTCCATGAGACCAGGATTGTTGTCTGTTTTGTTCTCTGATATATTTTGAGCACATGGATCAGTGCCTGGCACATAATAATCCCTCAGTAGATTTGTTGAATAAATGAATAGACTTCTGGACACAGGCCAGCATCCCTGACCCAGTCCAGTTTCTAGCTTCCTCTGGTTTGTAACAAATTCCCAGGACCTATGCTTGAAAGCTCCTTATAAGTAGGGAATAAATCGCAGTCATCTTGTATTGTCCCCAGTTTCATAAGGCCTTGTACATTGTTACTATTCAGTAAATATGGACTGTCTGACTGAATGACTGATAGAAATAACTGAGTACTAGCCCAACTCTCTCCTGCGGTCCTCAGGTTGAAAGCTCTCAGCAGGAGAAGGAGGATGGCCAGTTCTAGTTCACGTACTACTACAGTTTCAGCACAGAATATTGCTTCACCAAGAAAACTAAGGCTGTTTTGCCTGATCCCCTTCAGTGCCTCACTCTCTGACCTAAAATCTGCCCTCTCTCTGTCCCTGTGCTCATGCCTTCACTGCCCTCATCCTGTTCAAGGGCAGTCCTTGTGACTAAGCAGGGTGCACTATTCTTTTCAGATTTCTACCTCCCATTCATACCTCAGGCCAATATTTTCTGACCTCTAACACCACAGTTGTACTGAGCTTCCTCTCGGTGATGGCACCCAAGACCTCCTGATTGCCAAACGCAGTGGGATTTTTTTTATGGTGTGATGCACTGGAGACCTTCAGCTAATCTCCTTGTCACCTGCTACTACTTTGGCTCCCATGGCACCATCCTTTCCAGGTTCTGCTTACATCTCCTTGGCCATTCCTGTGCCTCCGTGGGCTTTTTTTCCTCTGCTCAGTCCTTCAGGGTCCTCCAGGATTCCTCCTCAGCTCACTGCTCTGGGCACTTGACACACTTTCCTCATGGTTTCAACAACCTCCTGGATACTGATGATTGCCAAATCTTTGTCTCCAGCCCCAGTCTCTCTCCAGAACTTTAGATGATTTACATATGTGCCACCTGGACAGACCCACCTGGAGGTCCCATGACTTGGGTGTCTCTTATGCACCCTCTCATATCCTCTTGGCCTCATTTCTGAGTCCATTAGTGGCTCTGGCAAGCGGTTCTACCCTGGCTATGACTCAATTTACACAGACAGTAACTTTTTTCAACAATTGGCTTAGACCACGCTTCGTGCCTTGGGGCTTCTCTGATGCCCCTGGATGCCTAGTCATTCTGGTTGCCTGTGGAAATGCCTAACACTTGGGCGTGTGCAACCCAGATTGGGGGTGGGGGTTGGGATAACACTTCATGTGGAATCAGGATTACTGAAGTACAAGAATCAGTGGATAACCGCTTCTCCCTCTTATCTCTCTCAGGTGGACAGTCCTGAAATGCAGCGTAAATGCTTCTTGGAGGCCCCAGGGGTCCAGCATCACTGTCCTGTGGCAGTGACCAATATGATACACATCCATTACTGGCTTTCCATTTTTCCATTTTCCTTTATCCCACCCTCCCTGATCCCTCTCTCCTGTTCTTGGGATCACTTCCCAGATAAATGACCCATGCAAAAACCTTTGTCCCAGGCCTTCCTTTGAGGGAATCAAGGATAAAATATCCTTTAGGCCCCTCTATCTCAATATGTCTAAAGCAGGACTCTTCATCTTGCCCTCAATCCAACTCTTCTTCTTCTACTCTTACCCCAATCAGTCATCAAAGCTAAAAACTGGAGACTCACCTTTTCCCTCTTTTTCATCTTGATTTCAAGTCAATCCTGAATCTGCCCCTCTACTCCTTTCCTCAGACCACCTCACCTAAGCTGCGGCCTCCTCTCAGTTCTCTCTGCCTCTCCTCCAATCCTCTCAAATCCATCCTACACCCAACCGCCAGCGTGAAATATCTCAAGCGCAAATTTTTGCCACGGTGTCCTTTACTTAAGCCCCATCAAAGGTTCTGCTGGTAGGATAAAACCCAAGCACCTTGTTATGACATGGGGCCTCCTGGAACCTGCCCTTTGCCCACCTCTTCAGCATCATGGCTGAACTGCTTATGCTTTCCAGCACCGTTCCCATTGTGCACTCAACAGAGAGGAAGAAAATGCTCATTTTGAAGAGAACTTTTATGTTGTCTGCTGTGGAGCATCCCAACAGCATAGCTTCTATGAAGACAGTGTTGGAAGAGCTATTCTCTAGACTTTTGCATCTACAGGGTCTTTCTGGACTCATAGCTTCACAATACACAGATCACAGGACAGTCAGGATGAGGGCTGGAAAAACTACTGGAGGTAGAGTCAGCACACCTGTGTTCCAGGCCTGCTGTGACACTTGCTAGCTGTGGGACCCTGGGTAAATTTCCTGGTTTCTGTATTCACAAAGTGGGAAAATGCCATCTAATTGCCACAGGGTGTGTGATGAGCACATAAAAGTAATAATGATATTGATGATGATCATGATGGCTAACATTTATTGAGCACTTACCAGCAAGGCAATGGCAATAAAGAAGGTACCCGGTAAGCAGTTCATGGCTCTGCTGCTAACTTAGTAATGTTTTCTCAGTAAGTCATTTCCTGTGTCTTGACTTCAGTCTCACCCTGCAAGCAGTGGAGTTGAACTAGTTCAGGGCTTTTGACTGGGAGGTCACTAATATCCTTGATAAGATAAAGTTCTCAGTTTATGAGCTAGCACACTGAGCTATTGCCTGTCCTAAAGTGGGCTGAGCATCCATCAGTTTTTAGCTCTGACATGCTCATTGGGATGCACACAGTGTGTTGAAGGTAACCTCACCAGCCTCCTTCCCCTGTGTATTGGGGAGAAAAGAAATGACTGTGTCCTGAGCAAGAAAGTTAGAGATGCTGAATCTCTTGCACTTTTTTTTTTTTTTTGCCCAGCACACAGTAACAATGAGGGTAATTCTGCCAAAAAACAACTTTTCTTGGCATGCATTGTGCTGTTCACATCCATGGAATTTATTGTCATATCACTGCCAAGTTGGACAAATTATTATCAGAGCCAAGTCAAATCCAAGGACAGCTTAAGGCCTGCCATCTCTTTGCATGATGTCCAAGCTTCTCTTGTGGCCTCCTCACCCCCTGTGGCTTCTGCACACCTTCCTGAGGGCCTGGTAACAAGGAAGACGGATGCTGGTACTCTGATCCTTCACCACTCAGCTCTAAAATGATGCCTTTGCTATAACTGGAGGGTTTTGTTTCATTTGTTCATTTGTTTCCTCCCATCCTTCAATACGTTATTATTTCCCTGTTTGAAGTGAAAATGTGATGGAGTAAATATATTGACTCTTTTCTCTGTTCTGTTACTACCAAAGTCACACTCCCCATTTTTGACTCATTTCTTTTCATATTTGATTATTTTCTGACTAGTTTCTGATCATATTTACATGATTTTCAATAATCTGCTGCTTCCTACATAATTGAGTGGACAGAATAAAAATCCCAAAGTGGGTGTGAATTGGAAGACAGTTATCCAGCCATGGTGAGGGGAGTGAAAATGCATCCATGCCAAAGAAGACACAAACTGGGCAGAGTGATTGTCCCCTTATTTCTCCGAAAGCCAGGGGTTTGTAGAAGAGCATTCCTGGGTGTGTTTCCTGATGGGGAGAGCTAAGGGCAGAGAATCTAGGATAACACTTGGCCTTCATCCATTCCATGACACGTCACACCTTTGGCATCTATTTGGCTGTTGGTAGGAAGGGGGAAAGGTGAGATGAAGAAAGAGGAGATTTGCCACCTCTGACTTCCCCTCATGACTCCCAGGTCATATTAGCACTAACACTAGTTATATTTTAAAGTGTCTTATTTGTTTATGTCACAAATAATGATTGAGAGCACACTATGTATATGCCAGGCTCTGTACTAGACACTGGAGACACAATGCAAAGCAGCCATACTCCCTGCTCTTTGAGGTATTCACAATGTGGTACATGCAATAAGACAATCAGATGTGGAAAGTGTCCAGTGAGTTCTGTAGAATATGGCCCACTTAGATCTCTTATTTACAGTATTGTGGCTGGTATAATTTAATTATTTGAGTAATTATTTGTTAGTGTTGGTCTTCCATTTTTGACTAAAAATCCCATAAGGACAAGGATTCCATTACCACTGTAAGTCCTAGCATAATGCCTAGCCTATGAGGAAGAGCTCAATAAACATTTATGAAGAAGGAAAGGAGAGGAGAGGAGGGAAGAATGGAGGGAGGGAAGGAGAAGGTGGGATGAGATAGAAAGAAAAGAAAGAGAAATCAGTTGTAGTGGTTCACTCCTGTAATCCCAGTGACTTCGGAGGCTGAGGCAGGAAGATTGCTTGAGCCTCATTGCTTGAGGAGTTTGAGGTTGCAATGAGCCGTGATTGCATCACTGCACTCCAGTTTGAGTGACAGAGTGAGACCCTGTGGAGAAAGAAAGAAAGGCAGGAAGAAAGTAAGAAATAAGGGAAAGAAAGAATGAGAAAGAGGAAGAAAGAGAGAAAGAGAGAGAGAAAAGAAGAAAGAAAGAAAAGAAAGAAAGAGAAAGAAAGAAAGAAAGAAAGAAAGAAAAGAAAGAAAGAAAGAAAGAAAGAAAGAAAGAAAGAAAGAAAGAAAGAAAGAAAGAAAGAAAAGAAAGAAAGAAAGAAAGGAGGGGAGAGAAAGAAAGAAAATGAGAGATAGGAAAGGAGAGGGAAGAAGATGGAAGGGAAGGAGAGGAAAGGAGAAAGGTAGATTAGTGTCCTGGAAGAAGGGTGAAAGGACACTGTGAATAAACTCTGGGCGTGTAGAGGGAAGCTGGGTACTGAGAAGGCAAGGAAATGGATCTAAGTGAGAGGAGGTCAAGGCGGCAGGCACTAGGTGTATAGGAAGTGGATGTTTCATCTGGGAAAATTCCATGGCAGAATAAAGGCAGGTGGCTGTGCAGAGCCTGGGAACTTGTCATAAAGTGCACTCTCTGTCTGGCTGGGAGGGGTCCTGACTGCGGAGAGCCACACCTCTGGCTGCACCTGGGAATCCCTGACCTAGGGCTGATGCTGTGCCAGGTGGGGCAGAGAACTCTGGACTCTGGACTCAAACAGACCTGATTTGCCTCTAGCCTGTGCTGTTAATAACCTAAAGTTTCTCTGAAGAGCTGTTGAGGTGATGAGCTGTGCTGGAAGAACCTGGCCAATGCCTTCTGGTGGAGGCAGGCCTGGGCTCTCTTCATAAAGAAGCATTTTGTTTTAGCTAATTGATCCCTATGGACCATTGTTCTAGTTTACTATTTCTCGTCCTTAGCTATATTCACACTATAATTACACCTTTCTCACCGTTTCTTAGAAGCCTTCTATTTCAAATAGAACTGTGGTCTTACCTATAAAAACCACATTTCCCAAATACAGATTGTGATCGATAGTCACAAGGGCACTTACAGGGAAAACTCTGGAAAAATGAACAGCACTGCCAAAGGGTGTAATATGTGCACAGCCTCATGCTGAGTGCTTGCATTGCAATATTCCATCCAGTCTTTGTAGCAGCCCTGAGGGGCAGGTGCTATTGTTATCCCCAGTTGACAGGGAAGGAAATGAGGCCCAAGCAGGCTCCAGTCACCTCTCCGCAGTCTCTCAACCACATGTGGTGGAAACAGGACCCACAAGCAGGGCTGACTCTCTTGGTCAGGCCTAGACACTCCAGCCCCAAGCCAGGCCAAGGCGATGCAGGCCCCAGTGGCAATGAGCTGCGGTTTTAGAAGAAAAGTCGACAAACGATTTCTACCCTAATCGTTACATCTATTTTTAAAGCTTCTTTCTTTTATTTTGATAAGTGGTTGTCATTTTTCATAGACTATAAGTATGTAAAGTTTTATTTAATTAATTTCGAAAGTGAACTTTTAAAAAAGAAGTGTTCTGTAATGGTTTAGCGGACATATGGATACAGGGATAGTGAAGATGAATACAGGTGATGATCTGGGGAAACTCAGGCCGCCCTCAGGGCTGATTTTGATCTTTGCTATTGGACTCTGTGACACTGTCAGTCTGCCAACCCTCATGGGACATGCCACTGGGGTTTGTTGCATCTTACTGGGCTTTGCCTAATCGGTCTTGCCTGTGTGGGTCTGTCTGGTCTCTCGGGTCATGGCTGTGCCCCATCTTGACAGAATAAATATCAGGAACTAGGTAAAAGGTGATTTGGCAAATATCAGGAAATGAAATATCTTCAGCTGCAATTGGCACAGGACACACAAGGGCTTGCTGGGAAGCGACATGAAAGATGAGGGTCCCCTCTGTCCTCTGCACAAGACCTGGGGCAAGGGCAAGTCAGGAGAGGCATGTACACACAGAGAGAGGATCTCTGGAGGGAAAGGGCTGTTGTATTTACCAGGAGGCTGCAGCCTCAGAGATTTCCTGCTGTCACAGTGAAAGCAACCTGCTTCAGGCCTGTATAACTATCGTTCTGACCTTTACGCTTTCTGTAGGCATGAAGCCTCATACTTTCTAGGTACTCATTAAAATTGTTCTGAATTCACTCCCCTTGCCACTGCACTTGGGAGAGAACATTCTACGTAGAGGACCACAATTAGAGTTGATTAGGCACCCAGCTCTGTTCCTCCACTACCGAAAACTAGATATGCAGCAATCTACTTCCTAATGATTACTGGGAGTTTCTTTTGCATAACGCAGTTCTCCCAGGACCACTCCCTGAGTGAATGGATAATCAGGTCCCAGACCTGCAAGGCTTTAACCAGTTCTTGGACAAAACTATATAAACCTATCATCTCCTAAAGTATCCCTGCTGCTTCTCACTCCCTACCCACCCCATAGCTGACTAGGTGGAAAAACTATTTTTGTGCAGTCCACTCAAAAGCAATAGTCCTCTTATGTTAAAGATTGTTAAGCTGTAAGATTTAACAACATGTCAATAATGCCAAATAACTTGGCTTATTGATATGAAAGTCGTATGTCCCTTGTGTTTGTGTTCAAGGTAAGGAGAAGTTAATAGACTGAGCAAATATTTTTGAGCAGATAATTTCTGCTGCTTTAATAAACAGTATGTTTAAGAATGAGGGCTTTAGAATGACACTAAGTGAGCCAGGCATGGTGGCTCATGCCTGTAATTCCAACACTTTGGGAGGCCAAGGTGGTAGCACTGCTTGAGCCCAGGAGTTCAAGACCAGCCTGGGCAACATAGTGAGAACTCATCTCTAAAAGAAAATATTAGCCTGTGTGGTGGCACACGCCTGTGGTCTCAGCTGCTTGGGAGGCTGAGGAGGGAGGATATCTGGAGTCCAGGAGTTTGAGGCTACAGTGAGCTATGATTGCATCACTGCACTCCAGCCTGAGCAACAGAGCAAGAGCCTGTCTCAAAAAAAGAATCACACTAATTTTAGTTCAAGTTTCTGCTCTGCCAATTAGCTGTGGCAATTTGGGCAAGTTACTTTCCCTCTCTGAATCTGTTTCTTTATCTGGACATGGGAACACTGTCCCTGGGGTCCCATGGAGCAGAGACTCTTTTAGGCTCACTCTGGTAATGAGGTTTTGATGAGGCCTCATGAGGGTTAGGCATCCCATGAAAGCTGAGAGTAGGAACCATTCTGCGGAGCAGGGCATGGGGGCCTTTCAGAGACTGGAACTGGGCCCCAGGGCAGGAATGTGTGGATCTTTACTCTAGTGCTCACCACCCATGTGACTATTAATACCACTCTCCAAGTGTTGGCCTCCCCTTGATCTGCTTCTCTTTCCTTCATGAAGTAGTTTCTCTCCCTCACCCCAGGTATCCTTTCTCTCCCTCATGGCTTTGGCTTACTCACATCCATGACTTAACTCATGACCTCAACGCACTCAGGCTCGCCATGGACTCTCTGGCTTCTCATCTTTCAACTTCAGTTTCTACGGTGAAATAGAGGAAAACAGGTTTCCTCTATTTTCTCAACTTGAACTTTCTAAAAGCAAGAATTAATGTGGATAAAGCGTTTTGTTTTTTGATACCCTATGAACTGCTGGCTTGCCAATGGTTGCTGTTGGGCCCCGGGTGCATCCCTGATGCAGTCAGAGGTGTGTGTGTGTGTGTGCACACTAGTGTGTGTGTGTGTGTGTGTGTGTGTATTTGAGGATAATCATATTGGGCAAATCAAAGCCACTGAGGGCAACCTGTTTGTTGAGTGCAGGTGACTGACATGTGCAGTAGCCAAAAAAAAAAAGTCTCCTAAGGTTGTAGTGAAGATTCAATGAGATAAAACTTGTAGAGGACTTAGCACAGAGCTAGGACACATAGGAAGTGCTAAAAAAAAAAAAGATAGCTGTTACTCATCTTCTTATTATGTAATTGTTGTTATCATTATTCTAATCTACAACAAGTGCAGACTTGGTTCCAGAGGCACAGGGTAATTTGCAGGCTGTTAATAGAAGATGCACTGGGTAATGATTTTCTTCACACAACTAGGTCAACTTCACTAAAGACAGGGAGAGAGACGGGAAATAGAACCTCTCTATGTACACCATCAACGAATTAAAAAAAGTCCTCAGAGCAAACAAACATTAAGAGTTCCTCACAAAGTTTCCCTTTAAAACCACAAATACGATCCTGTGAGCCTACCTAACTCTTTTAAGGACTTCTCCTTTTTCTTAAAGAAAGACACAAATTCTTTATAAGGCCTTACGTATTCTGCACCCTCTCTCCCGCCGTGCGCGCCACAGACACACACACAGACACACACAGACACACAGACACAGACACACACACACACACACACACACACACTTCCCAGCTTCCTTCTGCACCACAAACACCCTGCTTGGGGAGCTGCAGCTACGTTGACCGGCTGGCACTTCTGGGACAGCACACCTTGTTCGTGTTGTACACAGGGCTCCACGCCACGCTGTTTGGCCTAGGACACTCTTCTCCGCACTTCCCCAGCCCTTTCCTTAGTTAACGTCCACTCACCCTTTGTCTCTGTTCAAACAGCAGAGAACCTTTCCCTAGCCCATGGTCTTTTATGATACACACTCAGAGAATCAAATGCATTTTCTTCAGCCCATTATTTTACTGTAATCTGTGTCTGCTTCTCTGACCAGACTGTCAACCTACAGTCCCAAGACCATGCAGGCACTAAATAAATACCTTTTGATTAAATGAATCAATAATGGTTTTGCTACCAAATGCAACTGCCTGTCTCAGAAGCTACAACACTGGAAGGTAAAAACATTCAATATTATGCCATTATTAAAAGTTAAAAACACACATGCAAAGTTTACCAAATTTGACTGTGTTCTATGCTCAAAGGAAATAACAACACATTTTTAAAAACTGTTCTTATACAGGCCACATTCATTAGCCAGAATGCAATAAATTTAGAAATTAACAGGGAGCCAAAAAAAAAAATCTATACTCCTTAACTATAAAAACACACTTCTAAAGACCTCTTGGTTTAAAGAGGAAGTAAACCACTGAGAACTAGACCACAATGAAAGTAACACACATCAAAACTAATGGAATATGGCCAAAGCAATTTCCAGAAAAAAACCTCTAGTCTTACATTTATTTATTAGAAATATAAAAAAGATTGAAAAGCAAAACAAAATAAAGCCAAGTAAATAGTAAGAAATAAATTAATATAGAAGCAGAAATTAATGAAACAGGAAAAACCTCAGCAAAATTGATCAATAAAACCACAGATTTGCCTTGTATTAAGGTAAAAATTATTTGGCTAGAATAGTTAATAAAAAGAGAAAGCAATATTGCCTATTGCTTAACAGGCAATATCAGGCATGAAAAGGGATATGTACAGATATAAAAGATCACTTAAAAGGAGCATTATGCACAATTTTATAACAAGGAATTTGAGACCCAGACGAAAAGGATTTTCTAAGAAAATATAAATAACCAAACTTTGGGAAGAAAACATTAATAAACCATTCAAGAAACTGAACTGTTATTTAAATGTGTACCTCCTTCCAGTCCATGCAAGGGCATCAGGCTCAAAAGGCTTATAGGCAAGTTCTCCTAAAATATAGATGAACAAATAGTATGTTCATGACCTTACATGTATAGAAGGCCTTCTTAAGTCATAAAAACAAAGAAAAAGGTGAACAAATTTGACACATCAAAAGTAAAAACTTATCAATGACAAAGACTTCATTAACAAAAGTTATGGTCTAGGAGAAAATATTTGCATTTGCAGATGTATATGTGTATGTGTATACATACACATACATAATGCAAACACATATAACAGGCAAAAGAATGGTATCCTGGTGTTATTGACTGAATTGTGTTCTCTCTTGAATTCATATGTTGAAGCACAAACCCCCAATGTGATTATATTTAGAGATAGGGCTTTTAAGAGGTAATTAAGGTTAAATGAGATCGTAAGGGTTGGATCCTAATCCAATAGGACTGGTAGCCTTTTTAAAAAAAATTTCGTTTTTTGTAGAAATGGGGTATCCCTATGTTGCCCAGGCTGGTCTCAAACTCCTGGGCTCAAGCAATCCTCCCACTTTGGCCTCTCAAAGTGCTGGGATTACAGGTGTGAGCTACCATGTCCATGCAGCCTGATGGCCTTCTAAGAAGAGGAAGAGACCTTCTCTCTCTCTCTCTCTCTCTCTCTCTCTCCTTCCCTCCCTCCTTGCAAACACTAAGGAAAGGCCCTATGAGAACACAGCAAGAAGGCATTGTCTGCAACCCAAGTAACAAACCCTCACCAGACACTGACCCTTCTGGCATCTTGAATTTGGATTTCTAGCCTCCAGAACTGTGAGAAATTTTTGTTGTCTAGCTACCCAGTCTATAGTATTTTGTTATGGCAGCCCAGGCTAACTAAGACACCTGGATATATCAACCTATAAGAAGAAAAAAAAGAGACAAAAAACAAACAAACCAACCTGATTTAAAAAGTCAAAGATATGAACAGGATATTCACAGGATGTTTATGGTCAATAAACATAAGAAAAAATGCTTAGCAATACTAAAATACCTTTTTAACAACCATCAGATTGACAAACTCTGTAAACAATTTGCTAATCTCCAGAATTAGCAAGCATGAGGAGAGATAGAGTGTAAATTGGTAACAGTGACTTTCGAGGTAAATATGGGACTATCTTAAAATATAAAAATGTGTGTAACCTAAAATCCCACAATTTTATTTCTCTATATATATTCCTGGAAAGCAACAGACACATACAATATGCTCACCAAGGCATTATTTCTGAAAGCAAAAGCTTTGAAAGAATGAGGGGCTGGCACTGGCAGCGTGGTCAGAGAGAGGCTGGACCCAGAGGGGCTGAGAGGTGAGCCATGGAGAATGCCAGTGGGTTACCATATCAGGGTAGGGTTGCCCCAGAGAGAGGGCTCAGCACTGACTGTCTGGGTTAGGATAGCTAGGGAGCCATAGCCAGGCCACAGAGCAGCCATGGCACCCACAAAAGCTAAGCCAAGATTGAATAAGGCAAGGGCAGCACCCCGTTCCCAAACCCAGAGAGGAAATGACTAGTTACCAGCCTTGGACTTCAGGTTCTGATGCCTGTAGAAGAAGCAGCAAGCAGGCAGACAAGGAACATTACCCTGAAAAGCAGAGGAAGGACAGGGCCCAAGGACTCTAGCTCTTCCATCTGTCCAGTAAGCAGCAATAGCCATGCCAGCCCCCTTAGACCCAGGAACCATCACAGGGAGGAAACCAGGAGGAAGAAAGGCTGTCAGAGAGACACAGCATCTTCTCCAAGAGACATGGTACAGCATCTAAAAGGAACTGCTTAAATGATCATGTTAGACTACTCTTTAAATCAGGCTGACTCTTGAGCATATTTTTTTTCCTCCCACTCCCCAGGGGGTGATTTGGTGAGGAAGACCGAATCAGCATAGAAAGATCATTTTTGTTTGAATATCTGAATTATGAGGTGAGTGCATTATGTCATCCTAATAACCTCTGCTTTTTATTTTTCTTTCATGAAAGAAATTTCAAAGTTCAAAGAGAGAAGGCATTAATATTTCTCAAGATGCATAATGTGATTTTATAAAAACAAATTGCAGAAAGCTGTAGGATTTCAAAAGTGGATCCCAAAGATGGTCACGCCCTTTCAGTCCAAGAGCCACACCTCAAGAGGGAAGTGGGGCACAGGCACAAAGGCTGGCAAACCCTGAGGATTCCTGGGAAGCCAGCCTTGGCTTGTACCAGGGAGGGTAGGTATTCTTATATTGATTGCAGTACTCTTTGTGGTGATGATTAGCTGTGTGTTGATCTTCTTGAATAAAGAAAGAGAAGGGAATTTCAAAATGAACTTGAAAAACATCAACCTTGGAATAAAATAGAAATAATAAAATAAGAATAATTTGAATCACAATTAGTGCACATCTTATATGCATTATTACATTTTATCATCACTGTAGCCTTACAAAGATAGCTATTATTATTATCTCCCATTTTACAGATGGGGAAACTGAGGGTTAGAGATGAGTTGTCTGCAAATATGGCCATGAATTCCTCCATCCCAATATGCAAATGCCCTTTCTTCCCACTGAGTGTTGGAGTCTATTTCCCCTCCTGTTGAGCCTTGGCTGGCCTGTGGTGGCTTTCAACAAAAGAATGAATTGGAAGTGATGACATGCTCGTTCTGGCTTACGTCTTAAGAACGCTGGCAACTTCCATTTCCGCTCTCTTTGAAGCCAGTTGCCATGTCAGGAAGTCTGAAAAACCTGTTAAGAGAGAAAGGCCACATGGACAAAGGCCACATGGAGAAAAGGGTCCAATTTTTATGAGAGACTAAGAAGGAAGAGGGGAAGACCCAGCCAGCCCCCGGCAATTTCAGCTACCCAAGACATGAAGTGTCAGATACGTGAGTGAGGCCTTCTTGGTAACTGGAAACCTAGCCAAGCTCAATGATGAACGCAGCCATGTGAGTGACCCCAGCTGACACAATGTGGAATACAAGAATTGACCCAGTACACCCAAAGGATTCTAGTAAATAATAAAATAGCCATTGATCAGGCCACTACGTTTGGAAGTGTTTCATTATGCAGCAAAAAATATCCGAAACAAGAGATTAGAAGCTTGCCTATGGTCATACAACTGGTAAGTGGTAGAGCCAGGCCTTGAGGCCAGGTCTTCCTGACCTCAGTGTCCAGGCTCTTAACAGCTGCATGGCCAAAGACTATAAATCATTAAAGATATGGAAATTATTAGCATAGGTCTACTAAATCATGGAATATGAGAGCTGAGGAAAGAATAAGGATGAGAAGAAGGAACACACTGAGAGTGGAGAAGATGAGCTTCCAGGAGCTTGAAACAAACCTTTTATTCCCATATTTATTGAGCATCTATAATGCTTGAGGCAATTTTGTAGGGGCTCTGAGAGATTCAGAGGTGAATGCCATAGGGTAAATGATCTCAGGAAGATAGCAATCTAATTAGGAAAAACAAAAATGCATAAAAATCATACCATATAAAGTAAAATGGTAGAGCTGCTATAGAACACAGTTTAGCAGTTCCTCAAAAAATGTTTCCCTTTAAAAGGAATGGGAAAAGCTGCAATTACTTTTGTACCAACCTAATATTATATGATCCAGCAATTCTCCTTTGAGCAAAAGAGTTGCTTAAACAAATATCTATACATTCATTTTCAGAGCAGAATTATTCGCAATAGCCAAAAAAGGGGCAAGTAACCCAAAGTCCATGGACAGATGAGTGGATAAACAATATGTGGTATGTGTAGACAATGGAACATTATCGAGTCTTTAAAAGGAAATTTCGGACACATGGGTGAAGCTCGAGAACATTATCCTAAGGGAAATAAGCCAGTCAAAAAGAACAAATCCTGTATGGGTCCACTTATAAAACGTACCTAGAGTAGTCAAATTCATAGAGATAGAAAATAGAATGGTGGTTGCCAGGGGCTAGGAGGAGCGGGGAATGAGGAGTTAGTGCTTAAAGTGTCCAGACTTGCAGTTCAGGCAAATGAAGGTGTTCTGGAGATGGATGGTGGTGATAGTTGTACAACAATGTGAATATACTTAATACCACTTAGCTGTACACTTAAAAATATGTATATTTTACCACAATAAAAAGCAATCGATTTTTAAATTTTTTTTTGAGACAGAGTTTCACTCTTGTTGCCTGGGCTGGAGTGCAGTGGTGCAATCTTGGCTCACTGCAACCTCCACCTCCCAGGTTCAAGTGATTCTCCTACCTCAGCCTCCTGAGTAGCTGGGGTTACAGGTGTCCGCCACCACGCTTGACTAATTTTTTGTATTTTTCGTAGAAATGGGGTTTCACCATGTTGGCCAGGCTGGTCACGAACTCCCGACCTCAGGTGATCCACCTGCCTTGGCCTTTCAAAAAGTGCTGGGATTACAGGTGTCAGCCACCGCACCTGGCCTAGATTTTTAACTATACAGAAAACAAATGCTAGACAAGGCAGAGAGTTGTGAAGAGAAGAAAGCCAGGTAGGGAACAGTAGCGAGGGCTCATCACAGGCTCATCATGGGCCAAGCACTCAACTAGACTTCACACATTTTTCGTTTCATCTAGGCTTCTCAATGACCCAGAAACGTTGATAGTATTACCCCAGGTGATATCAGGAGGTAAGTTTATGGATTTAATTGTCCACAAAATGTGTCATAGACAGTTACAAATTGGTTCAAAAGTTTTAGATAAAGTCAAGTGTGATAAATCCAGAATAAATTATTTAAGGAACTATAGAAATGAGGAGTGGGGGAGGCTAGGTATTTTAAAAATTTAAAAATTAATTCCACAGAGGAAAATAATGGCCCCGCACCAATTTTCTTTTAAAAGTTTGTTATGGCTGGGCGCAGTGGCTCATGCCTGTAATCCCAGCACTTTGGGATGCCAAGGCAGGAGGATTGCTTGAGGCTGGGAGTTCAAGATCAACCTGGGCAACATGGCAAGTCTCCCTCACTAAAATGGTAATAATAATAATAATAATAATAATAATAATAAATAAAATGAATAAAAATTAAAAGTTTGTTTTTTCATATTTCAGAAATAGTGAACAATTAAACATTTTATAACTATAGAATGTAAATAGGAAGATAAAGCCATACATAACCTCATCTCAGAGGTAAATTGCTAATATTTTGGTATATATCCTTCTAGTCTTTTCTCTGCATATGTATACAGATATTTTTTCCAAACTGGAAAACACCTGTAATGTGTATTTTTATATCCTGACTTTTAAATCTTCGCATATAAGGGAACTATTTTCTTACATTACTAAATATTCTTTAAAACATGATTTGTAATGATTTGCCATCATAAGGACAGGCCCAAATTTTACTAAACCACTCTTATTTAGAGAGTTTTCTTTTCTCTCTTAAATAACACTGCAATGACATCAGTATACATACATCTTTAACCATAATCTCTAATTAGTTCCTTAGAAAGTATCCTAGAATCACACCAAGTGTTTTAATGCCACTGCCAGAGACAAAAAATTGGTCCAGAGAGACCTTGTTTTTGAACCAGAATGGTGAGTATACTTCTTATGTAAAGATGCATCTTTGGGTTATGCTCTTAAAAATTATCTGTGCCTCTCTTGGTCTATGATAGTTCAGATAAATAAATATATAACTTATTTATAGGTCAGCTACATAAGTCATTGTTATATAGTATAGACCAATAAATCAGCATGTATTATTTTTCTTGGCATCTCATATTGCCTGACATATAGCAGGTATCCAATACATATTTGGTGAATGAATGTCTATTGAATGAAATCCTGCAAAAATAATGGCACTTTCAGCTTGAACATGAGGACCAAAAATTGGAAATGTGAAATTACAGCGCTTTCACTTCAGTGGATGATTCACAGGCCCAGCTGGTTTCGTGCGTGTTTTATGAAGAGCAGTGTGCAGCGCTGTTCTGTAAGTATTGCAATCTGGGGGAATGGTCTCAGCGGGTTTAGAGCAAATCTTCTGGTGTAGGGTCTAACAAAGCAACTGCTCTCTGAGCCAGGGGAATGCTGGGCTTCTCTGGTGAGCAGCGTGGGTGGCCGCTTGTTCTCGGCTTTCCTCCCATTGTGTTCAGACAGCCTACGTTGCTCTTGTTTGCTCTGTGTCACTAGGGCCCTGGGGATAGCAAGAAATCTGTCCAGAAGTGTAAAACCACCCTTTTTATGAAACGAGAAAGTTGGAACAAGAACATTCAATGCGCTGACTGGCGATCTCAGAAAAGACACCCAGCAATGGCAAAATATAAAACAAAAGGGTCATCTGAGATTTGGCATCCTAAATCACTTACTTCTCTCTATCAAAGGGAGCTCCATTTTCTATAAGCTGCTGCCTTTACACACCCTCAACACAGATGTTTCTCCCTCTCCTCAGAGTTTGTAAAACTCACTCCATGAGGAAAGTTTCTGTCCTGCAGGTGGGTATAAGAGTGTGACCAGGAAGCACAGTATGGGATACAGAAGGCCACAAGGAATGGTGGAAAGGAAGATGACATGGAGAGAAAGGGAACCTGGGACTCAGTCTTGAATCTTTCTGAGTGACCTTGGTCAAGTCACCAAAGCATTCATTCAACAAACATTTGAGTGCTCAGTATATACTCCAGCAACGCTGTCCAAGAGAAATATAACAAAAGCCACACATGTAATTTAGAATTTTCTAATAGCCACCTTGAAACACAGTAAAAATAAGTAGGTAAAATTAATTTAAGTAGTATATTTTCTTTAACCCAGTATATTTGAAGTATTGACATTTCATGATGTAGTCAATATAAGAAATTATTTAAGAGATATATTTACATAGTTTTTACCATACTACATCTTTAAAATGAAGTATATGTTTTATACTTATGACACAACTCATCTCAAACACTACGTTTTCATCGGAAATAGTCAAGCTTTTTTAGGTTTCATACAGCTTACAGCTGAGAAAGGACATTCCCATACATAAATTATTCCAAATATACTTAAAAGTTTTTCAATAATAAAATCAGACTTTACATTAAAATTAAAACACAATGAAAAATTCATTTCCTCCATCTCATTAACCACATTTCAAGTGCTCAGTAGTCATATATAGCTAGTGGTTACTATACTGGATCACTCAGTTCTAGAGCTCATTGAACTCTGCCCTCTAGATTTCAATCCAATGAGGAATTAAGACCAAAAAAAAAATATATCTAGCGACTACAATATAAGAAGCCTTTTTATCTAAAACTTATCTGGATGTATCTAAAGACTTATCTATTCTTGTCTTGAAACTAGAGGTCTGTAGGTTAATTTTTAGCTAGTTTAGTTAGGAGTCATAAAAATGATACCTAACTTAAAACATTTTTCAAACTTAAAATACATAAAGGTATGACAATTCATCAATCTTATGTGACCAAAGGATCTCCGAATAAGAATTTACTGATGGAATTTTGAGTTGCTTTCCTTGCATGTGTCAGATCCATTGTGCAGGAACAATAATTTTCAATAGGGAAAAAATTCCAAGTTGTAAATGAAGGCCAAGGTCAAGGACTGGCTACAGCCAGTGTAGAAGCCACATGGGCATGGTTCATTAATGGTAAATGTGGCAAACACTGTTCACTGCCTACTCATCCACCATCCTCACTTTCTTCTCTGCCAGACAGAACTCTGGTTCTATTCAGTTAGTAAATGGGGATCCCTTGATCTTATCAAAGCTGTGCACAGTCTATGCCAGCCCAGGGAAGAATCACGATTGGCTTAAACCTTTGCCAGTAATTGCCTAGGGGTAGGCATAAGAGTTAGTTCTGGCCAGTGAGATTTCAGGGTAAATCTTTTTTCAAAGACTTTCTCCCTAAATGGAGAGAGTTCACAAGGAGAACATGTTTGGCCCTCGCCCCTTTCTTTATGTTCGAAATGCAGCTCTGTAAGGAGTTGCAGCTGCAATCTTAGGCCCATGGGGACATTAGCCTAAGACTACTTGAGACAGCTCTTCTACAGTTTGTTGTACATAATGAGAACTCAGTAAGTCATCACTAAGCATGAGAATTTGTCTTTTCCTTTACAATTTTATTGACTTACCCAGGTTCCTTTGAGGCCCATCTCTTCCATAAACCCTCTGTGATCCCTCCAGCCTGCAGGGGTACTCCCTCTTGCAGGCCCATAGTACTTACTTAATTGATACTTAATCATATACTATCTTGAAACACTCTTCATTTCTTTATCCTAACTTGACTTTTTATATGTCTAACTATGTTGAAGGCAGACCCCATGTGTTCTTCTTTGTATCTTCCGTCACATCTAGCAACATCCAGGTACTGGGCTGCTGTTCAAAAATATCTATAAAAGAAGTCAGTGAAAGAATAAAAGAGTAAAGACAGACATCCTCACTCTCTTGATCATGGAGTGGTATTTACCTTAAATAGCACTTAAGCCAGTTGCAAATTGATGGTCTAGGTTACTATTATTATATCGCATAGATTCTCAGGTTCTACTTCAATATTTGATCCAATGTTTATCCCTATTTTTAAATTTTGGATTAAAATTACCAATTTTGGATTCATGGTATTCTTACTCACTTTACTGATGCTCTAGTTTTTTCCCCCTATATTTCTTTTACTCAGATTGCAAAGAACTTATTCTAAATCTCTTTCCATTTCTTCCTTGAAAATTCTCCCTTCTTACATTTCTGCCACCTAGGGACAAATGTACTTCAAATATTCCTTGGAACTCTGTTCTACTATCCCCTCCACTTCCCAAATGTGGTAGTCTCTGAAGGCCTGGACAGAGAGGGAAGGCCTGACCACAGTGCCTATAGTTGGTTAGTCAAAATGGAACCAAAGCTAGTGTGTGGCAGCCAAGAATTGCAGCAGCCTAAGTCCCCAGGGCATGCTGACGTACAAACATGGGAAGCCAAGGGCCTACGCCAGTTTCTAGAGGCAAACAGAAGGGATCAAAGGTCAGCAGCTCTGCAGAAGCTGGAGCAAAGTGGAAGCCAACTAGAAATGCAGCGCACCAGCATGGCACATGTATACATATGTAACTAACCTGCACAATGTGCACATGTACCCTAAAACTTAAAGTATAATTAAAAAAAAAAAAAAAAGAAATGCAGCAAAAAACTTTCCAGGCAGTTCCAAGAAGAGCATTGGAAGGGCCTCACTCTCCATTATCAGTCAGAAGCCACATGGCACATGGAAGTGTTTCCCCTGCATGCACAAAGGGAAGAATGAGAGAATGCTTCCTAGTACATCTTCTTTTCCCAGGCTCACATTTTTTATAGTTAACTTAGGCTATTTTATTTATTAAACAAAGTTAATTGCCTCCATATCCTCTGAGGACTGGGCTGCTCCAGAGTCAGCTGGCCCCTTGCCTGGCTGCCTGCACATTTGCAACTGAAGGACACCATCAGTTTGGACATGTCAAGGATGCCAGTAGGATGGTGGTTTCCCTAGGCTGTTTGCCTGCTGGAGAGCCTCTAACATGCCTGCAAGGAGGGGAAAACAGAGAGAGAGAGAAAGGCAATAAAATGTGGAAAAAAACAGATCTATATCTAGTCCTAGAACAGCAGCAATGTCCAGAGGGCAGCCAAAAGCCCAGTGAAGCAAGTAAAAGATAACAGACTGCAAGCAGCAGGCAGCAACTGACAGATTTCTCAGAGCAGGCAGGAGGTAGTCTGAGCAATTATACAGGGATAAAGCTGAGACCCACAGAGGCAATGAAAAGAGATGGAACAATGCCAACAAAGGCTTGAGGGTAAAAGGAGCATCACAGGGAAATAGGAACAAAGCTTCATGTGAGCCATTAGATACCAGATAAAGAAAGTTCCAGATCGATAAGACATATTGGGTCATCTAAGAGGAAGGGAGGATGATGGGAATGGATTTTTCAGGACAAGTGTTTTAAAAACCTTGTTTTATCTAAAAAAAATAAAGATGAGCTCAAAATGAGATCACTGGGGACTGTCACTTCAGCCCACAGCTGCCATAGTATAGGAGGGGGGGCAAGGACTTCTAGAAGTGCAAAGTCACCCCATTGACTCATTGAGGGGACTCCCTGAGGTGTTAGACATCTGTTACTGGTGGCCCTGGATTGGGCTGCTGGCTGCAGTGTAAGGGAACAATGTGGCAGGACAAAGGGAGAATTCTGGTTTCTGAATGCAGCAAGGAAGATCTTAATCTATAAGGAAAGTGGCCAGTCGCTAGGAAGACAGTCCGTCCAGGGATAGAGAGGCTCATGGCAAGGGCAGGCTCAGGGGAGGCAATTTGATTGATTTGATGGAACACTTAATGTTATCTATGTAGGTGACAGTGACTCTCCCTGTTTTTACCAGGAAATTTCTATGAGGGCATGGGTTTGTTTAGGTATGCAATACTCAGCACTCGTTTGGCACTTAGCCTCCCTCTCCTCCCTTAACCTTCTGCCACATCCTCTGGCCCATTTCCAAACCTGGATCATTTCCATGATCCCTTTTTCCCTTATCCTGGGGCCCTGAGCCCTGGCCTGCCACACGTCCACTGTGAGGCCTGGACAGCCTAGAGCCTGCTAATGATTTTTCGTCCATTTCTAAGCCCACTTGCCACAAACTTTTTTAAGTGTCTGCTCTCAAGTGAGCTTCATTTTAATAAAAAGGAGTTCCTTCTATTTCCACCCCCTCTCCTCCAGCACACAAATGCCCCCAGGTCCTTTACTTGTCTTTTAACTTTGATCATCTCTCCTCCCGTTATCTCCCAATTGGATCCCTTTCAGCAAATGCTGTCAATCTTCTCTTTCCCTTTCCCCTGCTCTGGTCAGCAGATAACATCATGTCAGCTTCAGGTATTACATAATCTGACATCCTCTCTTCTTCGTAGTCCTCTGTTTCTCCCCTCTCTTTCTCATGCCTGCCTCCTCCAAGCCTTGCACTGTTTCATAGTCCCCCAAATCCCTCATCATCCCCTTGACTTTCTTCTCCTATACGTAAAAGAGAGGTTTTCCGCTTTAGCTGTGTTTTAGATCACCTGAAGAGCTTCTAAAAAGTATTGAAATCCCTAAACGATTGAAAAGAGGATCTTGAAGAAATATTTGTCCATCTGTGTTTACAGGAGCATTACTCACAATAGCTAAAAGATGGAAGCAACCCCAGTGTCCACAATGAATGGACCAACAAAATGTGGTATGCCCATACAATGAATATTATTCAGCCTTAAAAGGACAGGAAATTCTGACGCATACTACAACATTGATGAATTTGAGGATGTTATTTTAAGGGAAATAAGCTAGTCACAAAAGTACAAATACTGTATGATGCCACTTATGGCAGGTACCTAGAGTAGTGCAGTTCAGAAGCTGAAAGTAGAATGGTGGTTGCCAAGGGTTGTCAAGGAGGGGAGAATGGGGAGTTATTGTTTAATGGGTACAGAGTTTCAGTTTTGCAACATGAAAAATGTTCTGTGGATGGTTGGTGGTGATGTTTGCACAATGTGAGTTTACTTAAAATCTCTACACTTAAAAATAGTTAAAATTAAAAACTAGCCAGGTGTGGTGGCACACGCCTGTGGTCCCAGCTTGGGGAGCTGAGGCAGTATGATTGCTTGAGCCCAGGAGGTTGAGGCTGCAGTGAGCCATGATCATGCCACTGTACTCCAGCCTGGATGACAGAGCCAGACCATCTCAAAAAAGAAAAAAAAAGCTAGAATGGTAAATTTTATGTTATATATATTTTACAATTTTAAGTAAATAAATAACTCTTTTTTTAAAGTATGGATACCTGTTCTCCACTCCAGATCCCCTAAATCATAATCTCCAGAGTGGTGAATGTTTTCTATTCATTCAATTGACAGTGACTCTGTGCCACGCCCTGTGCTGGGGGCTGGGGATACAGACATGAAGCGCACAACATCCCCTTGTTGAAGAGTTCACAGCCTAGGGAAGAGAGCAAGCACTTTGCATACAGTTGGCAAGATGAGTGATGAGAGAGGAGTGTTCAACCTGGGATCAGAGGCTGGTGGGTGGACAGCACCTAAAGATTCCTGGAGGTGGCGTTGTTATCTCCACTTCCTGCAATCCCTCCTGCTTTCCCTTGCTCCTTGCAATCTTGCAATCTGTCTGTTAAAATATTTGACTGGTTTAAATGCTCCACCCCATCCCCATGTATATATTAACCTTTATGTGGGTTTATAATGCATTCCTAATTGCAAAACACTGTGGTGGCATGTTCCATGTGGCAGAGATAATGCTATGGGTTTGCCCACTCTTGTGTTATTTTCCTCTTTCCTGGGCACTCAGGCACAGATTTTTTCTCCACCCTCCCTCTTAGGTTGAGGCCACGTGCCTAGATTTTGGCCAATGACGTGTGAGGAGAAGGGATGCAGGCCACTGCCAAGTCAGACCCTTGTCAAAACCTCCATCCCCTGTTCTCTCCTCCCCTTCTTTGGCATCAATGCAAACTCTTGCTTTATAAGGACAAACCTCGAGGTAGAGAAGGGTCTCATGACCAGAACTGGTCTTGCTGTGAGTGAAAAACAAACTTTTATTAGGTTAAACCACCTGAGAGTTTAGGGTTTTCTGTTGCAGCTGCTGGCTTTAAATACCCTAATAAGTTCTCCATCTCTATTCCTTCATTCAATCATCACTTTATTTATTATTTTTTAAATTTTTAGCCCTGATTGTCTTCCTGGCATATAGCTGTGGGCATTCTCATTACTCTTATTTTCTCTTAGAATCCAACTGGGAATTGTCCTCCTGAAAGGTGCTGGAAGTCTCGGCCACAGGGTTTCTGCTGGTTTTCCCCTTCCTCCATGATGTGCGGCATTCTCCTCCTTTCCTCACTTATGAAACAAAGGCATTTCCCAATAGTTTTACTCTGGGTTTCTCTCCCTCTCTAACACTATTGTGTCGGTTGAAGGAGAATCAGGAGGAGGTAGGGACAGCCTCACACAGCGGGAGGATCCCTTGAAACCAGGAGTTCGAGACCAGTCTGAGCAACATGGTAAGAACTCATCACTAAAATTATGCCAGGCTTGGTGGCACACCTGTAATCCCACCTATAGAAGGAGAGGGGAAAGGAGGACTGGCTAGGAAGAGTGCCAGGTTGCTGTGCACCTCTGAGAAAGAGTGGACCAGGCTGCTGAGCTCCTGAGCAGAGTGCTTGTCAGAAGACTCCCATGTTGAGCAGGAATGGCTTGGCTCTAGTACCTTTGCCATGCTCTGACATTGGCTGGGAGCAGCCTGGGGAGTGTCGCCTCAGTAGGAATGCTGCAGTTGAACCCCAAAGGGGCAGCAGCTACAGGCTGTCAGCTACTACACTCCTCCCATTCTGGTTCTCTCTAAGGAGATCTGGGGGTACTCCCAGGCTGCCACATGTGTCCACTTGCCCTGCTTCTTTGTTGCACTTCTCCTGTGGGAGGCTCATTAGTTCCAGTGTATCTACTAACACTTGATATCCCAGGAGAGTTAAGTGTGAGACTCAGACCATGAGTAAGAGCATACTTTGTATACATGGTTCACTTCAATCTTTGCCTTCTCTGTGAAGCTGTCCTCCCCCCACCCACCCCCATTCCATAACACTTGTGTACCCACTATCATCTCTGCACTTGCCAAATTCTAGGTTTTGAAAAATGTAAACCCTACTTTCCCCAATGGTTTGTGAGCATATTTGTAAAATATGTAAACAAGTAAGGTGTGGTGGCCTGCGCCTGTAGTCCTAACTACTGGGGAGGCTGAGGTGGGGGGATCCCTTGAACTCAGGAGTTCGAGGATGTGGTGAGCAGTGTTTACACCACTGCACTTCAGCCTGGGTGACAGAGCAGACCCTGTCTCAAAAAATAAAAATTAAAATTAAAAAATTAAAAAAAAGGAGGCCAGGCACGTTGGCTCATGCCTGTAATCCCAGCACTTTGGGAAGCGAAGGCAGGGAGATCACTTGAGATCAGGCAGGAGTTTGAGATCAGCCTGGCCAACATGGTGAAACCCTGTCTCTACTAAAAATACAAAAATTTGTGGGGTGTGGTGGCACACGCCTGTAATCCCAGCTACTTGTGAGGCTAAGGCAGGAGAATCACTTGAACCCAGGAGGTGGAAGTTGCAGTGAGCCAAGATCATGCCACTGTGCTCAAGCCTGGGCGACAGAGTAAGACTCTGTCTGGAAAAAAAAAAAAAAAGTAAACATATTTATCTTTGCATCCTTATAGCCTGATACTATGTGAGACATACAGTCGGAGCTCAATTGCATTGTTTGTTGAATAAATTTTAGTATTAGAAATAATTACTGGGCTTACCATGGAAAGTGTGGAAAACTGAATCAGCTGAGAGCAAAGGAGTTGCTTTCAAGTCCTAGCTCCAATGTTTAGAAGCTCCGTGAACTTGGGCGAGTTACTTAACATCTTTGACTCTCATTGTCTTGTCCATGAAAAAAGGAAGTGACCTTAATGAAGTCCCCACTCAGAAGCAGGCATTTCACACATGGTAACTCACTTAATAGGAGTTACCTGCCCATCCCAGTGATAAAGCTATTGTGAGGATCAGCAAAACGTCAGATGGGAAAGCATCAGGCAAATGCTAAAGCTCTGTAAGGATGTAAGATAGGACATTTTTACCACCTCTGCACACACAAATCCCAAATCTTCATTTCTACCCCAGCCTACGTCCCGAGTTCCAGGCTGGAATCCCAGATCAAAGCAAATGCCTTATCAGTAATTACTTCTTGCCACATCAGACCCTAATTCATTCTTTTGGGCCCCGTCTTACGCTATTTCCCTATAAGGCAGACCCTCTGCAGGGTTCGAAAAGGCCTAATTCTGTGAGCAAGACTGCACCTGCCCAGACTGAGCTTTTGCTCACGATTGTCCTCTGTTTGGGGAAACGTCATCTCTCTCTCTGCCTACAGAAATCTTGCTATATTTAAAAGCCAATCTCAGATCCTACCCCTAGCAAAGTGCTGTCTCGTTATTCTCACTCCTACAACAGCCACTAGTAGTACTATTAATATCACTACAATTACTAACATCTAGTTAAAAGACTGCCTGGGTTTGTATTCCTTAATTCTGCCATTTACTAGTTGTCTGACCTTGAGCAAGTCGATTAACGTATTTACATTTTAGTTTCCTCATCTGTAAAATAGGCATAAAAATCCTCCCATCTCACAGGGGTATTATGATGACCAAATGAATTAATACAGATAATATGTACTACAATGGTTTCTATTTGATAGGAGATAAAATGACTGTCTGCACCTCAAATGTAGCACTTAATTAACAAGATATTTCCATGTGACAGGGTTAATTTTATTATGCTTTAACTATGGTTGGGTACTATGCTAGTCATTTTACCTGTATTAACTTATTCATGTCTTACTATGATCCAAGTCCCTACTTTTTTAAAAAAAGAAAACCGGCCAGGTGTGGTGGCTCATGCCTGTAATGCTAGCACTTTGGGAGGCCAAGGCAGGAGAATCACCTGAGCTCGGGCATTTGAGACCAGCCTGGGCAACATAACGAGACCTCATCTCTATTTTTAAAAAAATGAATAAATAAAAATAAAAATAAAAAACAAGAAAACTGAGGCACAGAAAGTAAAGCAATTCACTCAAGGTCATGAATCTAGTTAGTTTCTACAAACTTCAAATTTAACTCCAAATTCTGTACATTGATACTACACCACACTATCTCTTTAATGTGTGTAAGTCTTAACAACCAGATTGCTGGTGGCAGTGCCTGTCTGCACTTCTTGCTACTTGAGCCTGTCTCTCAAGCACCATAATAACTACTTGATAAATACATTTTCATTTATTGATTAGTTCATGCCACATTTATTAAGTATCTCAGTGGCAGGCAGGCAGAAAGGTAAAGCACAAGTTCTATCTAAGTAGGAAATACTATTATGGTATATTATATATTATAGTATGTATACACACACACATATATAACATATGTTATAGTACAGGATATCACAGACAGTGGAAGCACAATAAAATGAGCAATCAATTGATCAATTCAGTACACATCAAATAGCACCATGTACAAATGCCCAAAACAGAAACTACCCAAGAAAACACTGCTTAGCAATAGCCTACCTAGAAACATTAAATTAGCAAGCGAAACTTGCAGGTCTCCTGAAAGAAGGGTGAAGTCCTCCCTTACCCTTCTTGAATTGCAAAATGCTGTAAACAGATCTCCAGCAGTGTTTTTGATGACCAATCCAGGGTAAGGAGACTGCCAGGAAGACAGCTGCCTCCTCTGCTGACTCTTACTCATTACCTACTGACGGAGCACTTCTCCACTCTAGACCACAGCCACAGGAGTAAATAACCCTCAATCAACAGAGGAGTTTAGCTGAAGTGGGCACACTAGGTGGAAGGAAGGGATGTTATATACCTGGCACTAAGCATGCATTCTATGATGAGATCCTCACTGTACTCTCCGGATGGTCATTTCTAACACTTTCCTCAAACCTCCTACTCCTCCCCACTTCCACTGATGGCCTCAGCTGTACTTTATTGAGAAAATGAAAATTTTTAGAAGAAAATTGCTTCATCTTCCCACCACTGAGTTCCTAAGTTTAACTGAATCTGGGTCCATTTTCTCCTTCTTCCCTCTTGTTACTGTGCAGAAAGGGACCCTCCCACCAACAAAGGCTGATCCCTTCACTTGCTCTAGAAGCCATCCTCTCTTCTCCCAGGGACTTTGTTCCTTTTTGGTTCCCTTTTTTCTTCAATCATTATTCTCTCTCTCTCCCTTTCTCTCTCTCTCTCTCTCTCTCTCTCTCTCTGTCTCTCTCCTTGTCTGTCTAGTAAGTCATTCTTATTGGCATATCATGTTCTAGTACCTCCTATATTTAAAAACAAGCAAAAGCCTTAACATCACATTCTTTCTTAGCTGATACCTTGATTTTCTAAGGTTGTCTACATATGTCCATATTTCTTCTCCCCATTTGCTCATTTCTCCCTATTATTTTACATTTTAATTGAACACACAGAAAAACTACATAACCATCACCACTATTCAAGGTTCTTACGGGCATCCCTCAGATTCTGTCTCCCTACATCCCCTCCAAAGGTAACCACTATCCTAAATTTTGTTTTTTTAATCACTCGCTTGATTTTTTTCTTAATCAGATTTGCTATCAGATAACTTACCTGCAGTAAATTCACATAATTTAAAAGTACATGCTGGGCATGGTGGCACATGCCTGTAGTCCCAGCTACTTGGGAGGCTGAGGCAGGAGGATTTCTTGAGCCCAGGAGTTTGAAGTCAGCTGGGGCAACATAGTGAGACCCCATGTCTAAAAAAATACAATGCAATGAATTTTGCTACATATATGCCATCATGTAATCACCACCACAGTAATGATGCAGAACATTTCTTTCATCCCAAAAAGTTTTCTCTTGCTTCTTCGCTCGTCAATTTTTATCCCTACCCTCAGCCACTAGCAAACACTAATTTCTGCAACTAGTGTCTTACCTTTTTTAGGATTTTATATAAATGGAATCATATAGTATGTAGTCTTTTGTGTTTGACCTCCTTCAGTCAGCATAATGCTTTTGAGATTCATCTATGCTATTGTATGTGGTAATAGTTCATTCCTTATGCTGAAGAGTATTACACTATATGGATATACCACAATGTGTTTATCCATTTGCAGTTGAGAGACATTTGGGTTGTTTGCAGTTTTAGTTTATCATGACAAATGCTGCTTTGACTATTCAAGTACAGGTCTTTATGTGAACATATGTTTTCCTGTCTCTTGGATGAATACCCAGGGATGGGATTGCTGGGTTGTTTGGAAAGTGTATGTTTCACTTTATAAGAAACTATCAAGCTTTTTCCAAAGTGGTTGCACCATTTTTTCATCTCCACCAGCAGTGTATGAGAGTTTTGGGTGCTCCTCATCAACATTTGGTATGATCAATTTTCCTTTTTTTTTTTTTAACCTTAGCCATCCTAGTTACTATATAGGGATATCACACTGTGGTTTTAATTTGCATTGTTCTACTAACTAATAATGTCGAATATCTTTTTATGTGTTTGTCATCAATATATTTTCTTTGATAAAGTATCTTTTCATATCTTTTGCTCATTTTTAAAATTAGATTTTTGTCTTCTTAAGTTGTAAGAGTTCTTTATATATTCTAGATACAAGTCTTTTATCAAATATTTGTTTCGCAGTTTTCTCCCAGTCTGTGGTTTGCCTTTCCATTTTCTTAACAATGTCTTTCAAAGAACAAATGTTTTAAAATTTTAAAATATTATTTTTAAACATTTTTAAGTGTTACCAATTTTTTTCTTTTATGACTTTTTGTATCCCATCTTAAAAATCTTTGCCTACTTCAAAGTTATTCCAATAATCTGCTAAATTGTTTTTCCTATAAGTTTAATAGTTTTAGCTTTTATATTTAGGTCTATGACCCATTTCAAGTGAATTTTTGTGTATGGGGTAAGTTAAGGGCCTATTGCTTTAACACTATTTTTTGGAAAAATTATTATTTCCACATTGAAATACCTTGGCACTTATGTCAAAAATCAATTGACCATATATGAGTGGGCCCATTTCTGCGTCTCTACTCTTTTCAGTTAATCTTTATGTGTTTCTTTATGCCAATACCATAACATTTGTAGAGTAAGTCTTGGAGTCATGTAGAGTAAGTTTGTTTTACTTTTTCAAAATTATTTGACTATTTTAGGTCCTTTGTATTTCCATCTGAATAAGCTGGTCAATTTCTACCAAAAAAAAAAATTTCTGCTTGGAGACTCTACTTTCTGTAATGGTGGCATGGAGAAGAGGTAGAGAAGTTTCTTTCCACAGCAAACAATTATAAAGCTGGACAAAATTATTAACAACAACCATTTTGGAGCACTGGTAAATGACCAAAGTCAAGTAACAATTTTAGAAGTTTTACTCATGAAAATTTCACCACACCAAATAAGAAGACTGAGTCTGTGGCCTTCTTTGTTCTGGACACGGCACAGGGGGCATTCCTATGCAAATATCCATGTTGAATAGCAAGAACCTACAGTTTTAATGGCTGGAAGTGGTTGTCTTGGTTTGAGAAGGGTGGCGGAACAGCTAATATGGAAGAATTGTATTAACAGACCTGAGAGAGCCATAGAAAGACTGATATAATAAAATCTCCACATATCTCTGGATAAATGCTAAGCTATGTGTGCATCCCAAAGAGCCCAGTTAAAGTTAAAAGTCTGAAAAGACTTGAAAGTCTGCTGTACCTTTAAATGTGCTCCTCGGCCTGGTGCGGTGGCTCACGCCTATAATCCCAGCACTTTGGGAGGCCGAGGCAGGTGGATCACCTGAGGTCAGGAATTCGAGACCAGCCTGACCAACATGGAGAAACCTTGTCTCTACTAAAAATACAAAATTAGCCGGGCATGATGGTGCATGCCTGTAATCCCAGCTACTCGGGAGGCTAAGGCAGGTGAATTGCTTGAACCCAGGAGGCGGAGGTTGCGGTGAGCCATTGCACTCCAGCCTAGGCAACAAGAGCAAAACTCTCCCAGAGTGTGCAGCCATTGATGTCTCTGATCAGTTTTTAATTTTTTGTTTTCTCCTTGGAGAAGTGATTGAGGGCTCCTTAGGCTTTCCCCTGCACCAGCATAGGTTATTGGTAAGCCAATATGTTGGGTGGAGGCTATGCTCAGACACCTCAAGCCAGTAAGACTTTCACTTTCTGCCATCTGAGTGTATCAGTTGAGGAGCACATTTTTTTTTTTTTTTTTTTTTTTTTTTCAGACAGAGTCTTGCTCTGTCCCCAGGCTGGAGTGCAGTGGCATGATCTCAGCTCACTGCAACCTCCATCTCCTGGGTTCAAGCGGTTTCCCTGCCTCAGCCTCCCTAGTAGCTGGGGCTACAGGTGCACGCCACCACGCCCAGCTAATTTTTTGTATTTTAGTAGAGACGAGGTTTCACCATGTTGGCCAGGATGGTCTTGATCTCCTGACCTCATGAGCCGCCCTCCTCAGCCTCCCAAAGTGCTGGGATTACAGGCGTGAGCCACTGTGCCCGGCCTATCTTTTTATTTTTATTATAGATGGGCTATCACTATGTTGCCCAGGCTGGAGTGCAATGGCTATTTACAGGCACAATCCTGCTATTAATCAGCATCAGATCTTTGACTTGCTCTATTTTCAACTTGGGCTGATTTATCCATCCTGAGATAACCTGGTGGTTCTCTCCTTCCAGGAAGTTACCATATTGATGCCAAGCTTAGTGCAGACACCTGATCAGCGTAGCACACTGCAGCCCCAAATTTCTGGACTTAAACAATCCTCCCACTTCAACCTTCCAAGTAGCTAGGACTACAGGTGCATGCTACCACACCCAGTCTCATACGGTATTTTTAGAGGAATTACTAAAAAATAAAGCAAATAAATATAGCTATCAAGTCAGAAGAGGAATTAAAATAAAAGAATAAATTTTTCATTATTCAGCTCCCACTATAAGTGAGAATATGAGGTGTTTGGTTTTCTGTTGCTGTGTGAATTTGCTGAGGATTATGGCTTCCAGCTCCATCCATGTCCCTGCAAAGGACATGATCTCAATCCTTTTCATGGCTGCATAGTATTCCATGGTATATATGTACTATATTTTCTTTATCCAGTCTATCATTGATGGGCATTTGGGTTGATATCATGTCTTTGTTATTGTGAATAGTGCTACAATGAACATACACGTGCACACAGGTAGGGGAACAACACACACTGAGCCTGTTGGAGGGTGCAGTTGGGGGAGGGAGAGCATTAAGAAAAATAGCTAATGCATGCTGGGCTTAATACTTAGGTGGTGGGTTAATAGGTGCAGCACACCACCATGGCACATGTTTACCTATGTAACAAGCCTGCACGTCCTGCATGTGTACCCTAGAACTTAAAATTAAATAAATAAATTTTTAGCACAAAAAAGAGTAAAGGAGGAACATAGGAGCAACAAGAACAAAAAGACGAGAGGAATAGAAAAACAGCAAAATGGCCTAACTTTTCTAGCACTTGATGGTTATGTTTAGTGTGAATGTCCTAAATATTCTAATCAAAAGTCAGGTATTGTCAGACTGGACAAAAAAGCAAGATTCAGTATTTGGTTTTTACTTGAGATGTGCTTTAAATTCAAAGACACAAATCTCGTCCAGTGAATTTCTTACTTTGGATAATCTCTAGAAGTTCCATTTGGGTCTTTTTCACACTTTCAAATTCTCTTCTCATTATGGCTATATTTTCTTCTACCTTTTGAACATATGGAGTGGCTTTAATATTCTTATGCACTAGTTTCATCATTGATATCATTTTTGCATCAGTTTCTAAGGATTGGTTTTTGTCTATGTTTTGGGATATTATTTTACTGCTTCTTTGCATTCTCATGGTTATTTATTTTTTTCTCAGATACTGGACATTGTCAATTTATGTCGCTGGTGGCTAGATTTTCTTGTATTCTTTTAATAATGTCATACTTTTTTCTGGTATGCAGTTATTTGGATAACAGTTGGATCCTTTCAAGCTTGCTTTTAAGCTTTGTGGTTTTGGGTCCACAGCAGCCTCTAGTAAGGTTTTATGCTGACTATTAAGATGTTTTACTTCTTAGTTTCCTACTGATGCTGCATATATCATGAGACCTGTTCACTCTGACTTGTGGAAGCAAGAACATTTCTCAGTCCTATATGAGATCCAGGAATTCTTCTGCCTACTCCCTTCTGGTAGGTCTTTCCCTGACCTCAGGTTAATTCTCTCTCACTCCCACTTATGCCTAGTGTTCCATTAATGGAACGCTAAGCATGTGGGAGTTATTTATATCCTACTGCTCAATGTCATCGCCAAGGTTTGATTTTTCAAATACAAAAAAAATTGCAACCTCAGGTATAAATGGGTTAAATAGATCATTCTGCAGATCCCCAGATCTCTCCTGTATAGCTCCCTCCTCTACACTACTCTGCTCTGTAAATTGTGGCTGCCTTGTTCTCCCCAAACACCAATCTGCTTTCTTCATTACTACTGGATTTTGTTTGGGGTTCAGTTTTTCAGTGCTACTGCCTGAAAACTCCCTTCAGGGGGTAAGCTGGTGCAATTACAGAGCTCACCTGGTTTGTTTTCCTTCACTCACACACTACAGTCCTGCTCTGCCTATTGTCCAATTTCCAAAAACCATTGTTTCATGTATTTTTCCAGTTATCAAGTTGTTGAGGCAGAAGAGTAAATTTGCTGTCTGTTCTAACATGTTGGCCAGAAGCAGGAGTTTCAGTTCTTTTGTTTTCTAAAAATACTTTTATAATATTTTTAAATTTGGGGTATTTTAAGATTATTTTAAATGCACAGTAAATAATACTGTAAGTTGGGGTTGTTTTTTGGTAATTTTTTCTCCATTCAAAGTACTATTTATTTATTTTTCTACAAGTTTCTCCTTTAATAAGGGCCTGTTTATTTTGTGGGGAAAAGGCCTCAAACATCAGGCTGTTCACAAAAATAACCCACAGTATCAACTTTAGAAAACTATCTTAAGACTATTACACTGATTTTTTTTAGAGGATGCATTTGACATGCCAACTCTCATTCACAAAAATACACTGTTACATTTGCGCTGCACTGCCCCACACAGCATACTTCTGTGGGTATAACCCACATACTTCCAACTCAAAGCTGCCCTCCAGTGCTACTGAACTAAATGAGATTTCCTTTGCAGTTAGGGAAGCAACTACTGAACTCATGTATGAATGAAAAGAACTGTTCTCCTGCATAACAAGAGATTATTTTAGAGACAGTTGATAAAAACCATACATCCTTTTAATCGATAAGTCATAAAGAGCTATCAAAATTAAAAGCAAAAATTACAGGGTAAGACTTAACAAAACTACTAGGAGCCTCAAAGGAAGTGATAATGAGACTAGGCTCAGAGCAATATGAATTAATGAACATGGTAAGGACAAGGATGGGGAGAACAGTGAGCATGTGCTGAAGATACCAGGGGAGAGGATCAGGTGAGGAATTTGATCTTAGACAGCCGCCTAAGTAAAGAAATAATGGGATAGGATTTCTAAACCCCATCATGTGTTTAAGAGTCGTTCTCAGCTGGATGTGGCGGCTCACACCTGTAATTCAGCACTTTGGGAGGCCGAGGTGGGTGGATCACCTGAGGTCAGGAGTTCGAGACCAACCTGGCCAACATGGCAAAACCCCGTCTCTACTAAAAAAAATACAAAAATTAGCTGGGCATGGTGGCACGCGTCTGTAATCCCAGCTACTTGGGAGGCTGAGGCAGGAGAATTGCTTGAACCTGGGAGGCAGAGCTTGCAGTGAGCCGAGATTGCGCCACTGCACTCCAACCTGGGTGACAGAGCAAGACTGTCTCAAAAAAAAAAAAAAAAAGTCATTCCCGCCACTGGCGCTGTCTCTGTCATCCTCCCCTCTCTCAGCCTCTTTTTCATCATCCTTGATTATCTACAGTTGGTCACCCCCACATTCAGTATCGTCGTCATCCAGCAGGTCCTTCTCCTCAGCAGAGTCATCTGCAGCCCCTCAGATTCCATCTTCACATTAGTCTCATCTTACTTCACGGAGCTGCTGCTCGGCCCGTCATCTGTCTTCACATCCTTCAACTCTACTCCTTGTAGGCTCTCCTCCTTTTCAAATTTCTCCAGATTTTCCAGTAGAGAATCCACTTTTTGTTTTATCTGGGTCAATTCCTTCTTATGGCCTGAAGGTCATCTCCTTTCAATTCGGAAGATCCCCACTGCCCACTCTTAGAATTAAAGCCACTTTTGCCCCTTTGTGAGGTGTTTCCTGATACATGCTGGCGTTTTGAGGGTACTACAGCCCAAGCACTAGGAGGAGGAGGAGAAGCATGTGCTGGATCACGGTGCATCCTGTCATAATAATCCCATTGAAAATCACAGACCAAGTCAAAAGAGGAGCCATACATCTCCGCTGCAGATCATCTCACGCCGGCTTTTCCTCAGTTCACTTTCAGCTCTGCAGCCAGATTAGTATCTAAAACTTGGCCGGCAATCATTCTGCCATCCCCTCCTGCCACAGTAGGCTGGATATTTCTCTCATGAACACAGTGAACAGAGGCAAAGCCCTTATGAACAGAGCCACCCACAGTTTTGCCATACTTTGAAAAGATTGCTTCCACATCAGACTTCTTGACCACAAGAGTGTTGAGATTCCCAATGAATACTCTGGGGTTCATGGAGTGAGGATTTGACTTGTTGATAACATTGCTAGCCATTATGTTTGATGGGAAGGTTTCTCACAAAGCCAAAAACAGGAGTGGGAAGGGAGATTCTGTGTCTCCAATCCAGGGTTCCATGTGGAGAAGCCAACTGCTGCTTGAGGTCAACGACGTGGTCACAACCACTCAGTATTCATCTCAAAGTTTACTTAAAAAATTCATCTTCATTGGTCTAACTACAATTCATTCATTTTGCTGCTGTATAATCTTCCATTGTGCAAATACACCAAAACTTACTTATCCTTTCTTTTGTCCATGTTTGGATTATTTTAATTTTGTGCTATCATGAACAAAGATTAGTGCTATTAGGAGTATTTTATATATGTCTCCTAGTAGGCATATTTAAGAATTTATCTAGGTTATATACCATGAGTGAAATTACTGGGTTTTAAGGTAGACAATGTTCATTTTTTAGGATAATGCCCCCCCACCACCCTCCCCCTGCTTTTCATTTTTTAATCTACTAGGCTACTTTTGCTTTCTCAAACTCTTCCTTTACTAGCTCAGGACCTGTGCACAAACCGTTTCCTTTACTTGAAACACTTTTCTCACTTGCCATTTACAAAGCTTGTCTTTTGCATTCTTTAGGTATCAGCCTAATATCATATCCACAGAGAGGCCTTCTCTACTTACCCACCTGAAAGCAGATTGCCTTACTTTATTCTTCATCATAGCACCCAGTTCATTTACAGCCTCTGTCTCTCACCAGGCTATAAGGCTCAGGAGTGTAGGAACAGTGGCTATCTTGTTGAACATTGTTTATCTAGCGTCTAGCTCAATGCCTGGGATGCGGTAGGCATTTAAGAATATGTTTTCTGGATGAGTGAATACATAAGCAAACTAATAAAAGACATTACTATCTTCATTTTACAAATAAGGATATTGAGGTTCAGGAAGGGTTGTATAACATAGCGACATGATACAGATAGTAGCTGAAGAAGCCAGGATTTGAATATAGGGTCTGTTTTTCAAGTCTTTGGATAACATAATTAAAGTAACAGAATTTTCCAATAGTTATAAAGGTGATCTCTCTGTTAGTTTCTGGAACCCCTTCAACATCTTGTGTTCCAGGACTTTGGGGAATTTTTTAAGCAGAAACTAACTAGAATTCATCCTTAGGCTATTGGGCATCTCTTATTGTAGCATGCTAAACATAGGCATTTTATAGACTGTTGCCATATCACAGTAGGGTTTCTATGCAAGATGGAGAAGGGGAATACTTGGATATATTCCACAAATTAAACTCGGACTATTTCACAGACTTATTATCAATCTTATCTTTGCCTTAAACATAAACTAGAATGAGTTATCATGAGTTTCTTGAGTATAGAAACCATGTCCTTACATCTTGGTGTCCCAGATGTCTAGCAGAGTATCTAACTTACAGTTGGGGCTCAAAACCTATCAGATGAGCGAAAAGTAGCAGAAACTGGATTATAAGGGGTGACACCATTTCACCTTAAAGGTAAAATAATGCAAATGAGATTATATGCACATGTATTTTATGTAATATATAAAAATGTATACATAGATATATGAATGAAGTAAAATGAGATAATAGCATATTCTGAAGACTATTTCAGAAATGAGCATTATAAATTATAGAAAAATTAAGTTACACAACAAACCAGCATATCCTGGGCATGAAGAGTATTAAAGTCATGGAATTATTGGTAAAATTCTCCTATAAAGTAGAAATAAATACAACCACCTACTACACACAGACACACACACACACTCACACACACACTCCAAAAAGAATTCCAGCAAATGCAATTGTGGTAGAGACAAGAAAGCACAACTAAAATCTAAGTGATAGTATGTACCATTATGTTAGTTGTTATTATAGAAGGCTATGTGGCATCATGGCTAAAGACAGGGGGATGAGCATCAAACCTCGGTTCAAACCCAGCTCTGTCATTTTGTACTATCAGAACGTGGCAAATTACAACTCTGAGCTTCAGTTTTCTCATCTGTAAAGTAAGGACGATAACACTTACTTCATACTTTATCAGGAAGATCAAGTGAGACAATAGGAATGTTTAAAACGGTCGTAGGCACATGTTAGGTGCTCAGGAAATGAGTGTATTACTATTGTCATCATTTTCATCATCAGTATCATCATCGTATTGGCAATTTGAGCAACACATTCTAATGGTCATCTTGTGGAACTAGAGATCTATCATGTCTGTGACAGTAGAGAAAGTTTTTATTCTATATACTTGCCATTGCCTCCTTTTTCTGCTCAAACAATAGACCATTGTAAAGTACTTGGCCAACTGGATTGATTAACTGGTAACAGTTAATGCCAGATACATTGGAAATATAAATATTAATCCTACTCCAGGGGAGGAATACTAAGTCCTCATGATTATGGAGCATAGAAGCTTTTGATCAACAATTAAAACAAACAAACAAACACAAAGGTTTGAGAGTGGGAGAATTACTCTCTTGCACAGTAGAGGATAGACCTGCAGCTGAATCCTTGAAGCCGGATATCTTTCTGAGCAGCAGTTTCTTGATTTATAAATTGGGAACATACTCACCGGTTAAGGTTTCTGTGAGGACTAAATCAGATAATCTCTGCTAAATTACCTAACAGAGCACCCAGCACAAAGTGTACTAAAAAATAAAAAATAAAAAACGAAACAACAACAACAACAAAAACAGTGGTGTACTCTTTCTTTCCCAAACTTTCTGAGTGTTCTAAAGACTTGGTAAATGGAAGCTAAAAAATCCTTTTTGAGAATAAGAGGCAGCTGGATGAGAGTGGGAGAGTTTTGTTGGAGGACTTAAAAGTCTTCCTGTTTTTACAAAACATGAATTAAGAAAATAATAAATAATGGAGCAGCAAAGGAAGAGGAATTACTGAGTGCTCTCTCTTTGATTTTTCTTTGATTTCCACATCTTGTCTTCCTAACATACCTTCTTCTTAGGGTTGCATTGTAGTCTAGATGCTTTTAGAACAAAATGTTCAGGTAACACCACCATACAAATTAAGAATTGAGTATCAGAAGTAATGATAAAGATATCACACTGGCATACATCTTTAGTGGTTATGCATTTTTGTAAGGACTAATAAGTTCTGTGAAGCTTCATTTCTTCTTTCAACTCACAATTATTAAGAATCAGCTATGTATTAGGAACTGTGCTAGATGTTAGTAATACAGAAAAACACTGTCAGTTCAAGTTGTTTGCATTCCAAATTCTTTCCTCTTACTCCCAACCCCACAAATGTGACTGCAAGAAAGAATATTTACACAAAGATGAAACTCTTTCATCCTGATCTATGACCATTGTTAGCCTTTATAATGACAGGAAGTCAAAGGAGGATGATGCCAGAAAGCTACAAAGACAAAGCAGATAGACCCATAAAGAAGAGGGAAGTAATTAATCGATGCAGTATAAATTTTAATTTTAGTTTCAGTATCTCCAGTGATTCTTTTAATCACTTCTAGGCAGTATCTGAAAAATCTGTTTTTAGTCTTTTTATTTATAAAAATTAAATCAGAAATATTAATTACTTCAGTTTTGGTTTTGGTACATAATAAGAACACAAGGCCGGGCATGGTGGCTCATGCCTGTAATCCCAGCACTTTGGGAGGCAGAGGTGGGTGGATCACTTGTGGTCAGGAGTTCGAGACCAGCCTGGCCAACATAGTGAAACCCCATCTCTACTAAAAATACAAAAAAATTAACCGAGTGTGGTGGTGCACGCCTGTAATCCCAGCTACTCTGGAGGCTGAGGCAGGAGAATTGCTTGAACCCAGGAGGCGAAGGTTGCAGCAGTGAGCCGAGATCACACCTCTGTACTCCAGCCTGGGCAACAGAGTGAGACTTCATCTCAAAAAAAAAAAAAAAAAAGAGAGACCTAAAGTGTTGGTTGACTTCAGTATCTTGAGATACATAATTTTCTTACATGTTACATGTATATAAGGTGTATACTAATCTCATGCATAGATCCCACTGAATTTTCTTACATTAAAAATTCTCTTTGTTCCACCTTTTGTAGTTATTTTAAATTAACTTTCCTCACTGTATTATTTGCATTGTTTCATGCTACCCTAAGTCTCTTCGGAATCAAGGAAAAATAAATAGAAATATATGCCTTTGGCCATTACACTTAATGTGTTGAGGAAACAACCTCACTTTGGGTGTTCTCTCAGAAACACAGATTCTCACAAGATTCTTTATATATATATATAATTATACTTTAAGTTCTAGGGTACATGTGCCATGTTGGTGTGCTGCACCCATTAACTCGGCATTTACATTAGGTATATCTCCTAATGCTATCCCTTCCCCCTCTCCCCACCCCACAACAGGCCCCAGTGTGTGATGTTCCCCTTCCTGTGTCCAAGTGTTCTCACTGTTCAATTCCCACCTATGAGTGAGAGCATGTGGTGTTTGGTTTTCTCTCCTTGTGATAGTTTGCTGAGAATGATGGTTTCCAGCTTCATCTATGTCCCTACAAAGGACATGAACTCATCATTTTTTATGGCTGCATAGTATTCCATGGTGTATATGTGCCACATTTTCTTAATCCAGTCTATCATTGTTGGACCTTTGGGTTGGTTCCAAGTCTTTGCTATTGTGAGTAGTGCCACAATAAACATACATGTGCATGTGTCTTTATAGCAGCATGATTTATATTCCTTTGGGTATATACCCAGTAATGGGATGGCTGGGTCAAATGGTATTTCTAGTTCTAGATCCTTGAGGAATTGCCACACTGTCTTCCACAATGGTTGAACTAGTTTACCCTCCCACCAACAGTGTAAAAGTGTTCCTATTTCTCCACATCCTCTCCAGCACCTGTTATTTCCTGACTTTTTAGTGATCGCCATTCTAACTGGTGTGAGATGATATCTCATTGTGGTTTTGATTTGCATTTCTCTGATGGCCAGCGATGATGAGCATTTGTTCATGTGTCTTTTGGCTGCATAAATGTCTTCTTTTGAGAAGTGTCTGTTCATATCCTTTGCCCACTTTTTGATGGGGTTGTTTGTTTTTTTCTTGTAAATTTGTTTGAGTTCTTTGTAGATTCTGGATATTAGCCCTTTGTCAGATGAATAGATTGCAAAAATTTTCCCCCATTCTGTAGGTTGCCTGTTCATTCTGATGGTAGTTTCTTTTGCTGTGCAGAAGCTCTTTAGTTTAATTAGATCCCATTTGTCAATTTTGGCTTTTGTTGCCATTGCTTTTGGTGTTTTAGTCATGAAGTCCTTGCCCATGCCTATGTCCTGAATGGTATTGCCTAGGTTTTCTTCTAGGGTTTTCACGGTTTTAGGTCCAACATTTAAGTATTTAATCCATCTTGAATTAATTTTTGTATAAAGTGTAAGGAGGGGATCCAGTTTCAGCTTTCTACATATGGCTAGACAGTTTTCCCAGCAAAATTCTCACAAGATTCTTTTACCAGTGACAGTTAAAAGATAATGATGGTGATAACAAATGCCAAATGTATAGGGTTTTAATTTATTTTCTTAATAAGGATAATAAGTCTGGTTATTTATTTGCAGTTGTAACCCACATTTCACAGCACTTTCCACCTAGTTACAAATAAAAGATCTATTAGTAATATTTATGAAATATATTAATATATTTATATCTAGAAAACATTGCAATTCATTTCTTCCAATCATTTTCTCACTATATGTAACCAGCAGGAGGGTAAAAGTTCAAAAAGCCCCCTGGAAGTCTTCCTTTTGGGATCGCTCCAGCGCATAGCATGAAACAATATAGCTACATAAATTATTAACACCACTTTAATCCTCCGATTAAAACTGCAGTGTGAAGCAGACTGTTTTCCTATGTAAGCCACACCATGGGAGCATGTTAAGCACCTTTAGATGTTATTCTAATTCTTCCAGCACTTAGCACAGAGCCACTGAGCACGATAGGCTCCATTATACATAGTTTATTTGCTGGGTTCAGATCATTTGCGTGCTATTTGATACACTAAATCATTAATAGGTAAAGTGGGATTCATAGTCAGTTCAACTCAACAAACATTTGTGGAGCACCTACTATGTAATATGATCATGTCACTCCCATGCTTAAAATCTTTCAGTAATTCCCTATAGCTTTCAGGATAAAATCCAAGCTTCTTAATACAGAATAAGAGGCCCTACTTAATCCATCATAATGGCAGATATATGACATACAGACTCCCACTCCCCTCTTCTGCCCCCACAACAAAGGGAATCAATGTATCCCATCACTATTTCCCGCTGAGACTGGCCATGGCTTCAGAATCCTTCACAACACAATGTTCTAGACAGCCACCACCAATAGACAGGAGTGAAAATCTATTTGCTAGTCCTTTCTGATGATCTAGCATTCTAGAACTTCACCAAACACCATTTGCTCCAGTCACATAGAATGACATGTAGTTCCCTAAACATGCAAGACTTTTCACACTTATGTGCCTTTTGCATATGTTCTCTCTCCCTAGAATAATCTTCCTCCTTTTCCATGTTTAGGTAGCTCCCACTTATCCTGCATAATTCAGATGAAGCTTCAACTTCTCAGTCTGATCCCAATATCTTTCTTCTGTGCTCTTGAAATACTTGGCACTTAGCATTTTTTTTTTACTGGACCATGATTATTAGTGGTTCATCCCTCTCCTTGACTAAAGTTAAATTATTTAAGAGTAAAGGATATGTCTTATTTTACCTTGTATCTCAGGAAGCCATTACAGACCCTAGCATACAGTAGGTATTTAATAAATGTCTAAGAATAAATGTTCTAGTCACTCTACTAGGTTCCAGGAACACCAAAAAGAATAATGCATAAAAACAGGTAACATTTATTATGAGCTCTAAGCATGTTACATGTATTTTCTTATTTAAACCTCACAGCACCTACCCTTCAAGGTAGATTCTGCACTTGGAAGGACTATAATAGATACATGTTTAATATAAAGGGGTGGCACAAAAGAGAGAGTGATTAATGTGGTAGGGGATGGAGGGACAAATGATCAGGGAAGCTTTCACTAAAGAAGTGGTATTTGCTGGGTGCGGTGGCTCAGGCCTGTAATCCCAGCACTTTGGGAGGCTGAGGCGGGCAGATCATGAGGTCAGGAGTTCAAGACCATCCTGGCTAACACGGTGAAACCCCGTCTCCACTAAAAATACAAAAAAATTAGCTGAGCCTGGTGGCGGGTGCCTGTAGTCCCAGCTACTTGGGAGGCTGAGGCAGGAGAATGGCATCAACCCAGGAGGCAGAGCTTGTAGTGAGCCGAGATCATGCCACGGCACTCCAACCTGGGCAACAGAGCGAGACTGTCTCAAAGAAAAAAAAAAGAAGTAGTATTCAAATTAGGTTTGGAAGACAAAGAAAAGCACAGGAAACGGAGTGAAGGGAAAGATAGACTAGGCAGACAGAGGAGTGAAACAACACACATAGGAGTGAACCAAGATGACGTTTGGCCAGCAGGACCCAGTGCAAAATGAAGATGTGGTGAGAGGGAACATATGCAAAGGCATCTAAGTGAGATGGGGTCTCAACGTGTTGACCAGGCTGGTCTCAAAATCCTGGTCTCAAGCAATCCTTCCATCTCAGTGTCCCACAGTGCTGGGATTACAGGCATGAGCCACTGTGCCTGGCCAGCATGAAGACCTGGGTTCTTTCATGCAATAATTAGTTCAAAATAGTTATAGCAGAGCATTAAATGAAATGGAGCCCTTCTGAGCTCAGCACCCTCTCAAACAGCATAGATTGCACACCCATGAAGCCAGACATGCTGGGTACCATAAATGCTTCAGTATTGTTGGAACAAGAAGTACCTGGAGAATAAGTACTTTATGAGACAGGAAATGACACCAGTGACGTCAGCAAAGGCCAGATGATATACTATGCTAAGTAGCCTGGACTTTGTCCCATAGTTAACAAGAAGCCATAGAAGGGATCTCAGCATTGATGCAACCTGATTGCATTAATTTGTAAGAGGATACTTCTGGCAGCCCTATGGAAAGTAGACTGGAGGGTAAGAGAGGAAAACAAGGGGACAGCATGGCAGCAGTGGCCATTATATGGGCCAGAGAGGCTCAAGCTTTGACCTTGGTCTTTTCAGTGGGGATATCCAAGAAAAGCAGTCTGAGAAATAAATAGAAGGTATGGCTTGCCGGCATTGACACTCAAGGTGCACGTGAGGGAAAAGGAATAAATGAAAGGCGCAACCAAGCGTGTGGCATTCAGGAGAAAACTTTACCATTTTGCTTCAGCCTGCCGGACCAATTTAAAGTAGTACTTGATATAATTATTTAGCATCATTTTTGTCAGTGACATTCCCAGCCTAGAGAAGGCTAATGCACAAACAGCAAGGAATGAAGCCGTTGTGCAGATTTCCATTTCTGTAACTTCCATAAGCAAAGAGGCACATGAACAGTCTATTTATTTATTTCTTGTTCTATTTCCAAAGAACAGTGGCTTTTGGGTCACTTGAGTTTTTCCTATGAAATGAAAAGAGATGATCCTTACACACTTCCAGTGGAATTTCTCAATTACCAAGCTATTCCCAGAAGCTTCTTGAATTCTCTTTGGTTTACTTGCACTATTTGAATG
This sequence comes from Homo sapiens, assembly GCF_000001405.40. Classification (NCBI taxonomy): domain Eukaryota; kingdom Metazoa; phylum Chordata; class Mammalia; order Primates; family Hominidae; genus Homo; species Homo sapiens. Next base: position 67,669,587 of record NC_000001.11, read on the forward strand.
TGATCTCCAATATAATAAGGATAAAATTAAATAACACATTAGTTCATTAGTTCTTTGGAAGTTCAAACACCAATACTGGCTTCATTTATACAAAGACATTTATACAAAGACACCTAGATCCTTGGAGGCTGACAATAGTTCACACAACTAAATTACCTGTTCTTAACCCTCTAAAGGTACATTTTTCTGTTCAGTTGTTGAAGGTTCAGTCCATTTGTGGAAAGTGTCCTAATCATGCTAACTTCCCTTTCCCCTCTTTGCTCATAAAACTTAGGGAACTAGAATATCAACATACACAAATTTAAATAGTCAAAGTATTGATCTGCTTATGACTCATAATCCCCTTCATTAAATAACAGTTTTTAAAAATGGGAACATAGTAGATTATTTTTCTGGTTCCAGGGATAACTGACACTTCAAACTTTTCTTTACTGTTCTAATTGTTCCTAAAGAAGACAGCAGTCATCTAACAAAATGCTAACAATGGGGTAGCTTGGTGTAGCTGAAAGATCATGAGCTTTCAAATCAGATGGATGAAGGTTGGTACAGGTGTGGACAAGTTATTGAATTCCTCTCACCTTCAGTTATCCTGGGTGTAAATTGGGATTTTTATCTGCATTGTAAGGTTAACAGAGGACTGAGTGAGCTCAAAGATGTGTAAAATGGTTGTCCCCAAGCAGATCTTCAGTGAAGTCAGGTTCCTGGGTAGCCTGTGTATGTCTTTGGTAAGCAAAATTAAATGATGCTTAATACCTTTATAACTTTTCCCTCAATTATAATTGGTTGGGTTGTCCCCAAGCAGATCTTCAGTGAAGTCAGTTTCCTGGGTAGCCTGTGTATGTCTTTGGTAAGCAAAATTAAATGATGCTTAACACCTTTATAACTTTTCCCTCAATTATAATTGGTTGGTTGGCTTCTGAGGGTGAGTTTCTTCCCTTTGGGTATAAGCAAGTGAGAAGATCCTTCATGATCTCAGCTTCAGAACATGAAGTCCCTAGGCTGAAATCAGCTCTCCCAGGGTCAGATCCTGAGATGGCAACACCAGCTTTGGGAAACTCAGAATCTTCTTACAAACAAGTGGGGAGCTCTTACATTTCCTTCTTTCCACAAAATGCTTTTAGCTCTCATATTTAGTGCTTCAGTAATTTCCTCAGAAGTCTCTCCCACTCTCCCTGACCTCCTCACTTGATCATATCCCCTGCTATAAACTCTCATAGCAACCTGTAATTGTTTCTTTGTAGAACTTACCACAATTACAATTGAGCAATTAAGTCTGAAATTAGTTGTTTCAAGTACATCTCAATGTTAATTCCACTGGAAATCTGTCTTATTCAATACTGTAGACCCAGTACCTGGTGCACTCCCTTGCATATACTAGGTGCTTAACAACTATGTATAACAAAATGAATGAATGGGGGGCTCTTATTAACTAATTTGGATAAACACATATATTATTCATACACATAATGATTTGGGTTACTTTGCTTGATTCACATGTGTAGTCTTCAAACTAAGGATTAGTCTTCAAACTAAGGATTAGTCTTCATATACAAGGACATTTGTGATTGGTAATCAGTGCAGAGACTTATTGAATTGCTTTGATCCCAGTGGGAATGGATTTGTGCAGACCCAGGTACACTCTTCCTTAATAATTATTGTGTCCAGTGGTATACACTTACAATTTGGTGAGACAAATGAAACTGGGCAAGTAAGAGAGGGAACAGAGTTGAGAGAAATGCCTCTCAAATCCAATGAGGTGGTACCATTAAGCTTGTCTATAAAAGCTGAGTATACCTGAGAGTGATTTCCTGAGTCTAGAACTCTCAGCAATGGATCCAATAAGTGTGTGGTGGGGAAAAGCAACTAATCCTGAGAAACTGCCATGTGAAGACACTGAATCCACTGACATTGATGTATCTCCCAATTATAGTTGAAGAAATGGAGGTCGATAAATGTTAAGTAAACTTTTCAAGATCACAGAGCTAGGATTCAGAATAAAGACAACTAACATGTACAGAGTACAAAAAAATACTGGAAAAGGGCAAGGTAGAGAATATAGGGAAATAGAAAGCAATAGGATAGGTCTAACTGGCACAGGCATAAGGGCAGACTCCTTCACCAAGAAATTACAATCATAACAACTGGCTCTGTGACCCATCCTTATGCCCCTAATATCCATTCTATTCCTCTTAAAAGGCAAACATTCCGGGTATGTAAGGGTTTGGGAGGTGGGAAAAAGGCGTCTCCACCTTACAGCCACAATGATCAGTAATCACCTTAGTAGGGATGAGTTATCAGATACCTGAAAAGGATATGAGGGTCAGTGGAATAAAGGGAGGAACATGGGCAAGAGGAAGAAAAGGTAATCAGAACAACAGGTAATGGGCACCAAATAAAAATCCTTTCAAGTCACCATTTTGCCCTGCACCAGCATTGTAAATCATTGCCTTTGCCCCAAGGTATACGATGGATACATTATAGACCCATAGTTTGAACCATGGCCAACAGATGTCTGACCCTCACCATGGTGGATCCATAATCTTGGCCTCTATTGCATAATGATCTGCAAGAAAAAAAATTAAGTGGTTCTACCATTAACCAAGTTGCTTACTCCAGGATCTGAAGTCACTTTTGATACCTCTACTCATTTATCTATCACAGGCAATCATTTGCCAAGGCTCAGTTCTACTTCTGAATATGCTTGCAGGCTCACCACATGCCTTCCTCTTTAATCCCTCACAGTTCCATTCTATCTGTCTCTAAAACACTTTTAATACAGTATCAGTCTTCCACCAAGATACAATTGTAAAGTCCATGAGGTTAGGAACAATGTCTATCATTTTACCATCATATCTCCCTCCTGGGCTTAGCACAATCCATGGCACACAGTAGGAGCTTAACAAATATTTACTGGAAGAGTAAATAAATATTTGTTGACAGAGTAATTGAATAAATAATACCCTTTTAATCAGTCCACAAATATTTAGTGAGTCAGTATCCTCTGCCAGGCAATGTGTAAGACACTTAGAATACAGTGAACAAGATAAACATAGTACTTGACCTTTTAGAGCTTATAGTCTAGTAAACTTTTCACCTTTTCTACTGGAATGAAATAACAGATCTAAGCTCTTTTAAAATCTTACCTGATTATCTGGCTCTTCTCTGAGTTCTTTTGAGCTACATAATTTAACCCTTAAATGCTCCGTGCTAAGCTCTCTATTATTTTTCTCATTTCTTCACCAAAAAGGTAAGATCCTTGAAGGCAGAGAACTGTTTCAATTTTTGTGTGTATGTGTCCTATCTTAATCTACACAGAAGCTTCTTTTAAGAGACTGAAAGAATGGAACTCTCTGAAGTAATGTAAACTTTATATATCTTGATTGGGGATATATCACTAATAGGGTTATGTCCTGATTGGGCTTTATATCTTGATTGGGTAACACAAGAATATACATTTATCAAAACTCATCAGATTGTACATTTATGATCTGTGTGTTTCACTGAAGATAAATATTACTCAATTAAAAATATATTTAAAGTAACACACACTTATTATATAAAACATCACCAAATAAAAGTAGGCAAAATAAGAAAATAAAAATCACCAGTAATCTCATCACTCAAAGAAGAACACTGAGGCTAGGTGCGGAGGCTCTTCCTGTAATCCCAGCACTTTGGGAGGCCAAGGTGGGAGGATTGCTTGAATCCAGGAGTTTGAAACCAGCCTGGGCAACATAGTGAGACCCCATCTCTAAAAAACATAATTAGCTAAGTGTGTGCCTATAGTCTCAGCTACTCAGTAGGAGGATTGCTTGATCCTGGGAGGTCAAGGTTGCAGTATGAGCTCATACACATCATGATTGGGCCACTGCACTCCAGCCTGGGTGACAGAGAAAGACCTTGTCAAAAAAGAAAAGAAAAGAAGAAAAGAAGAAAGGAAGGAAGAAAGGAAGGAAGGAAGGAAGAAAGGAAGGAAGGAAGAAAGAAAGAAAGAAAGAAAGAAACAAAGAAACAAAGAAACAAAGAAACAAAGAAACAAAGAAAGAAAGAAAAAGAAAGAAAGAAAGAAAGGAAGGAAGGAGAGAAGGAAGGAAGGAAGCAAGGAAGGAAGGAAGCAAGGAAGGAAGGATGGACAATAAAGGAACATTGCTTACATTTTGAGGTATATCCATCCACACTTTTTTTTGCACACACATACATACACACTATGGATTCATATAGAGTGTAGTGCCTTCTAATTTCTTTATAAACAGTATACTGAGAACATACATAAAAGGTTCTTTGTAATTACCTCTTGAAGAATTAATTTGCTAAACTGCATAAAAATCAGAATCCTAAATTTGTTTCCAAAACTTTTGGAGTGTACAATATTCCATCATCATTACCATCAACACTTGTTGAATATCAAATGTCATCCCTAAAGAGTTTTCTTGACAAAGAATGATCTTTTGCTAATGTTGCTAAATCTTAACTGCTAGATGATCACTAACAGTAAATTTTTAAGCTGGTACCGGATTTATGATCAGCTTCAACTAACATTCTAGTGTTCTTAGTGACTAAGTACAACAAGTATCACCTCAGAATTTATTCTTCTATTCCCCTCATATTACTAAGCTGTTAGAAGATCCAATTTATGGCATGTTGCTATTATATTCATTGTTTAATTTGGGTAGATTCTAATTTAATACAGGGACCCACATAATTGTATGGCTAGACTGTTGTGATCTACATCCTCATAAAATTTATCACAATATGAGCTCATACACGCAAATCTCACATTTATATCAGCAGTTCAAACCACATCAAACTTAAGACATAATATTTGAAGTCAGCAAAGCCACAGCCCACCTCTAACACTTCCTAAAAAATCCATTGCTAAATCTAGTTCACCAAGAAGATGGCATATGGGTAAATATTCTAGTGAGTCCTTTGCTGGTTTCCTGATGGTGCTACATAGACTCAGACAGAAGGAGAATTACTTGGAACTACCCAGAAAATGAGAAGAGCAAGGACTAGAAGCAAAGATTTGTGAGAAAGGGAAATGTCTTTTGCTTTACACTTTTTGGCAAATGATAAAAGGCAGCTTTAGTGACAGCAGCCAGATGGAGATCAAATGACAACTGTGAGTTCATAATGGTCTCCAGCATCCTGGCAAGCAGAGGGGCAGTAGGGGAAGTGGGAGGGGTCAGCTTTCCTGGTACTACAAGTCAATCTGGTGCACATCAGTGTTATCTGACGTCAGCTAAACCCAGTTCTGAGGCACTACATCGGGACCAGCTGCCACATACTGAAAGCACCCTGGCCTGCCTCTGTGCACTCCCTGAACTCCTCCTGCCCATAACATTTACAGGGTGCTACCAGTTAATTTATGTTCCCCACACCAGGGAGGATCCAGATGTCGAGGCTGCAGTTGCTGATTTGAAAGGAGCTCACAAATACAGGAAGCTCTCAGAGGATAAAAGAAAACATGAGTATTTTACAGTGAACTTGAGAAACTCATTGTTCTGTATTAAAAAACACGCACACGAGAAGTGTTTGAATAACATCAAGCCTGTTCCTTAGCATGCACAGAAACACATGATTCACATTATCAAAACTGCCTAAAAAGGCTGGTTGTGGTGGCTCACATCTCTAATCCTAGCACTTTGGGAGGCTGAAATGGGTGGATTACTTGAGGCCAGGAATTCAAGACCAGCCTGGTCAACATGGTGAAACTGCATCTCTACTAAAAATGCAAAAATTAGCCAGGCATGGTGGCGCAGGCCTGCAGTCTCAGCTACTCTGGAGGCTGAGGCACGAGAATCACTTGAGCCCGGGAGGCAGAGGTTGCAGTGAACCGAGGTTGCAGTGAGCCGAGTTCATGCCACTGCACTCCAGCCTGGGCGACAGAGCAAGACCCTATCTCAAACAAACAAGGAAACAAAAACAAAAACAAAAAACGGCCTAAAGATCTAAAATGCACTGATGGGGGAACCTCGGTTCATCTATAGTTAGAAAGGGAACATGTATATTGGATCTACCTGTGGCTGCCATCAAAATTCAGGGGAATTTTCACAGCAGTAAGGACGGACCAGGAAGTCCAGTCAGTACTTTTGCTGTTAGCAATGATGCCTCAAATGTTAGAGAAAATGGAAATAAATACAATATTTTACTTAGATGAAGGAATTAAGAACAAAGAAAATTAGAAAGGACATTGGAAAATGGGTGCCATCTAATTAATATTCATGGTGTCCTGCTACATGCAGTGTACTCTAAGTGCTGTGTGTATTTTGTCTCATTTGATTTTCATCATAAGTTTAAGAGACAGCGTTTGTCAGAAAAGAGGCAAAAGAGCTTAGATGGCTTGCCCAAGCCTGATTCCAGAGTCTGCATTCTGAACACTACACTCTGATGCCACGTGAACCACAGCTGTTCTAGAGAAGCATAATATGTGGTTAAGAATGTGAGATTTGCAGTCCCACAGATGTGCATTTGCATCTTGCCCTGGCCATTTAGCTAGGGGTCTTTTGAGTTAGTAACTAGTTTAACCTCTCCAGTAGGCTACAGCTTACTTAGCAATAAAATGAAGATAATAGTATCTATCTCATAGATTGTTGTGAGGGCTTAGTGACATCATGTAAATAAAAATTTACCATAGTGCTAAGCATGATAAGCATTTAGCAAATTAGTATTTTTTCTTCTTTTTATATTTTAAAAATTTATTTTAATTTTTTTAGAGATGGAGGTCTCACTGTGTTGCCCAGGCTGGTCTTGGACTCCTGGTTTACATGATGTCATGGTCTCAAGTGATCCTCCCTCCTCAGCCCCCTGAGTAGCTGGGATTATAGTCGCAAGCCACCATCCCAGCACAAATTAATATTCTTACTAATAAATAAAGCCTAGGGGAGGATCACTTGAGCCTGGGAGTTGGAGGCTGCAGTGAACTGAGATTGCGCCACTGCACTCCAGCCTGGGTGACAGAGGGAGACCCTGCCTAAAACAAACAAACAAAAACAAATAAACAAACTAAAATAAGGTCTGGTGGGGGTAGGGGAGGAAGTGTCTTTAAAGGAGCTGGCAGGCCTTGAATCTATTATAGTGTTGAGGACAGCATAACTTCTGAATTTTCTAAACATCTCTGGAAGCCAACTCACTGCTGCACACAGATTTCATGAGAAAATCTTCTAAAGGGATGCACATAGGTTGAAGTTTTGACATGTCTGAGTTTTGGAAATTATGCTAAGTGTCTTTTCATTAAACTTGGAGAAGAATGAAGGGCAATGCTCATATCATAGGTGACAACCTGAGAAAAAGTAAATTGCAGAGCACTGTAAAAACCCAGTGTTTAAGGACTCCTCATAGCTAGAACCAAATAAATTAGGATTTCCCCTGTGGTTAGATTTAAGGCAAATACAGCTTCAGGATCACAGATGGACTTGTTTTGATAGTTTACATAAAAGATATAAATCCAAACTTATAAAATGGAGTAGAGGGTCCAGTTGCTAGGGATAATTAGGGACACGCCAAATTAACCAAACTTAATTCAGATGGTCATTAAACAGTGACCCCACCTGGTTTTCAGTCGTTTTACCATCTGTTGTAGCTCCTTCTTCTCAGATGGGAGAGGTCTCACTAGCTCCCAGGTGTGACCTGTTTATTAAGACACAGTGCCAAATCATACTCCATAGCATTTGGTAACCAGACAATAAATTAAGGTTAATAAGGCAAGTTGTAACATAACTTCAACTGACCTATGGAAACAGATTGAAATGTTTGAAAATTGATATCAAAGCAGAGGAACATGAATGTTTTTTAAATTCTTTAGACACATTATCTGGTGATTGAATTTTTAAGGCCCAGAAAAATAACTTTTTTTGTGGTAAGGTAAGGTATTTGAGGTTTCTCAGTGACTGCGAAAAATATAGAGTAATTATAGAATAATAAAATTATTAAGTAAAAAATGTTAGAGCTGGAAGGGTCTTAGGGAACCAGACATTTCCCATTGTGACCAATATGCATGGCTCAGAGGCTATGGGGTGTATTGCAGGAGGGGAGTGAGGGGGAGCCTAAACTTGCCAATCCCTGCCCTTCACCCCCACTGCTATCCGGCTACTGCAGCCACAACACTTCCACTTTTATCTATCTATATGTGGGGATTATGCCTACTGTGGATTTTGGGGAAAGGGAGTTCTTTTCAAAATTAAAAAGAGTTCACAAATATTTGTCAAATGAGGAAACTGAGGAATGGCGAGGGTAAACAACCTGCTAAAGATTCTATCATTCAAGCCACATTCTTGGAGGGACATCACATTAGATTTATTATTGTTACTATGTCTGCAAAGTAGCCACATAGTTCTTAATTTTACAGCATCATTTCAAAACTTCCATAAATACAGACCAGATATACAATATAAACAAATAAGCTTATAAACTGGCCTTCTTGTATTTGATGGCGATGCTTTCCTAAAATAGGGAGGACGGCTTGCCAAGAGGGAGTCTCCAGCTGAGAAAGCAAAATCTCTGACACATTTCTGCTTAGTGGACAATGATACTAATAAGATTGCCCCCTCCTATATCTTAAGGGAATGAGCTGGAACATATGGCAAAAATCCTTACAGGTCAACAACAGAATGTTAAACACAATCCATCACTTTGCCACAAACTGATATGGTCCACAAAGCACAGAAGTAAAGTGTTCATAATGGATAGCCAGATAGCAGACTATTCACTACATTCTTTGGTTACTGAAAATGAGGCTACTTTGGACCTTTACATACAAAGTCTCATGGGAGCCAGAAAGACTACTGTCACACAAACATGGCTGTGGCCCACATCTAAGACCAGCTATACAGAAATGAGCACTCCAAAAGACCATGTCCCAGACCCTCTTCAAAACATCACAGTCTTACAGAGCTTGATCCTAAATGATCTTGTTTTAATATTTAATATCTTCCAGACTTTGAGACTGACATTTTATTGCCAAAGTACATGAGGACCAAACCAAAATAAAAGAATGCATATTATTCAAAGAACAAAAAAAACTTATAAGCTATTTCAAAGAATAAGTTTTACTGGCAGAAATTTCCAGTTAATCAGGATTAAATGCTTACAAGCACTAAAGCCAGAGAGAGAGGTAGAAGTTCAAATAGTAGTAAAGAATGCTCTTATTCTCTTTTATTTCTTTTTCTTTCATTCTCAGTCTCCTAAATACTACTTTATTTCCTTAATTTCATCTCCAATTGTGTTTCTTGTATGTTGCTTCCGCAACATAACCCATCTTTGCTTTCAAATCTCCCACTTCAAAACTGACCTTCATAAAACCTTTCAGAGTTGTTTTCCTCATCATTATAATCTCTTTGTGCTACATTGAAAGAACAAGACTTGAAGCTTGGCAATTAAGCACCTTTTAATCTATTGGGTATTATATGTGTATACAGTACAGGTCAAAATCCTTAGCTTACAAAATGGGCCAGTTTATAACCCCTGAAAAAATTATAAGAAAAACAGTTGGACGGGGGTGGAGGAACTATGAGAATAATATGAATGCAGATAAGGGTGCACAATCCTCTGTAACTAAAACAATACAAGTAGTTTTCTGATGTCTTGGAGGACTGAAAAAAAAATACAAGCCCCAAAACAGTATTTGATCAAGACACCTTCCTTTCTAATATACAAAAAAGACAACAAATTATATAACTCTTATGTTCTAATTCATCAATTATATATTAAAATCTGTGTACCTTATTCATTCAATAATATCTGATTTAACAAATATTTATTGGTGGATCATGAGGTCAGGAGATCGAGACCATCCTGGCTAACATGGTGAAACCCCATCTCTACTAAAAATACAAAAAAAATTAGCAAGGCATGGTGGCGGGCACCTGTAGTCCCAGCTACTCGGGAGGCTGAGGCAGGAGAATGGCGTGAACCTGGGAGGTGGCGGATCTTGCAGTGAGCCGAGATCACGCCACTGGACTCCAGCTTGGGCGACAGAGTGAGACTCCATCTCAAAAAAAAAAAAAAACCACAAAACAAATATTTATTAAGAGTCCACTCTGTATAAGGCACTGTTCTAGTCACTTAGGGACCAATCAGTGAACAAAACAAAATTCTACCCCATATTTTTGGATAGTGGAGTGGGCAGGAGGAGAATCAGATAACAAACAATATATATAAGTAAAATATATATGTTTGAAGGTGATTGTGACATGATCTTTTAAAAAAACAGGATTTAAGAGATTAGTGGTGCCAGGGAGTAGAGGTATTGCAACTCAACTAGAGTGAGCAGGGTATGGCTCATTAGGAAGGGGGCTGGAAGGCAATGAGCAATGTGGTATCAGGAGAAAAAACATTCCAAGCTTACAGTCAGCACAAAGGCCCTGAGGCAAAAGGAAGTCCAATATGGCTAGAGAGAAATGAGCATGGGGGGAACAGTGTAAGATAAGATTGCTGTAGGGATCAGATTTTTATAACAGCTTTATTGATATAATTCACATTCTGTACACACCCTAAATATTTTATTCAATGGGTTTTACTATATTAACTGATTTGTACAATTGTCACCATTGTCAATATTAGGACATTTTCATCATGGGCACAGATTTTATATGGTATTTTAAGCCATAGTAAGGACTAGGGGTTTTTCTCTGAGTAAAAAGAAAAGCCATTGATAACTTTGGGTTAAGGAATTGACTGGGATCTGACTTACTATTTACAGGATCACTTCGGCTGCTGGAGGTGAAGGGAGGAAAGGCAAAAGCAGAGGGAGACCAGTTGTTACATTTTCCTAGGTGGGAGATGATGCTGGTGGTAGTGGTGATGAGAAATGGTTGAATTATTTTACATTTTGAAATGGAGCCTATAGGATTTACTGATGGACTGGATGTGGTTGTGAGAAAAAGGAATCAAGAATGACACCAAGGTGTGGGGGGCTGAACAGTGGGAAGAATGGAGTTGCCATTGACCTATTGTAGGCACAGATTTGGCCAGACAATCAGGAGAGCAACAATTGTCATTTTAAGTTTAAGATGCTTACTATATATTGATGCAGATATGATGAATAAGCGCTGAGGTTCAGAAGAGATGACTGACCAGGTTTGAAATATATTTGGGAGTCATCAGCATATAAATAATTAAGGCCATGGGACCATATGAGGTCACCAAGAGAGTGAGTACAGAGAAGAGGTATAAGCATGAGCTGTTAAGAAGTTAGGAAGAAGAAAACTTTGCAATGAAGTTGATGGGTGAATAGAATTGTTTCTTTTATTTCAGAGAGAGAAAACTCACAAATTGGCTGGGCGCAGTGGCTCACACCTGTAATCCCAGCACTTTGCGAGGCCAAGGTGGGAGGACTGCTTAAGCCCAGGCGTTTGAGACCAGCCTGGGCAACAAAGCAAGACCCCGTTTCTTTGGAAAATTTTAAAATTAGGCTGGTGTGATGGCATGTGCCTATAGTCCCAGGTACTCAGGAGGCTGAGGTAGGAAGATCGCTTGAGCCTGGGAGTTCAAGACTGCAGTGAGCTATGACAGTGCCACTGCACTCTAGTCTGGATGACAGAGGATGACCCTGTCTCAAAAAAGAAAAAAAAAAAAGCAAACTCACAAATCTGTTCAAGGTGCAAAAACAACCTACCAGTGGCCAATCACCAACTCAGACCACCTACTTCCCTCACCAGTGATTAGGCTACAAAGCAGAGACTCTCAGAACATTCCTCCCATGATAGAAGCCTTCTGATACGCACCGACAGAGAGGTGAGGGGTTAGGGGGTGTTGATCTTGAAGAATGTTCTAGTTAGTCTCTTCATCTGACTTCTCCACTGGCTGGGCCTTGCTTGGCTGGTGAAATGTGAGCAGCTGATGGCAGCACAAGGTGGCCAGCCCAAAGCTCAAATTAACACTATGATTACTACCATGATTCTTAATAGCTGAAGAGAATTTCCACAGGATAAGGATTTATTGAACACACAAAAAAGATGGCATTAAGAATATTATACTAGTTTTTTGTTGTTGTTTTTGTTTTTGTTTTGAGACGGAGTTTCAATCTTGTCACCCAGGCTGGAGTGCAATGGCACCATCTCGGCTCACTGCAACCTCCACCTCCAGATTCAAGTGATTCTCCTGCCTCAGCCTCCCGAGTAGCTAAGATTACAGGTGCCTGCCACCGCGCCTGGCTAATTTTTGTATTTTTAGTAGAGCTGGGGTTTCACCATGTTAGCCAGGCTGGTCTCAAACTCCTTAGCCAGGCTGGTCTCAAGCTCCTGACCTCAGGTGATCCACCCGCCTTGGCCTCCCAAAGTGCTGGGATTACAGGTGTGAGCCACCACACCTGGCCCCAACTAATTTTTGTATTTTTAGTAGAGGTGGGGTTTTACCATGTTGGCCAGGCTGGTTTTGAACTCCTGACCTCAGGTGATCCGACCTCCTCAGCCTCTCAAAGTGCTGGGATTACAGGCGTGAGCTACTGCACCTGACCAGGAACCTTATGATTTTTAACAAGAAAAAATAATACAATACAATTCTAGGTAGGTGGAAAATACATCCATCATAGTTGAACTGATCTTCTCCTTTGATGTGGACAATGATCTAATACTGAAATAACAAGCATTATATTTCTTTCAGATGTTAAAGCATTGATTGTTTTTTGAAAGAAAGAAAGAATAATTCTGCATTATGGAACCAGTAGTAGGAATGTATGTAGGATAAGCATGACTAAAATATCAAAAAGATCTTTAATATGCAAAGCAAGTAGCAGTGCTAAAATAATTGAACAATTCTTGAGTATATATTTCCATATGATTTCTAAATATAATCATTTGGTATCTTTACAAACATTACTACAAGAGCATTCTACTCCTGTGTACTTGGCAGTTGTCAGAGTTACCTGTAGTGGTTTTTAAAATGACATCACATATTGGAGTTATCACACTGATTATAAAGAAATATATATATATATATAATATTGATATAGGAAAATTTCTCTGATTTACCATTGACTATCAATGTCCTCCAGGACTAATAAACAGTTAATGATAAATCAACTATGTCCATTCTAATGTGTAACTACAATCTAACTGTGTAGCTAAATGCAGTTTTTACTTCCAGTCATGAGGCCCAACTTTGAAGATAATCACTGAGAAAACATTCTAGGTATACTCAGCAATCAGGCAAAATGATGTAACGTATCTGAGTCAGAAAGTATGACAAATGAATATTTTTGCATACTGGAAGCCCAAGCTTATCTCAGAGAAAATCCCCAAAATACTTGGGCAAATAACTTTCTGATGAAGTCAAATATAGCATGCAGTATAATTTTTGAGTGGAGGACTAAGCCTATAATAAGAAGTAACCATTTGATATCACATTTTTACTGGATATAGTCGACTTGGGTGGGGCACTTTAGGACTGTGGTTCATTTGAATTGGTGTAAACAATACACCGGTTCTACTGTCCTACAGCCTCCATTCAGATGACTGAAGTCATGGGACTTTCAGCATAGCTAGCTGATGACAGTGCATACTATTTTGTCCCAAAATCCAGTTCAAGCATGGACATACCAATAAGAGCCTAAGCTCTTTAAAGGCAAAGGACCAGGAATTGTACAGTTCTTGGTATAGAAGAAGACAGGCAAAAGTGTTTTTGAACTAACGTTAAATGTGCAATATGTTAGAATTCATGCAATGCACAGGACTGCAGGATTCTGATATCTTATTTAACTCTCAAATTCTATTCAACTCAATAAACCTTGACTGTGCTTCTACTAAATGCAGGTATTGTACTAGGAGCTGAGGACACCAAACTGATGAAGTCCTTGCTGTCAAGAAACTCACATGATTCCCTAATTCTTTGTCAGCTTGCTGTGATCACATTTTCTTCCCAAGAACCTCTAAGAAATGCCTAGTGGATAGAACCTTGGAGTTCCACGGAACATATTAACAATCGCCAAATGATGACTCAGGCTAGATTGTGTAATTCAGGTTTTGTCTGCAAAACTGAAAATGCTTCGGTAACCTACCTAAATTTCAATGTTGAGGAATTCTTTAAGAAAGACATCAAATGTTAAGATTTAAGGCATAGATATGAGATACATAGTCATGCTTAGGTGAATTATGCACTGACCATGACCATTTCTTTACTCAAATGTTGTCCATGGCTGACAACACAGTGAAAAAATGAGTGCAAAATGACAACTCAAATAAATGAACCAGAAAACCTATCACTTTTCTTTTCCACCAAATTAAGATCAAGAGAGCTGGAGAATATTTTGTCTAGAGTGATAAAAACATAAGGGTGCAAAACTTCCAGGTACCTTTGCAGAAATTACTTCTGTGACCTTTGGCTGTACAGCAACCTTAATAATGCAAGCACTGTTTTGAATGCAAGCATGTGGGAGCCATTTTCACCACTTTTGATGACTTCAGTAGGTTTAAGAAATGTTTTTGCTTTTATTGCATAAACCATAAAACAAAGGAAGGGACTTTTGAACTACTCAGTGAGAGTCTATATATTAAAGTTTGTTTTTCAAAAATGTGTAACTACCATTTGCAGTTTTAAAGGTCTGCTTTCCACCTACAAGTTGCCATTATCTCAAAGGTGAAATTTTAGCATATGACTAAAAACTTCCTATAGTTACAGCTTCATGATTCAGCATCTAACATCAATAATTCACAGTGAGATCATAGGAGGCTCTCTGTGGAAGGTAACGACATACATACGTTAGGAAAGGAAGCTTAGGGCATATCGAGAGCATTTTGAATTTAGACTTGTGGGCTGTGTGGGTGTCAGATGGTTGTCTCTCAGCTGGTGGGCGTCCAGAAGGATCCTTGTTTGGGCAAGGCTCTTTGAGAAAGGAGAATCTGGGTTGCCAGGGATTCCCACATGTGGTCACCAGCTCCCCACGCAGACCAGCTCACGATTTCCCAGTTACACCGGGCAGGTGGGAAACCGTTCTGCTTTCTGTGGAAAAGATTCTAACTTGGTTCCCTGCCATCCCTGAATACAAACGGGTTGGTTTTTCTTTTTTCAGCTTCCAACCCTTGCAGCTTTCCAAAAATAAATCAAACCAGCCATCAGGGCACCGAAATAATACTACTGCTAATAAGCAGCTTCGCCTAGACTTAGATAAACAACACTTCTGAGGTAAACTTTGCCCCGGAGGTCTGGAGACACTTTTTTAATGTAACCTGCTTACTAATAATTACTAGACTTCAGTGCATTAACCCTGGAAATAGATTTTAATAGCCACCCCTTAAAACAAAAGACATGAAAAGATAATAAGAAAAAAGTGCCGCAACTATTATAGAAAAACACTTGGCAGCCTGCTTCAGCCCAAGCTGAGGCCACCTCTAGCCTCTGCTAAAGCCCCCCACTCCCAATGGTCCCCGCCAACCGGATAAGAGTGCGCGCGGGACCCGCCTTCCCCTCTCGGCACCGCCCCCGCCCCCGCCCCCTCGGCTCGCCTCCCGCGTGGCTCCTCCCTTTTCCGCTCCTCTCAACCTGACTCCAGGAGCTGGGGTCAAATTGCTGGAGCAGGCTGATTTGCATAGCCCAATGGCCAAGCTGCATGCAAATGAGGCGGAAGGTGGTTGGCTGAGGGTTGGCAGGATAACCCCGGAGAGCGGGGCCCTTTGTCCTCCAGTGGCTGGTAGGCAGTGGCTGGGAGGCAGCGGCCCAATTAGTGTCGTGCGGCCCGTGGCGAGGCGAGGTCCGGGGAGCGAGCGAGCAAGCAAGGCGGGAGGGGTGGCCGGAGCTGCGGCGGCTGGCACAGGAGGAGGAGCCCGGGCGGGCGAGGGGCGGCCGGAGAGCGCCAGGGCCTGAGCTGCCGGAGCGGCGCCTGTGAGTGAGTGCAGAAAGCAGGCGCCCGCGCGCTAGCCGTGGCAGGAGCAGCCCGCACGCCGCGCTCTCTCCCTGGGCGACCTGCAGTTTGCAATATGACTTTGGAGGAATTCTCGGCTGGAGAGCAGAAGACCGAAAGGTGAGTCGGCCTGCGGACTCTTCCGGCCCGAACTTCTCTTACCTACCCCGCGCTCCCCGGTGCAGCCGGGCTGTGGAAGGCTTGCAGGGGAGGAAGCTAAAAAGTTTGCACAGGGCAACTCCCGCCCTTGCTCCCTCGGGACTCTCCGTGGAGCTCCCACGGACTGAAAGAGCGTGCCCCCCAACCCGAACGAGCCCCGCCGGGGCCTTTGCAAAGGGCAGCAGTGGCCGTCGCTGCCCGTGCGGCTCCCGTGGCTGGCAGCCTGTGGCAGGGGCACTCTCGGGACTTCTCACGGGACGCCCGGTCCTTGGGCGTGCAGGGGTCATGGGGGGTGACGGGGCCGCGGGAGCGCCGGGTTTTCGTAGAGCCCAGGTGCGCGGTGGTGCTTGCATTCGAGAGGGAGGGGCGTGGTACCGGACGAGGGGGGCGGCGATGGCCCCGAGGGCACCGGGGCTGACGGGACCCCTCGCCCTTGCCCGCGTGTAGGATGGATAAGGTGGGGGATGCCCTGGAGGAAGTGCTCAGCAAAGCCCTGAGTCAGCGCACGATCACTGTCGGGGTGTACGAAGCGGCCAAGCTGCTCAACGTGTAAGTGGGGCCCTTGCGCGTCCCCCATGGCACCCCTTCCCGCCCCAGCCCGGGAGGTCGCCTTGGCTGGGCGCCCCTCGCCCGGCCGCGCCACTTCCTGTCGCTTTTCTGCCTGTCTCGGAAGGGAGGGGGCGAGCGGGCCGGGCGGCGACCCCCAGGGACCCGGGCAGTGGTTGAGGGCGCCCGCGCTTCTGCGCTCACTGGCCCCGCCCGCTGCCCCCAGCGACCCCGATAACGTGGTGTTGTGCCTGCTGGCGGCGGACGAGGACGACGACAGAGATGTGGCTCTGCAGATCCACTTCACCCTGATCCAGGCGTTTTGCTGCGAGAACGACATCAACATCCTGCGCGTCAGCAACCCGGGCCGGCTGGCGGAGCTCCTGCTCTTGGAGACCGACGCTGGCCCCGCGGCGAGCGAGGGCGCCGAGCAGCCCCCGGACCTGCACTGCGTGCTGGTGACGGTAAGGGACTGGGGGACTGCAGCCTGCAGGGTAGAGCCCCGGAAGGACGGGAGTCAGGGCTGGGTTGCCTGATTGTGGATCTGTGGTAGGTGGGGGTCAGGAGGGTGGCTGCCTTTGTCCGACTAGAGTGTGGCTGGACTTTCAGCCGAGATGTGCTAGTTTCATCACCAGGATTTTCTGTGGTACAGAACATGTCTAAGCATGCTGGGGACTGCCAGCAGCGGAAGAGATCCCTGTGAGTCAGCAGTCAGCCCAGCTACTCCCTACCTACATCTGCACTGCCTCCCGTGACTAATTCCTTTAGCAGGGCAGATTAGATAAAGCCAAATGAATTCCTGGCTCACCCCTCATTAAGGAGTCAGCTTCATTCTCTGCCAGTCAGAGCTAAAAATAGAAATTGTGTAGGAGACAAACCTTGTTAATTCCCTAGAAATACATTAAGAGGATAGAGTGGAATTTTTTTTCTCTGCAATCTTGCATTTTTTTAATGGCTCTTTTTTTTTTTCCTGATAAAAACCTTTGGTAGGTAGGGAAGTTATGTTTTCAGGGGTAAATGTGCTACTTTTGTCTTCTAAATTTTGCTCTTTTTTGACTGGTCTAGTCAAGTGACAGCCCGATTATTTTGCTACTCCTTAAAAGTACTATTCTGTCTCTTGGAGTATGGTTGATGGCAATTCCAGTTAACTGCTGTGCAGCTCTCATCTCATTGTGCACACAGCATGGAAATCTTTCTCAAAACTGTTTCACTCAGGTCAGGGTAACAAGTTTGGTAGAGCAAACCGGTGAATGATACTCTCATGCAAAACTGAACAGATATGCAAACATATGTATGTGGTTCAGCTTGGGTTGCATGGGTTCAGACTTTGCAATGTGTAGTTTAATAGGTAATTACCCTTAACGCTTTTGCAGGGAACCCAACTACCTTGAAGAAACTTTAATTTTTTTGTGCTTCTAATTTGTCTCCATGTCACATAGCCAAAATATAGAATGTTCAAGTGTTTTCTCCTCAAAAGTATAATTACTAGAATATACTGGTTTTTAAAATAAGTTTATTTTTATAAATTTGTTTCCAGAATCCACATTCATCTCAATGGAAGGATCCTGCCTTAAGTCAACTTATTTGTTTTTGCCGGGAAAGTCGCTACATGGATCAATGGGTTCCAGTGATTAATCTCCCTGAACGGTGATGGCATCTGAATGAAAATAACTGAACCAAATTGCACTGAAGTTTTTGAAATACCTTTGTAGTTACTCAAGCAGTTACTCCCTACACTGATGCAAGGATTACAGAAACTGATGCCAAGGGGCTGAGTGAGTTCAACTACATGTTCTGGGGGCCCGGAGATAGATGACTTTGCAGATGGAAAGAGGTGAAAATGAAGAAGGAAGCTGTGTTGAAACAGAAAAATAAGTCAAAAGGAACAAAAATTACAAAGAACCATGCAGGAAGGAAAACTATGTATTAATTTAGAATGGTTGAGTTACATTAAAATAAACCAAATATGTTAAAGTTTAAGTGTGCAGCCATAGTTTGGGTATTTTTGGTTTATATGCCCTCAAGTAAAAGAAAAGCCGAAAGGGTTAATCATATTTGAAAACCATATTTTATTGTATTTTGATGAGATATTAAATTCTCAAAGTTTTATTATAAATTCTACTAAGTTATTTTATGACATGAAAAGTTATTTATGCTATAAATTTTTTGAAACACAATACCTACAATAAACTGGTATGAATAATTGCATCATTTCTTATTGTGTGCTCTTGTTTCTTTTAACTTGTACTTTATTAAACACATTTTACTGACGCTTTGCTGTATACCAGGTCTATAATCAGAAAGCAGGTGATTTAAAGGAGTTGGAGTTGTCAGGAAAAAGGGATGGTTAGAGATTCAGCTTGCAAAATTTGAATAATTAAAGATAAATGATATTAGCGCCGTAATAAGATTATACACAAAATGTTGAGGAGGCAGAGAGGACAGAGTGACTAAAGTTACCTACCAGTTTTTACTGAAGAGAGATCATTTTATGTTGGTCTTAGTGAGTTTTATTTCCCTAGTTACAGAGGGCAAAGGGATATTGCTAGCAGCTGCATTAGTTTGTGCAAAGGTGTGGAGGCCTGAAAGACCACAACCAGGTCAGTAAAAACAGAGTGATTGTGTGTGTGCCTCTGGTGTAGAAAGATAAGGGAGCAGCGGGGCTGAAAAGGAAGGTGGGGATTAGGCCCAGGCTGTGAAGGCATTCTGTGTTACCCTTATGCATTTGGGCTTCCTTCTGTAAACTTCAGGCAGATAGCGGAGCCCCTGAAGGAAGTGGCATGATCAGTGTTCTAGGAAAGTAACACCGGGGTCTGTGAAAGATGATTATTGGGATGAGCAGCTGTAGGTGACAAGGCCAGTTAGGAAGTGACTAAGAATCCAAGGTTGTGCATTTTGCAGAACCATTTTTACAGAGCAAACAGGGAAGTGGCCAGGCAAGGTTTTTTGCTGCCCCTAGTCTCTTCCTAAAGCTTTGTGCTTTCCAGCTGAACATTTCTATGGTTCTGAGGGGTCTGCTTAAATTCTATCAGATGGAATAGATGGCAGAGAAGAAAAGCAAAAGAAAAGTCTTCAGTAGAACAATCATTTTTAGTTAGAACAGTCACTTGATAATTAACTCCAACAATCTTGTAGGCATAGACCAAAGAAAGCAAAAATGCTTATGGAGGCAAGGCCTAGCCTTGCTTTTGTCCACAGGAATTTTCTTATCCTATTTCTCAAACCGTCCCCCTTATGGCTCCCCTGCCATCTGTCTTTCATCCTAGTCATGACTACATACAATCAGAAGAAAGGGTAGGGAAAACCCACTAATAGCAACAAAAAGCTCCAAGTTTCTGCATATATTATGAATACATAGCTCCATGAGCCCTTCACCTTGCAAATGACTCTCTTTTCCCACATCTGCTAGAATTGTGGGGTTTTAGGCCTTGTTTAGGCTTCTTGTATCTTTTCACAAGTGACTTTTTCTACATCTGCTAGAAATGTGGGTTTTTAGGCTTATTTAGGCTTCTTGTATCTTTTTAAAATCCAGTGCCCACTCCAAAACATAACTGGTATTTAATATTTGTTTCTTACATTACCAAAAGATTGAGAGCAGTGAGTTTTAAATAGCAAGGTGTTTTGCCTTCCCATTGAAGTAAGGTTTTTTTCAGCCCTTTTTCACAACGATTTGGTAAGAACCCTCTTGCAGAGATGAATGAATTAAAGTGGAGACACACAGTGGATAAAGCTGGTTTGCTTAGTGGAACGAGCACAGTAGCAGCTAGCCTTGATTAGTCCTTCTTCATCCTGTTTTACTCATGTAAAATGGAGATAAGATTACCTATCTTGCAGACTTGTGGCCTCTCCTACAACTCTGCAACCTCCCTCAAGGCAGGTAATGTCTGGTTCATTATTGTAGCCCAGTAGTGGACACAAGTGCCAGCAAGCAGTAGGTGCTGAATTAATATTTATTGAATAAATGAATGATTAGAAATAATGAATACAAACTACCTGGCACATGATAGGTGCTCAATGGAGTGTGGCTGTTTCTAAAACCCAGGTGATAGCAATAGGAAAACTTAAGGCATCAGAGAGATCTGTGTTATGACATGTACATCTATATAACTATGTTTTTCAAAAAGAATTTTTGATCTTTATTCTAAATTCATAATGCTTAGAGATATGTAATAGTACTTATACATTCTTCAGATTGTTTTGAGGAAAATCTCAACAATTACTGTAATGCCATTTGGTTTCTTCAAAAATTTTAAACTCTTGTTTTTCTTTCCTGATTGAGCATAACATAAAGTTAACACAGCATTGAAAAACCCAATCATGAAACAGTTAATTTTAAACAAATATAAAATTACCTGGATGGCTTCTATCTCTAATTGATGCAAATATTCTTTAGTCGTTGCCTTAAAAACCATTAAATGTACTTATTGCAAGCTACGTTACAACAAGAACAGAAATCCCCTCATCTACCTAAGGTGTATTGAATGTTGAAAAGTGGAAAATACCTAATTTTTCCACTGGCAACTTCACCTCAGTGTCATAAATAGCATTGCTTCCTCCTTTCCACACTTAACCTAGGATCTTGGTAAGTTAAACTTTTATAATGAAAGGACCCATGAAAGTAGCTAATCTCCTATAATACATACCTTAGTTCCCAAATAAAGAAAAAAGGGTCATTTTTTAGGAAAGAATTATTTGTATACTGTCAATTGAAATATTTCCAAAGCATGTTTTGAGATGCCTTACTGGAGCCCTTGTGAAATAATTGCTTAATTTTCATTTATATAGGTAGAATTTTATTCTTTGATATGTGGTAAAAGACTGAAATTTGGGAGATAAGTTCTCTTCAAATGAACAAAACTCAGTGGCATGATTTGACACCAAGTAAGTATCCCTCAAAGAAGTGAATACTTTTTTTCTTTTTAACAATACTTTGGTAAACATAAGAACCTCTGTGAAAAGGTCGTATTCATGAAAACCACCAAGAAATATTAAGTGAGTGCTTACTGTGGACAAGGGACTATGCTGGCTATATTGAAGTCTACCAAAAAAAAAAAAAAAAAAAATCAGACACACACTCTGGCCTCAAGGACTTCGTATCACTACATAAATACAAAACAGAAAATTACCAGCAACGTAAGAAAGGCCCAGAGAACTGTTCTGGAAGTTCAAAGGATAGAAATCTCCAGAAGGCATATAGGAATGGAATGGAGAAAAAGGTTGTAAACTCTTTGTTCATAAGCTAGCATCGTATTTTGCAAACAGCACAAAAATGTGATCGATTGATTGAATATTGAATATAATTTTGCTAGGTGCTATGAAGAATACAAAGATGTAGCCTATTAGAGCATTTCTCCTTAAGTTGACAATCTATAAGGAAATCATTAAGCACATTAAAAAAAAGATAAGCTTGTTCATTTCAATCATGCTGCTTATTGAATGCCTATCATTTTCCTGGCACTATGTTAGGTCCCAAGGCCACAAAGGTGAAAAAGCAGCCACCTTTAAGGATATGTACAATTTAGTAGGGATACCTGATACCTGTAATACTAGGTGACAAGTGATAATGAGGTATATTCAAGACCTAAGTGTTCCTGGGGCCAGGGAATGTTTGCCAGGTTCAGTGAGACCTGAAAGATGAAGAGATCTGCCAGGTGAATGTGAAGGGCATTTACTCCAGGAGGAGGAACTATAGCTCAGGAAGGTACACACTGAAGGCATGTTTGGAGCTAGCTTTTGGGTGACAGCAACACTCATACAAGATTTACTACATCCTGAGCACTGATCTAAGCATTTTATCAACAGGAACTCATTAGCACTCTCAACAACCCTGTGGGAGTAGGTACTATTATTAGCCCCATTTTGAAGGTGAAAATACTGACACACAGAGATCTTAAGTTGCCCAGAATCATACTGTAAGTGGCAAGACCAGGATGCAAACATGTCCTCCAGTGATGGGTGATGGAGTGGGAAAGATGGTAGAAACCAGAGCATGATTTTCTGGCAGGCCAAGCTTCTTTTCTACTAGGTGATAGAAAGCCATTAAAATTAATTGGTAAAACTAAGAGAAGAGACAGATGCTGTCACCACCAAGAGACAGACAATGAAAAGATGATGCTATAGCTTACAAAGTCCTAATGTGGGGGTGGAAACTGGTAGCCAAGAGAAATTTGGATCACACAATATATAACAATTTTTAAAGATCAGTTGTAAACATTTAAAAATGGGAAAATCTCTTAGCAAAATCCAGACTTTTATTGTTTCTTGAAAATGTGCTATACTGGCAACCGTAGGTCCATACTGCGTGGTGGCAATTCGCTGGAGCCAATAGGAGGCCCCTCCCTTTTGGACTTGGATTTCCAGTTTGCCACAGACCTCACCCCTCCCTGTTATAACTCTAGTTTGCTGGACTCATGTAAGCTTCCCTCCCTCATCCTATTAGGCATCTGAGATCCACCCTTCGCCCCCACCCCACCGACTCAGACTGGGGCTTAGAATCTTCCTGTGTAAAATGAAGTGTTTACACTATCAGAATTTCTCAAACTGTTTGGATGAAATAAGGCCCTGAGGTGCTTGTTAAAAATATAACTTTCAAGAGCCATTCCCAGAAGCTTTAGATTAAGTGGGGCTGGAATAAGGCTCAGAATTTATTTTTCCTGATTCAAGCCCCAGAAAAAGAAAAAATTATATATATATGTATATGTTTTTAACAAGTAATTCAGGTAATTCTTATAAGGGAAGTTTGAGAAATAATGAATGCTCTCTCGGAGCTCTCTTTACAAATCTCAGGGATTAGGTAGGGAGAAGCTTCTACATGGTCAGTTTCCAGTTTCCCTTGATGTTAGCCCACCAAAAGGGATGCATATTTCTCTGCAAAAATTGCAGGGATTCCCATGAAGAGGTGTACCAGAACCATTTGCTACCTGGAGACAGATAATTTTCAAGTTAACTCAGGTGATCACTACACAAAAGGTGGGAGAGTCTGCAAACAGAATGGTTCTTACCTCTCCTTGAACCGACAGATCAACACACCTGTTATGTGCTAGACATGGTGCTAGGCACTTTGAAGACGAGGGAGAAGCTGACAAGCATGATTAAAATCTGTTATTGTTATACTATGAGTACTGCTCAGTGTCAGGCACACAGTAGGTGCTGAGAAGTAAGTGGGGCTTCCAGTTTTCATTTTTTCTTTTTTCTTTGTTTGTTTGTTTGTTTGTTTTTTGAGACCGAGTCTCACTGTGTTGCCCAGGCTGGAGTGCAGTGGCACAATTTTGGCTCACTGCAACCTCTGCCTCCCAGGTTCAAGCAATTCTCCTGCCTCAGCCTCCCGAGTAGCTGAGATTACAGGTGCATGCCACCACACCCGGCTAATGTTTTATATTTTGGTAGAGACAGGGTTTCATCATGTTGGCCAGGCTGGTCTTGAACTCCTGACCTGGTGATCCTCCTGCCTCGGCCTCCCAAAGTGCTGGGATTACAGGCGTGAGCCACCGTGGCTGGCCACTTCCATTTTTCTTACAACCACTAGTACTTTCTGCCTTTCATGGATTTTCACATTCATTAATTCATTTGATTCTCTGCTAAAGCAACTGAGGCTCAGAGCAATCAAGAGACACCTCCAAGGTCCCATGACAAGGAAGTGGAAGAATCAGAATTTTACGGTGAATTCAGTCCTCTTGATGCTAGGTCAGTCTCTCAAAGAGGCCAACCAGACAGCAGAGATTAGACTGGGGAAGGATGAAACTAATTGAATCGAATCTTTTACTTATCCAATAAGTGGGGCAGAGCCTTGGGAAATCTAAAGGAGACAAAAAACACTCAAGGGAGAATTCTAAGAATTGTCTTCTTTCATCTTAGAACTGGGAAAGTTCTAAGCATCATTGAAAAGTTGATCTTTGTGTCCCTGCATGCTTTTATGCTAATATCTTTTCTAGAATTGTCTGAGAAAGAATTTATACAGAAAAGCAGCAAACTTTCTTAGTATCATCACTTAACACATGATTATATCACCATATTGTAATCATCTTACCATCATTGAAATAAGCACTCAGCAAGAAATGGGTCATCTGGAGGTCTTCTGATTTGATTTTGCTTCTTTATATAACTGTGAAGGACAGGGCTAGCAAAAGATAAGAACAAGAGTACAGCAGTTAAGACAGTGGCCGCCACTCCAGGCCATTGTCTTAATACCAGCCTGTAATACCAGCACTTTGGGAGGCCTAGCTGGGAGGCTTGTTTGAGGCTAGGAGTTTGAGATCAGCTTGGGCAACATAGCAAGACCCTATTTTTGTAAGAAAGAAAAGAATAACAAAAATGAAGAAAAAAGACATTGGGTTTTAGAGGCAGAAAGACTTGAGCTTGAATCCTGGATCCTAGCTGGAACTTGGGAAAGTTAGTGTAACTCTCGAAGCCTCAGTTATTTCTCCTGTAAAACTGGGGAAATAAACAAGGCTTATATCATCGGGTTATGGTGAAAAGGAAAGGAAACAATGCATAGAAAGAACCTAGCTCAGTTCCTAGAAGCAGTCAATATATGTAAGCTAATAATAATTGCATCTTCCATGAACTGGTGATTTTCTATGCCTGTTTATATTCCATTAATATTTAATTGTTCTGTTTGCAAATTAGTTATATAAGTAAAAAAAAAAAACCACCCAGTAAACTACATAGCCCAACATAACTGAATTCAGCAAGACACCATCCAATTAAATTATGTTAATTTTCACTAATCTAGTTTCCCCTCTCCATTTCCATTAACTTAATTTAGTTCTTTATCTGTCATTTAGGCTATCAGAACAGTTTCTGTTCAAAATCAAGGTTGTGAGAACATAAGTACCGTGTATCAAGTACTGTGCTAGAGCTTGCTCCATAAAGATGATTGTGACACAGTTGCTACATGCAGTTTGCTATAGGAACTATAGGAAGCTGACAGACACACATAATTTTCAAGCCAGAGTGGTGTCACGGCAAGCATGGGTATGCACAATGTGTGTGTGTGTGTCTGTGTGTGTGTGTGTGTGTGTGTGTGTGTGTGTGTGTGTAGGGGGTGGTCAGGAAACCTTCCAGGAGAAGGTGATGCTTGATGTGACTCTTGAAGAGCATTTAGGAGCTCATTGGGGTGAGGGGTGTGGCATGTGTGGGGCTCTGTGGTGTTTGTTAGGGGATTAAGTATTTAAGGAAGGGAGTGGAGAAAGGCAGGCTGAGGAGGTAGACAGAAACAGATCACAGAGGATGTAAATAGGGGGTGGGGTTGGAGGAGAGTGATAAGGGTTTGGAATGGAAAGGAGTTGAAGAACTAATAAAAGAATAGTGAATACCACCCTCCACTCCCTACTCCCCACAGAAATTAGAAACACGACCTCCAGTTTTTCTTCAGTAGTTTATTTTCCTTGTTCATTCTAATTATCTTCATGTCAAGACCATGCTTAAAAATCTCTTACCGGCTGGGCACGGTGGTTCATGCCTGTAATCCCAGCACTTTGGGAGGCCGAGGCGGGCGGATCACGAGGTCAGGAGATCGAGACCATCCCGGCTAACACGGTGAAACCCCGTCTCTACTAAAAATACAAAAAATTAGCCCGGTGTGGTGGCGGGCGCCTGTAGTCCCAGCTACTCGGGAGGCTGAGGCAGGAGAATGGCGTGAACCCGGGAGGCGGAGCTTGCAGTGAGCCGAGATCCCGCTACTGCACTCCAGCCTGGGCGACAGAGTGAGACTCCGTCTCAAAAAAAAAAAAAAAAAATCTCTGAACAACTACCCTTCCCCCCATATAATTCAGTACAAACTCTTGGCCTTTGATTATTTGACCCAACTTTCCTTCCCAGCCTTGTCCACATTCTCATTCCCATACTTCCGTTGCAAAGATCTCTGTTGCTCTAACACTCCAGGCTTCCTTAGATCTTGGGGCTTTTGCATACACTATTTTTCACTGCTGAGAATATCCTTTCCCTATTCTTTACCAACAAACTCCTACTTGTTCTTCAAAGTTCAACTAATATATTATCTCTTCTATGAAATCTTTTCTGACTCATTCAGACAGAACAATTTCTTATGATAGCATTTACCATATTGCATAGCAATTTATCTGTTTATTTCCTACTGCCCCTGCACCTGTTACTCCCACTCCCACTATCCTTGTGTTTTCTGGGTTTATCCTAGGACATACCTACCACAGTGCTAGTAGGAGCTCAACAAATAAATAAATTTCTCTTTGTTCTGTTTCTATAAACCAAACGCACTGTCATTCATATTTAATGTTTGAGTGGGCTATTTTTCTTTTTGTAGTTATGTTTTATGAACTCATAAGGTGCTACTGACACTTTAAGTTTGTTAAAGAACTTTGCTCCTTAATTCTATTAGTGGTAGGCTGTCAATATTCAAAATGCTTTTCTATAATTCATTTTTCCTTAAAATTCTTTATAGACCTGTTGATGAGCCAGTAGCTGAAGTATCAGGAGGTGATTCTTTAAATATCTTTTAAATACCTATAATTATACACAACAAACCCACGTGCCCTCCTCTGGCTCCATACGCTAGACTTTGGTTCTTCTCCTGATTTTCAATTCAAGGAGGAAAATGTACAATGACTTGGGGTGGAGATGGCAAGAGGGTTGATCTCCTCTCAGATTTACAGATTTATATACAATTTAAAGCTAGAGGAAATGTTAAAAATTACCTAGCCTAAATCTTTTTTTTAAAAGTGAATGGGGAAGTAGAATCAGAGATCATAAGTGTCCTAAGGTTGCACAGTAAATGAGTAGTAATCAGTCCAGAACATGCATTTCCTGATTCCAAGATACGTATTCTTTCTCTTACGTCACACTGGCTACCCTGAAAAATGGTTTTCTGAAAGCATATCCAATATACTTTTGGATCTCTCCAGGCTTCTATTTCCTCATATGTAAAGTAGGAATAATAGGAGTAGCTGTTTCCTGGATTTGTTGTGAGAATTAAATGAATTAACAGATGCAGGCCAGGTGCGGTGGCTCATGCCTGTAATCCCAGCACTTTGGGAGACCAAGGCGGGTGGATCACCTGAGGTCAGGAATTCGAGACCAGCCTGGCCAACATGGTGAAACCCTGTCTCTACAAAAAATACAAAAATTAGCTGGGCATGGTGGTGCATGCCTGTAATCCTAGCTACTTGGGGGGCTGAGGGAGAAGAATCTCTTGAACCTAGGATGCGGAGGTTGCAGTGAGCCCAGATCTTACCACTGCACTCCAGGCTGGGCAACAGAGCAAGACTCTGTCTCAAAACAAAAACAAAAACAAAAAACAACCACCACACCCCCACCAAAAAAAAAATAAACAGATGCAAAATGCTAAGAACAGTACCTAGTCATAGTAAATGCCTGAAATATAGCACTGTTTATTCTTAAGGCCCAGGGTATTACACTCATGATTAGTAAAGGACTTACTTGTTTACCTTACCTTTTACTTAATCTAACAATTACCAAAGTTACTGTTTGTTTGTTTTCCCTTATTCAAACCATACTACAAATATTAAGATAGTCCATGGGCTGTACAATCTGCCTGGGTGTATGTTCTTAGGACCCACCCTTTTATGTTGTTGGATCTAGCACAATTTTCTTAACTTCTCTGAGCCTCAGTTTCCTCATCTGTAAGATGGGGTTAAATCACATCTACTTTCCTTTAAAGAGTTGTTTTGAGGCTTCAATGGGAGAACACATGCACAATGCCCAGCCTAGTGTCTGGAGTTCAGTGTTCCTCATTGCCTTGCACAGATGTCTACAAATGTTGACAGATGTTGCATGGCCAGTGTTGAAACGTACATACCTCACCAAGGTCGGATCTAAAATGTTTATTTAGAACAAAGCACTTCTAGTGCATTGGCCATGGGAAAATTTTTCAAGGTTAAAAGTAGAAATGTGAACCTGTCTGCTTTACATGGGTGATTTTTTTTTTTTCTTGAGACAGAGTCTCACTCCGTCGCCAGGCTGGAGTGCAGTGGTGCAATCTCGGCTCACTGCAAGCCCCGCCTCCAGGTTCGCGCCATTCTCCTGCCTCACCCTCCCGAGTAGCTGGGACTACAGGTGCCCGCCACCACGCCCGGCTAATTTTCTGTATTTTTTAATAGAGATGGGGTTTCACCGTGTTAGCCAGGATGGTCTTGATCTGCTGACCTCGTGATCCGCTCACCTCGGCCTCCCAGAGTGCTGGGATTACAGGCATGAGCCACCGTGCCCGGCCTACATGGGTGATTCTTGGAGCTGATTCCCAAAGGGGATGCTTGTCTTTTTACTTGCTTGTATTGTAGGGCTTCATGACAATTTTTTCCATATCCAAGTCAAAGGCGTGCTATTACATACTTATATTTTAAAAAATACAAATTGGCTTACTTTTTATTTAAATCTATTTTAGAAGGAAACTTTCTATCACAACTTGTGCTAGTTCTGGTTTTCCTAATACATATAAAACTACACAATTAGTAAAATGTTAAAAAATTAACATGTGTATTACCTAAATCTCACATGCCAACCTTTACTTAAGGTCGGGGACATTAATGAACAAGTCCGTCAGTGCCTGGCTTAGAGGAGGTAGCACTGCCCACATTTGTTCAGGGAGTGACTGCTTTAGGCTTGCCCTAGTACACAAATTTATGGATCCATAGTGCCCTTGTGATGTCACATAGTTGGCGAATGTCTTCTGTTAGGACCATATTTAAGGTCATTTAGCGGATAATGCCCTCCTATCACTAAGCAGGGTGTATGTGTGGAGGGGTGGGAGGTGGTTGGCTCTAGAGATCACAAGTAGTAACGTGGGGCCGGGGCAGTGACTCACACCTGTAATCCCAGCACTTTGGGAGGCCAAGGTGGGTGGATATCCTGAGGTTAAGGGATTGAGACCAGTCTCACTAACATGGCGAAACCCTGTCTCTACTAAAAATACAAAAAAATTAGCCGGGCGTGGTGGCACATGCCTGTAATCCCAGCTACTTAGGAGGCTGAGGCAGGAGAATTGCTTGAATTTGGGAGGGGGAGGTTGCAGTGAGCCGAGATCACACCACTGCATTCCAGCTTGGGCGACAGAGGGAGACTCGGTCTCAAAAATAAATAAATAAATAAATAAATAAATAAATAAATAAATAAATAAAAATAAAAAGTATCATTGTGCACATAGATGTCTCAGCTGCAAATCTCTTGGACTTACAAACCTGGCATCTTCCATTATGGATGTCAACCATTTCAGTTAAGTGCTTTCATCATTCAATAGATTGTCTAGGAGGATTTAAAGGGTATAGGAATGCTTCATATGTACAATTAATTCTCAGTGATGCCTAAACTTTACTATGAACTTCCATTTCTTTGTGCTAAGTATCACTCTCTCCAGAGTTGTATTTGACAGTGCCAGTGGTCCTCCACAGGCCAATATATTAATTCATTTGCACATTAGCATAAATTTACTTGGACTGCATTTTCCTCCAGGGCAGAAAAAGTTTTTGAAAAAAATGGGCAATTGAGGTGAGGGTTCCTTTGACTAACTGCACGTCGCCCAGGGCTGGCCTAAAGTTAAACGACCTTCATGGATTTAAATGACTCAGATAAAGAGAAAGTAATTAGGGTAACAGAGGGCTCATCTGAAGGCAAAAGTTATTTGCTACTCACAGTGGTAAAGGGGTACAGTAGCAAATATGGTCACGCTCTGAAAACAAGCACAAGGCCCTAGCCATGCCAGGCTGTGCAAAGACAGCTAGAACTGACGGTGGGACCAGGCTCCACAAAGATGGTCAGAGGTTTTTTTTTTTTTTTTTTTTTTTTTTGAGACGGAGTCTCACTCTGTCGCCCAGGCTGGAGTGCAGTGGCGCGATCTCGGCTCACTGCAAGCTCCGCCTCCCGGGTTCATGCCATTCTCCTGCCTCAGCCTCCCGAGTAACTGGGACTACAGGCGCGCCCGCCACCAGGCTGGCTAATTTTTTGTATTTTTAGTAGAGATGGGGTTTCACCGTGTTAGCCAGGATGGTCTTGATCTCCTGACCTCGTGATCCGCCCGTCTTGGCCTCCCAAAGTGCTGGGATTACAGGCATGAGCCACCGCGCCCGGCCATGGTCAGAGTTTTAAGCCAACAGATTATAATCCTGGCATAGGGAATGAGGGACAAATACTCAAAAGACGGTCGCCTAGCCCCAAACAAGGATTATAGAGCCCCAAATAAAAAGGTTTAGAGGGAATATCCATGTGTTTATGTGTAACTGACCCTCGTGCCAGGGAAAAACTGATCATGGCACATATCCAGAAGAGGTGGAAAGCCCCATGACATGCATCTCCACACTGAGTTCCAATCACTACCCGCAGGCCTGGGTTTCTTGTCCATGTTAAGGCTAAGTATACATCTCATCTGCCTCTTCCAGCTTCATTACCTTCCCTTCCCCCATCTTTTAAAAACTCACCCCTACCCAATCCCATCCATCATCCCCAACTCTCCTCCACTGAGAGTTACAAGAACTTTGTAATTTGGTCAGAAGCAGTAAAAAGTGCTTGTTAGTTGTTGCCTCTTTTTCAAAACCGATGTATCTAAATCCTTCAGTCTTTTACTAGAAAGGGCCCAGGGACTGTCTTTTGCCCCTACCTTTTGTAAGTGTGGAGTGCTGGCTCTCAGAAGCAGGGGCCATCTCTGCAGCGTGTCCGGTTCATAGCCTGGGGCTTGTTGGCTGCCTCCCGCCCTTGTTCTTTGATGATTTTGCCCTCCCCTCATCTCTGTGGGAATCCCAGCCCTGGGGGAAGGGGCAGAAGAGGAGGCAGGGCACCTTCAGCAAACACATAGTGAATATGAGTCACCACCATCTAATGACCTTTCCATTTGTTATCAGTTTCCACTACCTCAGCTAGTCTCAGGATGGGAAACAGCCCTCCACAGGTCAGAGTCATTACGTCACTCCTCAGCAGCCTCTCTAGCTCCCCTGTTGGTTTCAGGATAGGCAAGCAGGATAGGAGGGCGGGATCGGGGGTCTTCTGCACACTGGCTTCCAGTCCTCTTTTCTCCTCCTCTCATCTCCTCCCAGGACCTCATTCCAACGCATACTGTTCTTCTCTCACTCAGCCCAAACATCACCACCCTTGGAAGCCTTTTTAGAGGTCTTTGTTGATGTGGAGCTAGTCCCTCTTTCCTCTGGGCTCTCACAGCACTCTGTGTTCACCTGAGTTATAGCACTTGCCACATGATACTACGATGATTAGTTTACATATCTGTCATTCCCATCCTCCTTGCTCAGACTGTGACATGGGCTGGTGTAAGTCTTATTCATTTGGGTGTCATGGGAGCCTGACTCTCAGCAGCTTGCTCTCAGGAGGTGCTCAGAAAATGTTAACTGAGTGAAGGAAGGGAAAGGGGAAGAGAAATGGTCTTTTATTCATTTATTGAGCAAAACACAAGTAGGATGATACAATGAGGCACTGACGCAGTACAGAAAGCAATGGTGCTTTTAATGAAACTTCTTTCAAATCTGTGAACATGCTAGCTGTGAAGTACATGCTTTTATTCTTTCCATAGGACATATTTCCAAATAATGATCACAGTATTATGGTTAATAAGATGCTGGACAGATGCGTAGCCAAAGAATATTACATAACAACAAAATCTCATCAATGATATATCAAATGCAAATTTACTAAGACATCAAGAGAATATCTGTTTGTAGTTACATGGCTAAAAACAAGACATTATTACAGTAACCAAGTCCATAAAACTAGAAAAAAAGCACTGTATAACAAAAAGGCCTTTTAGAAGCTATTAAATGAACAAACATTATAGATAAACCAATTTTATATCTGAAGCAGCTTATAGCACCAACACGTTGGCAGGACCAGCAGAGGGGTGGGGTCTTTGGACCAAGGCATCTGGGAACAGGAAGGGCTCTCAGCCATCATCTACTGCAGCCACTTGTTTTACAAATGGAGAAATAGAGGCCCAGAGAGATGAAGCGCCTTGTCCAAGGTCACACAGCACAGGACAGACTGGGAAATGATCCAGGGCTATGATCCAGGCCACTGACTTCAGGTAAGTGCTCTATTTTAACATACAGATATAAGATTCTATTTGATTTGATGTATTTTTTCCCCATTAACAGGTCTACCATAAAAGAAAGCAATAAAACCCATAATGTACTCTGGTATTGTATTTATTTCACTGAGAAATGACTGGCATGTACTACGATCATTTTGGGGGCCTATATAGATCTTACATCAAAATTCAGAGGAATTAGTCAGATAACACTATTTTAGTTATAAATTGAGAAGGTGGCATTTGAAGAGAATATTTGGCACATCCTCCACTACGTAAGCTACCCTATGCCTCAAAATTACTAAATCATTGGTATAAAGTTTTGGTTTTTTTCCTGATAGTTTAAAGATTAGTAAAGTACAAAAACAGTCTAAATAGAGAAAAAGCAAGTCAGGTCTTTCCTTTAAAAGTTAAGTATGGCACTTTTCATTTTAATAAGGTAAATGATTTTAAAAACCTGACATTTTTTAGAAGAAAAAAAAAAACTAGCTATGAGCCATCACTTGTGAACCATCTGGTATATAAAATATTTCCCTTATTTAAAAAATGTTTCTGTAAAATACTTCGGAGTCATGAAATCATGCCGTGGTCCTGAGGCCTCAACTGGACAGATTTATGATGAACTAATGAAGATATAAGAATGAAAAAAAGAAAGAGATCACTGTTAACAGAAGCAGCATTAAGGACAAAGTATACTGAATATATTGAAACAGCTTCATGGAAATGAAGCCAAGAAGTTGCATGTATATACGTGAGAAAGATTATCATTACAGTGGTAGTTGGAAAAAGTAACAAACACTGGGTATTTGTCTATCATTAACATAAACCAACTGTTGCAGACAGTTAAACTGTGGCTTTGTAAGGAGAATAAAGCCTGATAAAAAAAGTGACTTCTGCATATCATATATATGTATACATATATTTTCTCACATAGACGTCTAGTTATAAGTAAATCAACATTTAGCTACAACTTTTCCTCTCTTGGGTCCAGCATCAAAAGATTTGATATTCATGAACATGCCCTACACCTGGTTAGGAAGTTATGTATTTATACTCATAGCCTTTATTGTATCTGACCAGGGTGAATAAAATGAAATCTCCTGGGACCTCAAGTCCATTTCTTACCACTATAAGCATATTAACAGATATATATCAAAACATACTTGTTTACTGTTAGGTAAAAGAGCATGTTTCAGTACTAAATAATAAACTATGCCTGCTACCAATAACATGCACATAATGGTATAATAAAAGTAATTTTTCATGAAAATATTTTGAAAGAAGCTACATTATAAATATTTAAAGAAACGTTAAAAATCAGAGTGAAAATCAGATTAGTGTTCTGAAACTGAGTAGAAAAATAGACTTATAAAAAAAAGAATGTCTCATTAAGTGAAGCATTAAATGTAAAGTTGTCTTTTTAGTGTAAATTTCAAATCTCACCCTTTGAGAGGTAAAATCTTCCTCTCTCCTAAACAGGTACCTATAATTGATTTGGGAACTGGGCATATCGCAGAACGAAAAAGCAGATGACACAAGGCTAAGGGCAGTGCCGTGATTTTCACATGGCCTTAGAAAAGCGAGGGGCATTCATAAGGCTGAGTAGATAGCAACTTGGAGAAATACTGAATAAATGTGAGCAGTTTGAAAACAGTAATGCATTTGTCCACCCTAAATGAGCTAATACTCAAAGCCCAGACATTAGATTTTAAAAGGGGTTTGCTTTCCAGGACAGATTGTACAAAATTTGGGAAAATCGTTGTAAATAATTACTTCCTGGGGTTGATTCCTTTTTGAGGGGAAGTTTTTAACCTTTCCTTAGTAGTTACTTTTAATGAACTGAAGAAGAATTAAAGCATCAAAGGCCTAGTGTATGATTTGACTCCGAAGTGACCCTCTCTTCTACTTTGATAAAGTCAAGATACCTTATTGGCCATAGGAGATTCCTCCTTTTGGGGCTACCCCCATACCTGGAAATTCCAAGAGTGTGAGGGCTATATTTGGG
This sequence comes from Homo sapiens, assembly GCF_000001405.40. Taxonomy (NCBI): domain Eukaryota; kingdom Metazoa; phylum Chordata; class Mammalia; order Primates; family Hominidae; genus Homo; species Homo sapiens. Next base: position 67,704,141 of record NC_000001.11, read on the forward strand.
CCCAGAGGAAAATCAAGGAACCCCATATCCAGCTGCTAAAGCCCTTGGGCCCAAGGAGTGTACCACTGAATCCAAGGCTCTCTTGGGTAGCCTATGTGCCTCTTGGATGGTATGTGAACAAGGTAGGGATGAAACTGCAGATGTCTGAAAAGAGCTTAAGCATCCTGACAGCTTGCATTTTTTTTTTAATTTTTTTTTTCCTCACCGTATTCCACATACCTGTGGCTGGGGAAGGTAATGTTACCTCTGCAAACAGATGCTCTGGTAAGAGAAGAAAGACACAGGGAAGGCAGAGAGAGCAAGACAGAGGGCTCAATCACAAAGCTGGGACAAGGAGAGCAGCTGTTTTTCACACATTCCTGCTCCTCTCTCAGCTGGGCTCATGTTCACTCCGTTTCATTCCAATCATCAGGGTGGAGATTTCAGAGGTGCCTATCCCTAATCCAGTAGAGAACATGAGCCCTGGGAGCACAGCTGCCTGGAGTCCTCCCAAGGGTCTCCTCCCCTTTTCCAGACTCAGCATCATTGAAGCCCTAACGGGTCCTTGTAAATTAATGTTTCATATTATCGAAGGACTGTCAGTTTAGTTTGGTACAGTTTATTGTAGCCTAAGAGGTCCAGCAAGATTTCAAGAGAGGAGAGATGATTGCATTACTTGATTACAATGAATACAATCTTTAGGATACTCTTTACTTTTTGTACAATAACGATATGAAAGGAATTTTTTATTCTACCTATACACAGCTCAAAATAAAGGTATAACTTCTGGAACTGAGAAACTGATGGTATGGAGAGAGGGACGTTTTCATAAGAAAATAGCTTTGATAAGTGTATACACAAAGGCATATATATATACACACAAACACCCCTCTCTCTTATATACTATACAGGCTGGCACACGCCTTATAAAGAATATAATATCAAGGCTTTAGGATTTCAATGAATTTTGGAATTTTAATTTGACAGGTGCTTAGGCCATTTAGGTCCTGACATATCGGAATCCCTTGTATTTCTAAAGTATATAATTATGTTTTTAAAAAGGCCCAGATCAACTTTCCTTAAACAGTAACCCAACATAAAGCCATAGTTACCAAGTGGAAAATAAGATTGTTATTCTGTATTAAATCAGTAAAGGGTATTTTAAGAGAAAGGACAACTTGGAAAATAGAGACTTCAGAGTCCATTATTCCAAGCTGAGAACATTTTAGTTATTAGCAGTGGTTACCAAATAAGCTGAAGGTAAATCTCTTCAAGGAGCTGCTCATAATTTGCGTTGTTGGGAAGAGGCGAGGAGCTGTTTCTCTATTCCACTATAAGATGATGCAAGTTTTTTTATCCTTGAAAGGGTTTTCTGAAGTTGGTATTCCTATCAGCAAAGGGTCACTCCTGGCATGTTCCTCACAGTAGGACATGAGGTCCGCTGATGCCTTCGAAACCTGACATGGAGATAAATCAAACAAACAAGAAAGAAAATATTTTACTTGCACACTTTCAGAGCGTATTTGAATGCTAGGCTATTGAATGGAAGACTGATTTGAACAAGATAATCAGAGTCTCAAAGCATCACTCTCAGATTCTTGTCAGGTATAAAAAGGAAATGGTACCTTTAAAATGGTGCAATTTGGCAGGTAAGGTCTTTCTTAACCAAGCAACTTAACAATGGTCAGACAAACTGGCACCATGTATCCCTTCATGGGAGTGCTGAGGACACACCGCCAGCTAATGAGCTAGCATTCCTGTCCAACATTGAACTGGAGTCCAATCAGCGAACGATCACACCCGAAGTGAGGGTGATTCTGCAAAATAAGTGGCCTGGATTCTTCAAAAATGGACTGTGTGTGAGGTATTCTTATTAGATAATCCTGAACTGCAAATAACTTTCAAGGGTTTAAAGAAGACATTATATATGTTTTGTGTGTATGTGTGTACAGACAGAAGGAGGGAGAGAGACAGTGCAAGCAAGTACATGTGGTCAAATGTTAAAAACTGGTGAATCCTGGTAAACGGTTTATAAATGTTTGTTGTTACAACTCTTCAGCAGGTTTGAAATGTCTCAAAATAAAAAGTTAGGGGCCAGGTGAGAAAAAGCATATGTGAATCAAGGGAAGGTTGTATCTTAAATTCTACCCAGAAAAAAACAGATTGGAATGCAGAACACACTTTAAGAACTGAACGATGGGCTCGGAGCCAAAACTCTGGAGCCAAGTTGTGGAGCTTCAGGATTTACTGTTAGAGATTGGGCTTGCGGAAGTAAAAAGAGAGACGAAACCAGCATGGGAAGAGGCAGTACCTTACTCCCGCATGAATTAAACACGGAAAATATCATGCCCTGTTTCAGAAGTCTGGGAGGGAGATCCTACAGAATAGGATCTCTTTGCCCTAAGCAAAGAGCAATGGGGCAGCTGAGCCCTGTCTAGCACAGCCCAGATAGCCTCATGCTGGGAAGACAGGTGACTATCTCCAGGCCCAGAGGAATGGATCAAGTGATTGCTTCAGTTTCTTTTTTCTTTTCTTTCTTTTTTTTTTTTTTTTGAGATGAAGTTTTGTTCTTGTTGCCCAGGCTGGAGTGCAATGGCGCGATCTTGGTTCACTGCAACCTCTGCCTCCTAGATTCAAGCAATTCTCCTGCCTCAGCCTTCCGAGTAGCTGGGATTATAGGCGTGCGCACGCCACCGTGCCTGGCTAATTTTGTATTTTTAGTAGAGACAGGGGTTTCTCCATGTTGGTCAGGCTGGTCTCGAATTCCCAACCTCAGGTGATCTGCCCGCCTCGGCCTCCCAAAGTGCTGGGATTACAGGCGTGAGCCACCGCGCCTGGCCAACTGCTTCAGTTTCAAGGAAGAACTAGTCATAACATTCCAGGGCACTCACTGCCTAGTTCTCTCTTGGGATTTAGGGGAAAAGACTTCGAAGTCAGGTGATCTAAGAAATGCATTCCAGTTTCTCTATGGGATCTCAACTAAAGCTCGCATTATTACTCTGGGCACAGAAAGTGGTCACTGAGGGCCAAACACATTTAAAAGCTTCATTTCCCTAAAAAGGAAACCTAGACTGCTGACTTCTTACGTGAAGCTGCCTCAGCTGCACTGATAATTCTAGAACACTTAAATTCCAAAGGAATGACTAGGGTGTTTATGAAGTCTACTTGGAACCCCTGTCCCACTTTAGAACACAGGGATCAACGGACTTGACCATGTTCATTCAGGGGAGACAGGTCCTTAGGAAATCCTGTCCAGAGTTTTACAAACAGAGAGGCTAATGCAGACACTTTTGAAGTGAGGCCCATGCTATATAGGAAAATGAAAGTTAGGATTTTGAGACTCTCAGCCTGTTCTGGAAAAATCCTGGAAGCAAGCGGAATGAAATGGTATTATCTTCTCTGACAAGTGGTCCAGCCACAAGGAACAGGGGGAACTGAGCAGAAAGCATATGTTATCCAGTCGGGGCTTCTTACCTTTATTCTTTCAATGGAGGCTTCTAATCTTAACTGCTGCACAGTTCTCCTTGCCTGGGCTATATTGTTGGTGCTTGCTGTTTTGCTGGACATCTTCAATTATTGTTTTTACCTGAAATCTGAGGAGAATTTTTTTTAAAGACAAGTAACAGGCATCTTTAAGTTATTTAAACATTCATAATAATATGTTCTACTTAAAGGGAAATAGATGGATTTTCCTAGTCATCACAGCTTCTTGGAGGCAGTTACTAAAACACCCCTTAGAAATTCGAGTGGTGACCTAGGTATCTAAGTTTGTCATCCATTTGAGCACCTACATAAATCTTTAGTTTGCAGAAACCCAGCACTAGCAGTTTAATCGATGCACCCCAACATATAACACAAAACTAGACTTTTCTAGGATTTCCTAAGAGGAAACAAATACGCAAACACTTGTAGCACTTAGGGGACCTGTGGCAAAAGTGAGCATTTGCTATGGGAGGCATATTACATGTCAGTTTAATATTACTGCTACCTACTTTCACAGAAGGTTTGATTTCATTTCTTTTGGGCTCTTGCCCCCAACTATTAGGCTGATCAAAGACTTGGCAACAGAAAATGAGAAGAGAGCTCCTCTAGAGAACTTTGAATAAAGGGTGCTTATTTTTAGACACTATCATGATGTGGAATCGTTTTGAAAGTGTTAGGCACATAAGGAAGTCTTTATTCATGAAAGAGTGAAAACTTTCAGTGGAGACTCTCCGTGATAGATCCACTGTAAATGTCAGGTGGGATATATGAGTAGCCTACAGTCTGAAATAATTAATAAAACGTTATTATTCCCTCCTTTGACCTCTCCCTGGTCTCATCGTGATGGTCTGGGCACTTGCTAATCCTATTACTCCATCATATGTTCGTGGATTGATTCTCCTCTCTAGCCTGAGCTGTTGGCCTCTAGGCTGCCCTGCTGCCCTCTCTCCTTAGCCACCTGGTGTAAAGCAATGGAAACAGAAACATCCTGGCCCTTGCTTTACAAACTGGTTGTCCAATAGCACATTTCAAGAGGAAGGCAGGCTGGGGGAAAAGTGTTGCCTGGTGCCCTGACCTATATGGCTAAGTTCATTCTCATCAGGGTGGCAACTGAAGGAAAACGCAGGGCTGGCAGGCCTGGTAGCAGTGTGGCAGTTTTATGACTCATGGGAGCAGGTGGACAGTAGGTGTGCCTCCCCGGCGCTATGTGAGGGCTCAGCAAAGTCTTAGGGCTCCGTGGCGCCAGCAGCAAACCCAGGCTGACTCAACCTTTTGGAGAGGCTACAGCTGAATAATGTAATTCTGCCATAAAGGCCGAGACCAGACAAAGCTGCAAAAAAACACTAGCAACCCAGACTCCAGGGCATCCATCACGTGGGCACCACGGTGCTCCACACTGAGTTCTACCAGACTTAGAATATTCCCAAAGGCCGAGTTCTACGACTTGGGTAGGGCTTGTAGCCTCTGTGGTCAGAGGAAGTTTTGGGTCAAATGCACAAATAAAATTGTGCTTTTAACTGTGTGCAAAATTTTGAAATCAGCCTAATAAGCAACCTTCACATTCCAAAGGATTTTTTGGGGGGATTCAATTTACCGTTGCACATCAAGTGTTTTGCATAGGACCAAGGCATTCCATGAACTGCAGCTGCTAGTATTTTTATCCTTGGGGGTCACATACTGCACAGTGAATTGCAGTTCCCTGTTTACCTGTTTGTTCTGCACCTCCCCAACAAGTGGTCAATGAGCCTCAAGGGTTTTGATTGAGCGGGTATGGGTGGGGCTATCGGCACCAGCCCTTTTTAGAGTCCCTGGGCAATTTGTGCCACTAGTGTCAGAGCCCAATGCAAAGACTAGTGACAGCCATCAGAGGATTTCCCTAGGAATAAGGAAGCTCTAGCAGTACAGAAAACTAGGAGGATGAAGCATGTGGCAGGGCAGGGTGGGCTTGCCTTGTGCTAAGCCTTGGACAAGCTCATTTCAACACATTCCCAGAGTAGCTACCTCTTCCTCGGATTCCTCAGTCATCCCTGCCCCACCCAAAAGAGAGGCCTAGGGTCTCTCTGATTCTGCTCACACCGAGTGGCCTGGCCCAATCCCTTTCTGTGCTCCCAGACCAGCACTTACTAACAGAGCCTCTGAAATGCAACTGAGGAAGTAGGCAACCTCACCCTGAACAGTGTGCAGTGCTCTGACTCACAGCAAGTTGCAGATATATATATATATAAATATATATATATTTGTATATATATTTATATATATATAGTTATATATATATTTATATATATAGTTATATATATATTTTTATATAGTTATATATATAGTTATATATATAGTTATATATATATAGTTATATATATAGTTATATATATAGTTATATATATATAGTTATATATATAGTTATATATATAGTTATATATATAGTTATATATATATAGTTATATATATAGTTATATATATATAGTTATATATATAGTTATATATATATAGTTATATATATAGTTATATATATAGTTATATATATAGTTATATATATAGTTATATATATATAGTTATATATATATAGTTATATATATATAGTTATATATATAGTTATATATATATAGTTATATATATAGTTATATATATATAGTTATATATATAGTTATATATATATATAGTTCCCTGCAGCAAGTAAAACTGGGCTCCCCTTCCAACTGGCGCTGGTTCTGAGGCCCCCAGAATGCGAACATGACACCCTTTCTCAGTGACCTGTGGTTTCTATGTTGCACCCTAAGGACTTTCTAAATGTTCCCTTTGCATGAGGATAAGGTCAAGCATTCTCTTCTTCCCAATCTCCAGGGCATAAAGTTTCCAAGGCCTGAGCAAGTTTTCCAGTAACTGCAGAACAGTTCACACATATCAGGACTGGACCAGTAATTGCTCCCACCCGGCATGGCCATTGGCAAGCAGTCTACAGTCAGACTCTATTAATATTTATAAAATGCTCGGGTAGGTCCCTCTAAAGTTGGCGAGACACTCAGCATTTAGTACATGAAGGTCTTTCTTACTTCCTGACTATATTATAGTCAAGACTAAAAACAGCCAGCAATTCATGATTCACACTTGCCAGCTCAGGCTTCTTGCAGCTTTCCCTCATTCTGATATCTGCGTTCAGACCTGCTTCTTCAGAGGGCTTTCTCCAACCTCGTTACTCAGAGGCTCCCTGCTCCCTTCCAATGGGGTATTCCTGCTGGTCCCAGGCTCGACAAAGTCCATGCAACACATTTTTAATTGAGTACTACTGCTACTAAGTACAATATGTTGAGAATAAATGGGTAGGACAGGCACACAGCTCCTGCCCTCACAGAGAAAACGTTAAACAAGCCATTAGACAACCCCTTCTGCTTCAGGCATAGCCTAGCCCCTTCTCCTGCTCTGCTACCCCTCTCAGGCTCCTAACTCAATTTCTCTTCTGAAAGTCCCTTCTCATCTGCTGGTACAAACATGGATAGCCTCACCCAGAATACAAATTAAAGTTTAGGAGATAGGTAATTTTTACACCTTCATAGATTTATTAAACACAAACAACTTTCTATGAATATTGTATAGCAATTGCTTTGGGAAGTCGATTAAATGGGGGTAACTGTGATTGCAGGGGAATGAAAAATGACTTCCCTCTACCTTTCTCAGTTCTATGGCTGGGCTACAAATTAACCTGACATATAAACAGGTTGACAGGAGGAAAACTGTATTTAATTATGTATGTACACACGGGAGTGCCACAAATATGAGACTCAAAGTGGTCAGATGATGAAAGCTCACATAGGATCCTGAGCTACAGAAAAGAATGGGAGTTCAGGGTTTCTCGGGGGGGTGGTGGCAACGAGTTATGGGAGGTAAGGGGAAGAGATAAATGGTGAATAAAGGTGGTTTTCTCATGCACACAGAAATTCTCAGTTAATACAAGTTGTTTCACAGCAGCCCTCGGAAGAAGAGGTGACAGTCTGTCTGGGTGTGGTATCACCTCCAGTCTCCCCTCTTGGGATCCGAGTTAATCTTTCCCAGTTGATAAGATTTCTGGGAGAATATTTGTGACAACTAAGTTCCTTTTGGAGGATCTGTCTTTAGGCCGATAAGGGGAGCTCAGAGAATGCCTCTGCCTACATCTGCTGTTCCCCAAGTGTCCTCAGTTCAAAGTAATCAGCACACCAAAGTGTTATATTTTGGGTGGCATTTCCTGAACTCCTTCATGGTCATTCTTAGAAAAAGCTGTACACTGGGCCACTGGAAAGGAAGATAATTTCTGATCATAACATTCTTCCTATGGAGAAAGCAGATCAAAATTAGACCGTTTCAAGTTAAGGAGCCTCTGGTTTGCTGAGTTGCCACATGGCTGCACAAAGAGGGCCACTGTGTGATCCCTGAGAGGCAGAGGTGTTTACAGGAGCTGGAGTTCTAGCTAAGGACTTCCTTCCGACTTGCAGCTGCTCTGCAGCTCCTCAACAGCTGGGCTGTGCACAACAAGATAGAAAGCCTGGGGAAACAAATATCTCCAAATATCTCTGTGCCTTTGGAGGGTTTTCTTTGGTCTTCCCTCAGTGGTGAGGATGTCTGGCTGTTTTTTCTACTAGGTAGATAAAAAGCTTGCTTTATTCTTACACCAAGAATAGCTTCCAAGGCAAACAATACCTGATATTTGTATGGAACCTGTGAGCACACATGTTGCTTGCATATGCATTATTCCATGAAGCCTCACTATAATCCTGAAAGGTTTCTTATTAGATGAGGCAATCAAAGTTAGAAAATCTTGCTTCAAAAGTTAACCCAGGCTGGGCACGATGGCTCACACCTGCAATCCCAACACTTTGGGAGGCCAAGGTGGGAGGAACACTTGAGTCCAAGAGTTTGAGACCAGCCTGGGAACATAGTAAAAACTAGTCTCTACAAATAATAACAAAAATAATTGCCAGGAGTGGTGGCACATATCTGTAGTCCCAGCTACTCAGGAGGCTGAAGTGGGAGAATCGCTTGAGCCCAGGAGGTTGAGGCTGCAGTGAGCTGTGATCATACCATTGCACCCCAGCCTGGGTAACAGAGCGAGACCCCCATTTAAAAAAAAAAAGTTAACCCAGTTCGTAAGCCTTTTCATTCTAGAAGCCACCCTTCCCACTGCGCCAAGGAAAGGATTAATTCCAATTAGTTTGATTCATAAACACTCAGGGCATCAGTGAATGCTCTACCATGTGGTTCTTTTTTTTTTTTTTCCCCTCTTTTTTTGAGATGGAGTCAGGCACCTGCCACCAAGCCTGGCTAATTTTTGTATTTTTAGTAGAGATAGGGTTTTACCACGTTGACCAGGCTGGTCTCGAACTCCTGACCTCTGGTGATCCGCCTGCCTTGGCCTCCCAAAGTGCTGGGATTACAGGCATGAGCCACCACGCCTGGCCCACTATGTGGTTCTTAATCAGGGGTGACTGACACGCGGTGACCTAAAGTAGGGGGCTTGCTGATTGCCTTGTGTTTGTGTAACACCTCCCTTCTCATGCATGCAAGCTAAACAAGACAGTTTCGGCTCCTAGACAAGGACTGAAGTTAGCATCTGCAGATCTTGAGCCACCAAGTATTCTATCCCACCCAGAAGGGCCAAGGCCTGTGCATGCCTGTGCAGACTGCCAGTCGGATAACACTCTGGCTATCACTTCTGCAGCCTTGCTTTCATTTTTGCATATGGGTAACAGATTTGAATAAACACATGTAGTATTTAGCTATTCAAATACTTCGCATTGGTTTTAATGCTGTGTTTCATCTGAATTCTCAGGTTCCTAGAAATTCCTAGGAACATGATGGTCCATTAGGGAAATATGGGTATTTTCATCTTTGTCAAGAGGGGCCTGAAGCAGGGAGAGCAGGGTGGGGATGGAAAGAGTGTCACAGAGCACACTCTGGGAGGAAGGCACCAGGAAGCCCCAGGGTCTGAATCACAAGCCATTATGGCCTGGCCAGTAATTGAATCACTGGAGTGAAGCCAACTTTCATGAGCAAACACACCCATGTGGCTGTAATAAAAGAGCAGGTTAAAAGAAAAAAAAAAGCCACTGGCTCCCACTTACTCTCTGGTCTTGCCTTCAACTTTCAATGTCTTTCTCTAGCTCTTTATCTGCCTCTTCTTCTGTAAAAGAGGGACTACAATGCAGACCTCATAGGGTTGTCAGGGGAGAAACAGAAGCACCTTCCCTTGCACATACAAATGTTTACTAAATGCCGGCCCCTAGGCTCACTAACAAGATGAAAAACATGTGCTTGGTGGGAAATGAAAAAGATTCCAGAAACAACAGAAGAATTTCAAGGTAATGTGACCAGGTAGCAACAGCTATCTAATGTGGCCTTACTGAGTAGGCAGAGTTAGGTTCTTAAGAATAGTTCCTCTATTTTCATGAGCAGTTCTTATTTATATCAAAGCCTGCAGGCTAAATCCAGGCTGCAGATGTGTTTGGTTGGGCCCCATACAGTGTTAACTCCATTGTGTGTGTGTGTTTTAACTTTAAATTGAATGTCAACGTTTGAAAAATGGAGAGATTTCCTTTTAAAAGGAAGACTTCTGGAAAAATCAGAAAATCCTATAAAACTGGGCTGGATCTGAGCAGCAGCTGCCCCTTCAAGCATTTGCTGGTACACCTGCCAGGCCCTCTATTTGAACTTGTGGCACTGCCTTTACACTATGCCTTGGATATTTAGTTCCAGGGACACATTCAGGGATTCGCCGGGGGCATCTGGGCTCACTCCCGTCCTGCCACTTCCCAGATCTAAGGCCTTGGGAGAGGACTGATAACGTATTTAAGCCTCAGCTTTCTCATTGGAAAAATGGGGATAACAATACTTTCCTATCTCAAAGAACTGTTAAAGAGCATCAGATAAAATAAGTATGTGAGTGTAATAAACACAAAGGATACTTGGTTTCCGAGTGTTTAGTATCTGCATCCTCTTACACACTGTGTGAAGTACACCCAGCACTTTGCATTCCTCAATGGACTGGAGCCAGGCAGCAGTTCTACCCTCCTCCTAGCATGCCTCACTGGACTGCGGGGCTGGAAAGTGGAAAACTACATCTTCCAGTGGGATGGGCTGAATTGTGTCCCCCAAAATTTATATGTTGAAATCCTTACCCCCAGTAATTCAGAACATGACTGTACTCGGAGACAGGGTCTTTAAGGAGGCAATCAATTTAAAATGAGGTCATTAATCCAAAATGATTGGCATCCTTATGAGAACGAGAAATTTGGACATAGATGGGGACAGAGAGAAGACCATGTGAACGCAGAGGGAGAAAACGGCCATCTTTTGTTTGTTTGTTTGTTTTTGAGATGGAGTTTCACTCTTGTTGCCCAGGCTGGAGTGCAGTGGCGCGATCTCGGCTCACTGCAGCCTCCACCTATTTCAAGCGGTTCTCCTGCCTTAGCCTCCCGAGTAGCTGGGATTACAGGCACCCGCCACCACACCTGGCTAATTTTTGTATTTTTAGTAGAGATGGGGTTTCACCATGTTGGCCAGGCTGGTCTTGAACTCCTGACCTCGTGATCCACCCGCCTCACCCTCTCAAAGTGTTGGGATTACAGGCGTGAGCCACTGTGCCTGGCCTCGACCATCTACTAATAAATGCCAAGAGTGAGGCCTCAGAAGCGGCCAACCCTGCCAATGTCTTGATCTCAGACGTCTAGCTTCCAGAAATGTGAGAAAATTCATTTCTGTTGTTTAAGCCCCCTGGTCTGTGGCAGTTTGTTATGGCGTTCCTAGCACACTATCACACTCAGGTTTTCTTGATGTTAGAGCTCCAGATGACACAGTCTCTGTCAATTCAATGCGTTTAGGAGCGATCTGGCAGGTAGAAGTGAGGAGGCCAGTTTCTTGATGCTTGGGTTATTTCTGCTGACAAGCAGGGTGGTGGGCAAGCTGCTCTTAGGGCAAGTGGAGGCATCATAGTGTCCAGTCACTAGCAACACAGGACTGAGAAGCTGCATGGCTGCAGCAGCCTCTTGAGTCTCTACTCCCCACTGGGCACCCGTGGGCAGTTCTGCAGTGGTGTCTTGGAGTTGTTCCCAGGGACTGTATCGTGGGCCTGCTCCTCCAGCCCCTTCCAATGATTGTACAAGCACCTAATTCTCTTTATTGAAGCTCATTCTGCTAACTTTGCCAAGATCACCTTCTGTTTGCTGTGACTGAACCTTGGCTGATTCACAATTGTTAAATCTGTTGCTTTGTAAACTGCAAATAACTTATAAATATTAGCTATTATTTGGATTATTACCATGCCATCATTGCTGGACATCCCAAACTCTAAAACTTGAAGGGAGGAAGGAGTTAAGACATAAAATTCTTTCTCTTTCTCCCCAAAGTTGCAGGTTATGAGGCCAGGGTGCTTGAACCTGCGGTCAGCTGCAAGTGCTGCCCTGGTCTGGCATAGTTATGAGAGCAAAGAGCAAAAGAGAACATGTTGCTGGCTTACAGGCAAGGCAAATGAGAGGGAGAGATGAGGAGGGGCTGCACAGAGAGGTGGGAAATGTGGTTTCGGGTAGGGAAGACAGAGTGTCTAGAGCTTTACAAAGAGAAGTTTACATAGGTTCACAATCAGCAGAATGAGAAAGAATGAGAACACCTCTCTCTGAAAACCTCAACAGAGCTCATTCTGTAAAAACAGCAGGCTTTCAGATTTGGAAATCCTTTTGAGGTCCCTATCTGGTGTCTTTCATTAGTTGATTTTATCTGCCATCCAGGGTACATGTCCCTGAATAATAATAATAAAGATAATAAGTTATAATGATTAATTTTGACAATTACCACCATTTACTGAGTGCTGAGTCTGTGCCAGGTAAGTAAATTCCATGCAGCATTGCATTTAAGTCTGTCAACAACTCTAAGAGATGAATCCTATTATTTCTGTTTGACAGATGAAGCAGAGAGAGGTTAAAAAATTCTTGCCCAAGATCACACAGATTTACATGGCAGAGACTCAGGGCTACCTGGCTCTCAAGATCATGGTCTTACTTACCACCCTTTGTTGCCTGCCTCTGAACAGCAAGAATACAAGGAAGGGGCTGGGAGAAAGGAGAGGCCAAGTATCAGCCAGAAGCACTGAATACAGAAGACATGGCCTCCATTCAGGGGTTGCTGTTATTCAGACAGGTTATCCCCATAGCAAATCAGCAGGAAGCGTGAAGGCAAGTGGCTTTGACAGAAGACCCAAGCGAAGGAGAATCAATTGTTCTTATTTCTAAGAACAACTGCCCCAGATTCTACATAGGAATATTGCTAAAGACACAAGATGATTCTCCTGTGCCCAAGAGAAGTTGGCAAGGATCCATGAGAATGAGCCAATCCTCGGCAATAAATCCAGAGGAGAGTGAGCTGCAGAGCCTGGGCAGCGAGTTCCTCACTTCACTGTGTGTCTAGAACACCTGGGGCACTTGTTTAAGAAAGTCTGATTCAGTAGGGCTGGAGAAGGGCCCACAGATCTGTATTCAAAGGCCTCCTAGATGATTCTGATATAGGTCCTCTGAAGAAATGGCTTATGGTATGATCAGAGTCTCCGCCTCTTGATCCTCCCCATGTTTATTCCTGCCTGGGGATTAAAAAATGTCAATTTAAAAGGACACTACTCGGCCGGGTATGGTGGCTCATGCCTGTAATCCCAGCACTTTGGGAGGCCGAGGCAGGCAGATCACTTGAGGTCAGGAGTTGAGACCAGCCTGCCCAATATGGCCAAACCCTGTCTCTACTAAAAAAAGGAAAAATCAGCCGGGCGTGGTGGTGCATGCCTATAGTCCCAGCTACTGGGGAGGCTGAGGCAGGAGAATCCCTTGAACTCAGGAGGCAGAGGTTGCAGTGACCCAAGATTGCACCATTGCACTCCAGCCTGGGCGACAAAGTGAGACTCTGTCAAAAAAAAAAAAAAAGGACACTACTTTTTTTCTGTGCTTAAGTTTTCAAAGCTCTGAATAAGCAAAAATTCTAACTTCTTTTAATTACCTTAACCTACAGGATTAAGTGTTCTTCAGACTGAAATTTTTCTTACCATTTAACATACTTCTTTGCTACAAAAGCCTGATTTTGTTAACAGCCATTGCTTTCTGAAAAGCATCTCCTCCCTGGCATCAGTGATGCTAGACTCTCCTGTTCTTGCCCTGTCCAGTGATATTCCTTTGGTACAGCTCTCGCTCCTTCTCCTGAGTAGGTATTCTCAGGGGCTGGAACTCTAGCACAGTGAACATGTGCTTTTATAGCCAGATAAATTCAAATCCCGGCTCATCACTTATTACGCTAAGTTGCTGTACTTCTCTGGGCCTCATTCGCTCATTTGTAAAATGGGAAGGAATAACAATAGTACTTACCTTAAAGAGTTGTTACAGGATGAACTGAGAGAGCACATATGAGTTGCTCAGCACGTGCCTGACATGCACTGGTCCTCAGGAAAGGCAGATGATGCTCTCTCCACCCTATGACTTCAGCTATGACCAACCCACTTCACATGCAGCCCTGACCCTTCACCTGAATTCCAATGTGTAAATGACAGCCTGTTTAATTTTAAGCTTGAATGGTCCACAGTTGCTTCAAACACAACACAGGTAAAACCCAATGAAACACCACCGTCTACCCTCAACCTGACCACCACTGTCCTGGTCACAGAGGCCTCCTTTTGCTTCTGCCCTCTTTCTAACTCCTCAGACCATCTTTGTCCTATAAAAATGTGAGCCACGTATGTGATTTAAAATTCTTTAGTAGCCATATTAAAAAAAAAAGTGAAATTAATTTTATTTAGCCCAATATGAAAAAACTGATATGTAATCATTGTAAATATTATTGAAATGTTTTTTGTACTAAACCTATGAGACCTGATAAATATTCTATACTTGCAGCACATCTCAATTTGGACATGATAGTGGCTGCCTTACTAGACAGTGTGACCTGAAACTCTGGACTCTGAAAATCTTAAATTCTCCACTTTGACAACCCACCCCCACCCCCAACCCATTTTAACTTTCCCCATTCTCCTGTCTTCTATTTTACCTGAGTCTTGGCTCTCTGCAGCTCAGGTCAGGGCTACCGCCTGAGCCTTGTAACAGCACTCCTGCCCCTAATCCTTCTTCAATCTGATCTACCCTGACCACTATGCTCAGATATAGTACCCCTTTCAGTTTGGTCCTCTCTGGCTTTCCCAGGAACCCCCAGGAAAAGTCCAAAGGGCTTGGCTTCACACTCAAGATCCTCTCTAATGTTTTTGCCACCATAATAAAAATCCTAATAATAAAGCAGCTAATTTCTACACAGAGCTTACTATATGCCCATCAATGTCAATACATTATCCTACTGAATCCTCAAATGGCCCTGTGAGGTAAGCTCTATTTTCATGCCCATTTTACAAACGAAGAAACTGAGGCACAGAGAGGTTAAATATGTGTCTTGTGTCAAACAGCTAGCAAGCTGCTTGGTTGGGATTTGAGACCAGGCAGGCTGATTCCAGAGGCCCGGTGCAGAACCTCTATTGCTATACTGTCATAGTATCAGGGGAGTGTTACCCCATTTCCTGGCTTCATGGGCTGTGTTTAAAGTCTCACCTGCGAGCCTCCACTCCAATTCTCTGTCTTCTTCTCTTGACCTATTTAAATTCTCCTTTTGTAGGCCCTAGTTCACATCACCTCTTCCAAGGACGGTCTGTCTCCCTAATTAATTTTGTTTATAGTAATTAATTCCCTTCATGAATTCCTGCTACATGCTTACATCTTATGGGTTCAAGGATTCCTGAGGGTGGGTCATGAATGCAAAAGGTGGGCATGGGGAGTTGTGCACTAATGCCCTAAAACTGTATGCAAAATCTGGTGTGTGTGCTTATGTTTTGCTTTTTTTTGTTTTCCGAAGGACAAGATTTATAGCCACCGTCAAGCTTTCAAAAAGGTCTATAACACCATTTATTTCAATGGTTAATTGTATGTTATTTAGTGCCTACTGTGTATAAATATTGTCTTCCCACTGTTGGCTTGGTAATAATATAGCAACTACACTTATTCATTACTATATGCCAGCTACTGTGTCAAGTACTCTGTGCAGATACTAATTCATTTGATATTTTCTGCAACTATAGGAGGTTGGGTTTATCATACCTACTGAGATCAAAAGCTCAGGACAGTTGCATAATTTGCCCAAGATCATACAGCTATTACATGGCAGAAAGAGGATTTCAACCCAGATATCTGACTTTAAAGCCATGCCCTAAGCAGACAGCTGAGTTATCCCATGCCATCTTCTCTCATATTGACTAATGTGGAGAATGAGGCCTCAATTAAAACTGGATTAGATTAAGACATGCGATGTAGCAACCAACACATCAGCCAGCCTGAGTCTCGCACCCTGGGTGTTTGCGTGCCCAGTGTTTGTTTTCTTAGAAACAGGATACACCTTGCTGCTCCTTCCTACAAGTATCCCGTGAAATACTGACTGTTCTGAGCCCACAGATGCTCACTTGCTTGGTGGCCTGCACAGCTCTGAGAAGCCTGGGTGGAGCTTCTGATGTTTCCATGCATTTGATTAGGGCCAGTTGCTGGTGCTCTGAACTTTCACCTCCAGCATGAGATGGCCACTTGTGTGGCACCAAGATTCCAAGGGACCATGCACACTCATCCTGTGCCCCAAATAAGTTTTCAGCTGGTGAAGGCGGGCCCATGGGGAGTAGCCCTCGGATGGGGACCCATGAAGGAGTGGAACTTAGCCCCTTCTGTGCTCTGCTGGACCAGAATCCAGTAACACACAGACATGTGTTTACAGTCAACACTAAGAATGACGTTTACAAACAAGTTTTACTCTCTAACTAGTATAGCAAGACGGCTGACAAAAGATTTGCTGATATCTGCATGGCTGGCTTAGGAGAGCCAGATATCTCATGTGCTTATCCATAAATGAATAGATGAATGGATAAATTCAGCAATTATTTAATATTGAAAACAAAAGCTAACATTTAGAGTGCTTTTTCTGTGCCAGGCACTGTGTTAAGGGCTTTAGATAAAATTATTTTATTTACTCTTCACAACATCCCTGATAAAGGCATTACTATTATTCATTAACTAGTTTTCAAATTCTAAAAGAATATATACATGAGCAAATAATTTAAACAGTCTAAAAGGTTATACGACAAAAACTAGGTCTCCTGGTACTCCTGGCTTTCCCAGGCAACAACTGTTATCAGCTTTTCCTGTTTCCTTCTGACATCCCATGCATATATAGACATGATTATGCTTATATCTGTCTTTAAAAATAGAAATGGGAGCATATTATACACATTGCTCTGAACCTTGTCTTTATTTTGATTAATAATATATTCTTAAGACCATGGTAAAGTTAGTTTTATTAACCCATTTTCCAAGTGAAGCTCTCAGAGATACCTAGTTAATAAGCTCCAGGGCTGACATGAAGCCTGGTGCTCCTAGCCATCACTCCACACTGCAGGCCTCCTGCATCCCTCAGAAAGCTTCTGAGCCTGCAGAGAGGAAGTGGGAATGATCAGGGAAGCAGAAGAAAAAAATTCCTGCCCTAAAAGAACTCACTGCTTTTAGGAGCAAACAATACTATATGAAGTGAGAGAATATTTCCAAACAACTTAAGAATATATCCAGGACACAGGTTCACAGTACTCCAAGGTGCTAAGCATGTGTGAAGGAAGGAGCCCCAGAGTGGAGTGACTCCAGCAAGGAAGTCCGCTACAGCTATGGTTCTAAACGCGTGGTCACACCAGCCAGCAGCATGAGCATCGCCTGGGAGCCCCTTAGAAATGCAAATCCACAAAACTCATCCCAGATCTACTGAATCAGAAACTCTGGGAGTGGGCCTGGCAGTCTGTTTTAACAATCCTTATGAATGATTTTGATGCTCCCTAAAGCTTAAGGACCACCCCACTAGAAGGAGGTAATTTCTAGATAGAGCTTTTCAACAGAAGGATGATCCAGCTATCAAGTAAATTAGCATCAGTCTATTTAAGCCAAGATTGATCCATATTCTTAGCATTATCCTAGGACTAAGCTGAGAATGGGGGATACACAGACAGACCCTACATCTTAAGAAGGTTATTCCTGGCAAGGGACATAATATCAATCTGCCTAAGAAAAGAGGCAGAATATTCCAAATTCCCTGGTTGAGGGCTCTACCTCTTATCTGTGATGAAGTGGTCTGTGGCCCTTTTGATACCTAAACCCAGACAACTTGTAATTCCCTACGTGACCAACTGGGATTCCTTCCCATCAGCATTCCTGCTCTCTGCTCCCCTGGCTGAGCAGGGCTGGAGGTTGTCTGAAATGGAATCCTTTACCCTGGATATTGCCCACAATGTAGCTAATCTACCCCCAGTTCTTGGTGGGCTGACAAAGCAGAAGAACACAGAAAGAACAACAGAGATATTTATGATTCTAGTCTTAAAGCCCTAGCATCTGACCCACATTAAGAAGAGGGCATGCTTTCTAATATTGCTAAGCAAATAGGAGCTCACCCACTTCCTTAGAATGCACTTAAAAAAAAAGAAACCGAAAAGCCCAAACACCTGATGGGAGGGTTGAAAATGAGGCAACTGGCACATGGTGCTGCATCCATTTTAGGAGAAGAGAAATTAAATTCCTAGGGAGCCATTCCTCTGTGTTGAGTTGTGTCAGCTTCTTGAAGGGGCAGGAGAAATGGATTCAGGAGAGAAAAAGGCTGAGAAAGGACAGAGAAGAGTGTGTACAGCTCGCTGACATTTGCAGTCGCCAGCTGGGGCTGGGCTTCACCAACAAACAATGAATGTGGGCGACTGGGCTGGTGGTTAAAGGGCTTACAACTCCAGCACGATGGACTGAGTCCTGCACATAAATAAGGAATGTAAGTGGGTCAGTAAAACATGCCAAAGGCAAGCAGTAGGTGCTTAGAGAAAGGATGGTCAGTGAGGACTTGAGTAGCCAGAAGACAGATGGAGGAGAGAGGTCTTAAATGAGTCAATCCTTGAAGGGTAGGAACTTGACAGGTGGGGGTGGGGAGAATTTCAAAACAGTTACTGAGGGGAGTGGTAGACAGCAGATTAAAGTTAACTTTCTCATGTGGAATGGGAGCCACCAAAGGTTTCTGAGCAGAAAAAGCAGGCATAAGGGAACACTGTGGGGAAAATGATTGAGCAACCTCCTATGCAGGGTGGAACAGAAATGGGAGACAGTGAAAGACAAAGTAGACTATTTCCATACAAGGTTCAGGAGCAGGCAACATGGTCAGGGCTTGGGGTCAGATGAAACTGGGTTCAATTGGGATTCTGCCACTTAATGTTGTATAATATTGAACAAATCACTCTCCCTGAGCCCTCAGATTCTCTATCTGTAAAACAGGATAACAAGAGTGCCTATCTCACAGGACTGTAATGATTAAATAATAAAGAGGCAGCACATAGAAACCACCCAGTGTTCATCTATCTATCAAACATCATTATTATTAGGAGTTAGTGCATGAGATTTCAAACAGATGGAAGCAATTACAATGCAAAAAATTTTTTAAAAGCTGGATGTGAGAGCTGTGAAAATGTAAGAATGAATAAGACTCCATTCTTGGGGCTGAATGGGAGTGACAGCCCAGAAATGGCTGTTGATTTCCAAGGGGTGCATGAAGAAAAGTGCAGAGGATGGCTTTGAGCCTTTCTCACTTGGATGGGGATAGTAGGGCAGTTTCAAAGGAGCAGAGACAGGCTGAGGGAAGCCACCCTGGACAGGGCAACATCCTCACAAAAGGTAGGGAAACAGAGGGAGTGTTAGGGAGGAAGGGTAAGTTAATGCTGTATAAATACGTTTAGTTAAAAACATATTATACCAAGAAAACAGAAGAATGTACTTCAAGATGTAGCTATTGCCAGGTTGTATGAATTTTAGGGGATTTTTAGTGTTGTTTTCTATGTACTCTGGTAGTTGTGAGTTTTTCATTTTTTGGAATTAAGAGTTAATATTTATATACCACTTACACTTGCCAAGCATTGTTCTAAGGGCTTTACAGATATTAACTTAATTTTCAAAACAATGCTATGAGGTTATTCCCATTGTTCTTCCTAGTTTAGAATTAAGGGAACTGAGGGAGGCAGCCACTTAGAACACGGCCAAGGTCAGAAAGAAGGTTAATGGAGGAGTCAGCACTCTAATCCTGGCAGCCTGGCTCCTGATTCTATGCTCTTTAACCACATATGATACTTTTATGATTAAGAAAAGAAAAACACCTAGTAATTGTTATTCACAAAACCAGGGGGAGGAGTTATTAGTCACTTTACGGGGTAAAAGGAAGTAGAGGGCAAGAACAGCTCACAGATGACTGGGAGTTACTGGGGACTGCTGAGTAGTTTCCACAGCTTGAAGGGAATGGAGGTCAAATGATAAGGGGCTGAACACAGAACTATTAATTCAGGGACCAGGCAGTGACTACAGAGGAATATTTAGAAAAATTTGGCAGTGTAGTCAAGACAAGGAATTGTATCGAAACTTTCAGGGGCAGGAGGGTTGTTTCAGAGATGGTTGGCACTGGAGCATTTCCAGAAACAGAGGAGGAGAGTTGAGAAACTAGGGAGAGTGAAGATGTGCAAAGAGGGTAACTGAGAGGGCAGAAGGGGATGAGCTCAGGACTGCGCTCAGAAATTGGTCAAAAGAGGAGCTGATAAACCAGAACTGGAGGATACAGTGGTGGAAAAGCAGGAAGGAATGAACTGCTCATACAATACAGGTGAATCTCTCAGATATTATATTGAACAAAAAAGCCAGTTATAGAAGAGCATGCACTGTCAATTCCATTCGTTCATTCGAGACGAAATCTCACTCTGTCGCCAGGCTGGAGTGCAGTGGCGTGATCTTGGCTCACTGCAACCTCCGCTTCCCAGGTTCAAGTGATTCTCCTGCCTCAGCCTCCTGAGTAGCTGGGACTATGGGCATGTGCTTCCAAGCCCGGCTAATTTTTGTATTTTTAGTAGAGATGGGGTTTCACCATGTTCACCAGGCTGGCCTCGAACTCCTGACCTCAGGAGATCCACACACCTTGGCCTCCCAAAGTGCTGGGATTACAGGTGTCAGCCACCGCGCCTGGCCCAATTCTATTCATATAAAGTTCAGGAACAGGCAAAATGCATCTACAGTGATAGAAACTATAAGAGTACAGAGTGGGTGGGGATATGGATGAAGAAAGACTGGCTATGAGTTAGTTGTTAACTGCTGCAGCCAGGTCACTTCAACAATTAAACTGCATGAGGTTCATTCTACTTTTATATATGTTTGAAAATTAAAAAAATTAAAAGTCTATAGTCCTAAACATGTCATAACATATTATATGATAATTAACATTATCAGTTATTTTTATCATTATTTGTCATGAAAGAATGGAAGACACGTTAATTATTATCTACAATTTCCTTCTTTAGATCATGATCTAACAAGTATGTCCAATGTCCACAGCACAAAGGAAGCAGCTGCCTTTTGAGGGAGCATGGACAGGATTAAAAAAGCCACAATCTGGGCCCTCTGCCCATTTCACACAATGCTCAGGCTCTGGGTCACAGACATCCAATTTTTACTTGCCAGGAAGCATCATTCCTTGGAGGTACGCATGAAAAAGGAAAGGCCCAACACTGTGGTGCAGATACTCCTAACTTTGACATGCCAAAAAATGCAAAATAGGATACTTAATTTTTCTTTCTTCCCTCATCTCACCTTCTCCCATAACACGCTAGCAAGGAAACATGCCCTCACCACCTTTTAAACATGTCTGGATTTGAGGAAACATGTCTGTCAAACATGTCTGTACTTTGAAAAAGGTCAAAGTCTGTGGAATTTCTGGGGTGACCAGCAAGGTGAACATTTTGTGTTGGCCCTCATGGTTAAAGTACTTGTTTTGAGACTCACAGTATCTAAATGTTTATATATTTTCAAAGGGGAAAGGACTGATGATACAAGATGTTCCCAAGTCAACTTCTGACAGTTCTAACTCATTCCCTAAATTGATTAGAATTCTCTCTCTCTAAAAGCAAACTTGATAACAGCTTCTTTTTAAAAGTGTTACTTGAGGGAAAACATGGGACAGAAATCAAAGCAAGCCATTTAAAGTCCAAACCCAATCAGCAACATCAATACAATTTACATAACATGGCACCCATACAGTACGTTTATACTTTAGTTCACTGAGTTTTGTATTTCAGAATGTCTCCAGTTCATCTTAAGGAGTGACATAAAATTTCTCAGAAATATTATTTCAAGTTCATTAAAATTTTTCTTTAAATAGGTACAGAACTTTTAACATATGTGGTTGAGTCAAACAAAACATGACGGAGCATCACTTACAACAAATGAAAAGATGACACCAATTTAAATACTCATGTTACTATAAACAACTTGCTTGTTAAGTTTTACTCACTCAAATTTAAGAATATCACAAAATGAGAGCATGAAGTGGAATGGAGTAGGAGGATTCCTGTCTGTAATCCCCCTAAAAGAACTTCCACGGCTAATTTCAGCCTCAGGTTTCTTGGGCCAGACCTATTTGAAATATTCTGCTTCTTTTGGTATATCAGTAACTGACCAGGCCATGGGTCCCAAGCATTGGCTTTTTAAAACTATAGTCAGCAGACTTTTCACAAATATTGACATCTACTTCACCCATGAGAGTCTTTAAGTTGAATCCTCTATCTGATGGTGGGCACCTCATATTATATTGTGCTTTATATCTTCCATATGCAATACACAAAGAATAAGTATGTGCTGATTTATCATGAGTCACATGGATGGTCTTGGCAGGAAGTGACAGCTTTGTCATTCTTTTTCATAATTCAGGAAACACAGGAACAACATATGCCTTGGGTTGGGCACAGAGTGAGAACTCAATAAACACTTCATCCAGTGAAATGATGACACAGAAATCTGTGGCAGTGCTTTAGTTGAGTGATAAGGGCTTGAACCCAATGTGTGAAAGCCAGAATTTATGAAACAAATGAGATGATGTCACATTACAAAAAGATTCCTCCTAAGACTTTCCCAAATGTATTATCTATTGAATGAAAAGGTTAAGTCAGAGAAACTAATTGTTTAGCTTTTTTCTAGTTAAATATCAATTAGGAACTGTAATGCACATCTCTAAATCAAAATATAACATTTCTGCACAACATCTTGTGTGTTCTGAGTATAACTCTACTTAAGTTCCCAAAGTACATTACTAGTGCATGTGTTCTCATCATTCTTGTACTTGTGAAAGGGAGGGTGATATAGACTTTGGTTTTAGGATACCCACTACCTTTGGTTTCAGGCTACCCACTACCTTTGGTTTCAAAAGCCGCTCCTCTTCTGATGTCTGTTCTTGGTGTATTAAGGACAAATACTGGAAATTATACATGTGACCCTGCAAGCTTTGGAAAGAAAGAAGTGCGCCAAGTGCCTCCATTGCTTAAATCTGCCTGTGCAGGTCAATTACTTAAAGTGGAGGGAAATAGGGCTGCGTCCAAGGGTAATTCATCTTATGAGTGGCACTGGGCATAATATACACTTTAAAGCAAATCCTAACAGGTAATACAACAATATTATGCCTTTTATTTACTTACTTATTTAATTGCAAAGTTAATTAAACTTTTCTAGCACTCAATGGGTCCAGGGATTAAACTCCTGGGAGAGATCACAGGAGACCAGTATTTAGTTGTCTGTGACCAAATAAGAGTTTCAGAAAGTTGAAGCAAATTCTATACAAAGTCTGTTCTTGGAATGTTTTCACAAGTGTGTGAGATTCTTTGAAACACTTTTATGCAAAATGTAAGTCAAAATAAATGACATGTGTTTATATTACATGTAGAAATTATAAGATTGATTTTGGTAGATTGAATAAATACATGCATATAATTCTTATAAACAACCATTACCTGTCAGTGTCAGCATTTACAAATGAGCAGATCCGGCATTCGCATGATCTCTGGATGCATGTGCCTTCATGAGCTGGAGGGCTTTATAACTGAAAACGATTCCCAGCTGAATTCTGGGAAAACATACCTATGTGTCCCATGTAGATGCTGCCACATCTTTGTATGTCCCTTCTGCCTTTACCCAATGTAGAAATCTGGTATTGTATTTCTAATGTGGTAAGCCTGCTATAATAATAATGCCATCAAAAGATAGCAATTTACAAGGCGCTTTCTCATACCATCTATATTAGATAGGGCTAATTAATTACTTAATTTTATTTGCATTTCTACTTGTGGTCTTGCATGAACCTGTTGAATTTAGCATGCAAATTTATGTGATAAGTTTTTTTGCAGTTAATTGGAAAAAACAGAACCTTTTGCCTCATTAAGAATCCTGTTTCTTAGTGCCCTATCAGTTGCTTCTCCTCTTTTTAGTGTATTTTCACTTCTAATAATTCCCTGGACCTTAAACAGAGGAAAATATTGTTTTTCCCCTTTTAAACAGAACCATTTAATGACATTTTCTTAGAAGCAGATCATACCTGCACTTAAGAGGTAGGGCAAAATGAAAGACAGAAATCACAAAGCCACCAGAAGATGGATCCCTAACAGGGCTGCCTTTCAGAATCACCTGGGCAGCTCTTTTCATGCATCCAGGTGCAAGCCTCACCCCGTACCTCCAGAGTCAGAGTATCAGGGTAGGACTTGGCAAAAGTGCACTCTGGAAAAGCTCTGGATGAGTGTGAGCTGCACTCCTAGTTAAGAGCCATGGGACTAGAACACAGCAGAACTGTCAGTCACAATGCATGGTCTCCCTGATTGCTCTGTCTGGTGCCTTGTTCGAGTCACTTCTTTTTCTGGGTCTCAGCTTCCTCGTCCCCAACAAAGGAGAACAACAGAGATATTCTGCACCCCTTGTTTGCTTCTCTCTGGATAGCCCTCCCTTGCTTGCTCTTCAGAACTACTCAAGCCACCAATTTAAGCTTTTGATACTTATATGTTATCATAATGATCAATACGGGGACTGTAAATGTCACTAGGGTGAACCTTAGAGGTGGCACAACAGCTGCATCTAGTGCCTGACAGAAATATGCACACGGGGAAGGGAGACGGGTCAGCAGTTGGCAGCTTCTGAAGCCCCAGGAGACTTCACAATTGGGGACCAGCTTATGGGAGAGAGGCAGGGCAGGACAGCTTTCTTTACCAAGGGAGCTCTAAAGCAGAAACACATTCAGGAGAGAAAATAGTGTTAATGAATGTTTCAAGAAAATAGGCCCCCCCACACAGAAACCCCTCCTTTAGCCAGAATGGTTTGGGGAAGGGTATGACAGCAAGTTTTCTGGTTGAGTTACCATGTGCAAAGGCACCACTGTTGGTAGTTCAAAGAGAAATACACAGAAAACCTGGAACATAAGTGACAGTTAAGAGGTACCTCTGTGAAATTTCATGATTCTAGATAATGCTGAAGAACTCTTTGAACAAGTCCATCTTTTGGCACTGATACTGCTACCCTGGACTGCTCTCATTTCAGATCCTGGCCCTCCCTTGGGCACGTTCTTCACATTTCTGACAGGTGCTGCCCCATGTTCCGGGCTGACATCTTTCCTGCTCTGAGTGCTCTCAACTCAGTTGTCCTTGAAGATTTTGCCCGAGTGCATGTTTTTTCCTCACTTTGTCATCTCTCCTCTCATCCACCTCCAAGGGCTTGCAGAGGACTCTTAGATCTATCTATGGTCCTGGGGACCTGTCTGTGAGACCCCATCCTTTCATCCAGACGGCCTGCCAGGTCCTGGAACTGAAAAAGTCAAAGTGCCCTTCCTCTACACAGGAGGCCAGTTCTTTGGACTCAGCTTCTCTCTCTTTCTGCTAATAAAATAGCTTTTATTACAGTTATCTAGACTCAAAACTTTAGTTCTGTTTCTGAGACCACCACCTTTGCCCACTCGCAACCAGAGGTGATTAGCCCTATTGGTTCTATTTTCTAATCAGCACCTCCCTTCCGAGTCCCCTGCATCAACCTTTCACTCAGGCCCTCCCTTGATATGTGTTGGGAGATGATGGCAATGGCCTTGGTTTTCTTGGTTTCCCTTGTGCTCTATTCTAAGGCTTTTAATCCATCAGACTGTTGGCAAAAGCAAATTAAACAGGTATGAGCCAGCCTGCTCTGTTGGAGGTTGTGTGGGAAAGGGGTGCTCAGAGCACTACTACTAATTGGCTTTCCATTCTCCCTCCCCAGTGGCAGCCTCCAAGGGGGCTCCGTGGATTCCCAGGGCTTCCTGAGATAATTTGAAATTGCTGCTGCAAGCTACCATAGATACCACAGCCAGATGTATCTTCCTAAAATTCAGCTCTAATGATATTATCCTCCTCAAAAATCAACAACTGGTTGGTGGGAATGTAAATTATGGCAGTACTGACTTAGGTATTGCCATTCTAGTCCTAGGTGTATTCCCAACAGAAATGTGTACCTATTTTCACCAAAAGACCAGGTATTGGAATGTTCACAGCAGCACTATTCAAATGGAAACTGCCCAAATGACTAAAATGAGAACACAATGAGTCACTCAATAGAATATTATATAGCAAATGGCAATGAACAACCTTTAAAAACACATAATATGGATGAGTCTCGCAAACATAAAATTGAGTGAAAGAAGCCAAATGTAAAAGAGTGAAAAAGGAGACTGGGTGTGGTGACTTACGCCTGTAATCCCAGAACTTTACAAGGTCAAGGCAGGCAGATTACATGAGGCCAGGAGTCCGAGACCAGCCTCGCCAACATGGCGAAACTCCATCTCTACTAAAAATACAAAAAATTAGCTGGGCATGGTGGTGCACATCTGTAGTTCCAGCTACTCGGGAGGCTGAGGCATGAGAAAACACTTGAACCCAGGAGGAGGCGGAGGTTGCAGTGAGCTGAGATCATGCCATTGCACTCCAGCCTGGTCAACAGAGCAAGACGCCACCCCCCAACCGCCCCCGCACCGACCCCCGCCAAAAAAAGGAGTACATACCATATAAGTCTATTTACATTAGGTACTAAAAACGGGCAAAACTGATCTATGCTGTTAGAAGTTGGGATATTGGTTTCCTTTGAAGGGAAAGGTGGGAAAGGAAATACAAAGCAGCTTCTAAGTGCTGGCTGTGTATTTCACTTATGGTTAAATCATTATGATTTGGGTACTTTTCTGTATAATATTTTACTTCAATAAAAAGCTTAAAACAAACAATTCATCAAATATTCCCAATTAACTGTTGCACTAAATGCAACTTTCACTGGGGCCCAGGAACCCTTTTCAATACGGCTGTAATCTATTGTTTCAGAGTACTTTTTCTCTTTTTACTGTGGGGATTCTTTACCCCTAAGGGGTCCAGATATTCCTATGAAATGTTGTGGTAATATACATTTTCTGGGGAGAGGCATTCATGGTATTCCATAGCATTCATCCAGAACATCTGTCAGCTTTTCAAAGGGGCCCCGCAAACCAAAAAAGTAAAGAGCAATCACTCTCCTTGCTGCTCCTCAAATGGTCACTGGAATTTAACTCTGTGACTTATTCCTATTTTGTTTTTATTTTTTCCCCCCAGAAAGCCCTCCCCTCTCTGACTTCCCCCTCTTGAGATTCTACCCATGCTTCTAGGGCCTGTCAGGTCACCTCTACCACCAAGTTTCTGGATTCCCCAACCAAAAATTACCCCTTCGCTCCCTGTCACAGCTATTTATCAGTGGACTGCTATGATGCTCTGGTAGGCCCTGAGGATGTACAAATACTAATCCCCGCTCTCAAGGAGCTTTCTATCCAGTAGAAGGAAAACAGGTGTAACTTTAAGCACACATAAAATCCACATGTAACTTTAAGCAGAAAGAAGAGAGAGAGATAAGGCCAAGGAGAGTTCAGAGGAGAGTGATTCCTTTTGGCTGGGGGAAACTCCAGCAGGCTTCACGGAGGAGGTGGAACTGCCCTGCAGGATCTGGAGCTAGAAGGAAAGTGCATTCTAAGTGAGGGACAAAGGCAAGTGTTGTGAAAGCCATGAGCATGTGCAGGAAAGGGCAGGCAGTTTGGTTCACCCGAAGCAGAGGCACCATGAAGATCTGGAAGGGTGTAGACTGGAATCAGAAGGTTAGCTTTCAGGCTCTGGATTTTGAATTTTATGCTGGAGGCAACTGAAAGCTACTGAAAAATTTAAAGCGGGGCATGATATGATCAGATATGTGCCTTAGTATTTCAGAGGGATTAAGATGATCTCTTCCTCCTTCGAGGGTGTAAAATGCATTGTTCTGCCTCTGTGGTATTTCACTGCCTTTTGCTTCATAATACGGTTATTTTGTATGCTTATTTTTTTATATTCTCCACCCCAACTTGACTTGGCCTAATGGAAGACAAAAATGGTTTCAGTGCGAGCATGCTGTCTTACATGCGGTGGCATTCAATAGATATTTACTTAATGAATATGCAATGTCCACTTAAAATCATTTATGAATGAATAAGGAAAGAAGGTGGGAAGGTGCAAAAGAAAAAACACACAGGAGTAATATAAATAAGCTGGATGAATTCAGGTATTCCGTTCAGCCTTTAGATTCTATGTCTATGCCTAAGTGTTCACTATTCTGAATGACAGACATCTAGAGGAAAAAAATGCAGTCATAAAGGAGAATGTTTAAAGTTACTTAAGATGCTATATGAAGTGTACGTGAGGAATATTGTCCCACATCCTATGTTCTCAAAAGAACTGACTATCGGGGGACCCCCAGTATAAAGCGACTATTATTATCAAGAGAGGCCTGTTTAATGCTTAGCACCTAGAACATGAAATCAGAAAGTCCAGCCTAACCCTTGGCCTTGTTCCCTGACTTCCCATGGGATCTGGAAGGTGGGGAAAAGAGACAGACCATTCAACCTTTCAGGCCCTTGGGTTTCTTATTTTAAAAGAGGGGACTAAGTACTTTAAATACTGCAAAGAAAGGGGCTCTGCCTCCAAATCAAGAAAGAACAAAACACTCCATTGGGAGGGAAGTCAGTTCAGGAATCGAGTGGCAGGTCCCATAGCTCACTACAGCTAATAATGTTCACACTGCTTGTTTTCTTTGTATAACACTGCCTTTGCTTTTGAAGCTCTTTCATGTCTATTATCACACCTCATCACTTTGTCTGGCTAGCATAAGAGGAAACTGAGGCAAAAGGAGATTTAATGACTTGCCCAAGGTCCCCCAGGACTAGGGAAAGGAGCCGGGTTCCTGACCCTCAGACGAGGCTCTCTCCACTCATCTCAAGGCCTTTGTAGGGGCAGCAAGTTTCCGCAGGGGTGACCAGTGATAGCTACTGCCCTCCTGGCAGTTGTGCTTGGGGTGGGCCCCTCCATTTGGTCCAGGCCTGAGTGATTAAGCGCTTTATCATGGCCAAGGGCAATACATGGGAAGCTGAACCTTGGAGGATCTGAGCAGCTGGTGTGGCTTACCCGAGGGAGGGCGTGGGAAAGGAAAAGCAAAACTTAGCACCACTTGCAACTGCACAGGCTCCCAAGCCACACACTGCACAGCCCAGTTTAGTGTGCATGGTGCAGAGCTGACTGTGACTGGAATCAGCCCATTTTCTGATCTGAGTTTCCTTCCCTCTTACTGCAAAGCCCTCCAGTCAGTTAGGCAACAACATGTATCACAAGCCACCAGTATTTAATCTAGCCCTATTTTTGGAGCTGGTTTGGGGTGTTTGCCTTTTCTTCTTCTTTTTTTAAATGAAAAAAATGTTGAAAATTCAAACTATATGCATGTGTATAGAATACAAAGTTAAAACTCTTGCCTTCAAATTTCACTCTAAAGGGGTAACTATTGTCAATATAGTCTTTTTCTTTCAAACTTCCATATCCTCTTCTGGCCTTTGCAAATATACAATCATATACACGTGCACGTATATGATGTGCATGCATCTTTTAAACAAATGGAATCATATTTGCATATGGTTCTGCAATTGCATTTTTCACTCAATAATAAACATATCACAAGTAACCACCCTTGCCCATACAGAGGGTTAGTGTATTTTTATAATTTTAATTTTTCATTTTGAAATTCTTAAAATTTATAGGAAAAAAACCAAAAAGGGCAACATGAAACAATACCTAAAGTCAATTTTGAAAATTTGTAAATTTCTGCAATTTCTTTCCTTCTCCCCAGTGGACTTCCCCCAAACCTTCCTGGGAGTCATTGCAGGACCAACTTCAGAACACACAGGGGAGGGGAAAGAGAAAAACCCAACCAAATGTTATCTGCCTGTTGCAGGACTTTCCAACAAATAGCCCAGGCAGGCTGTGTACTGAGAGATCAGCCCAGAAGATGAGCCTGCAGAATCGTAAGGCCCCTCATACAGCACCCATTCTCCTTGGAGGATAGTCTCAGGTGAAATGGGGCAGTGGCAAGTTCAGTGAGTGTGCAATGCTTGAAGATAGTTTTGCCTTCTGGAAATCTAGGGCCAACGGTTTGCACAGGCAGCTGCCTTGCTCAAATGCAGGAAACTTGAGTTCCTTTCTCACCAGAATGTTCTTTTTGCAGATTCTGCCGGGGCCACCCACAGTGTGTGGCTAACCCTGATAGCTGTCCTGTGTCCCAGCGGGAGTGTGTGTTATTCCTGACTCAAGGGCAGGGCAGAGACCTACTGCCTAGACCTGAGCCCAGGTCTGGGCTGCTATCTAGTACAAGCAGATGGTGAGAGGCAGAGAGAGCACAGGGCAGCTAGAGAGAGTGCTAGAGGAAAGGAGGGTGAGGGCATGCTTCTTCTTTGATAGGTTTTCTGAAGACTGGGGAAACAGCATTTTGGCTGTGATCTGACCCCACAGTGGTAAATGTTTTGACTCCTTCTGCTACATTTAGAACACTGACTACTTCTGTATGTGCACAACGGTGTTCCAGGTCCTTTAGACGCACTAATTTACCCCTCACAGTCACCCTATGCAAGAGTGCTATATTTTCCCCACTACACAGATGGGGGAAGTGAAGCACAGGAAGCTAAATAACTTACCTAGGGAGTAGCAGATATGGGACTTGAACCTACGTACTCTCTGGCTCCAAAGCCCTTGTATCTAGCCATCACATTATGTTGCCTTCTTTATGATTTGTAGAGATGGGGCCTTGCTCTGTCACCCAGGCTGGAGTACAGTTGCAGGATCGTAGCTTACTGCAGCCTTGAACTCCTGAGCTCCAGCAATCCTCCAGCTTCAGCCTCCTGAGTAGCTAGGACTACAGGCACACTACAGGGTCTGGCTCTAGTTGCTTTCTTAGACTAGTATGGTGTTTCTTAAAATGTATTACAATTTTTATTTATTTATTCTTTTTATTTTCTTTTTTGAGACAGCGTCTCACTCTGTCACCCAGGTTGTAGTGCAATGGCGTGATCTCGGCTCACTGTAACCTCTGCCTCCTGACTTCAAGCAATTCTCCTGCTTCAGCCTCCAGAGTAGCTGGGATTACAGGCATGCATCACCACGCCTGGCTAATTTTGTATTTTTTTTAGTAGAGATGGGGTTCCATCTTGTTGGTCAGGCTGGTCTCAAACTCCTGACCTCAGGTGATCCACCCTCCTTGGCCTTCCAAAATGTTGGGATTACAGGCATGAGCCACCGCGCCTGGCCTCAGATGTATTACAATTTAATAGGTATATATTGAAATGGGTTCCATGCCATGTATTTTGGAAAGCCCTAGTTCACACAATGATAAGCAGACTTCTTTCACGCAAGACTTCTCAGGGTCTTTCCTGCACTAAGATACATTTATGATCTGGCAAGAGGCTTGTGGCTTGCAGCATTTCCCCAAATTATTTGCACATAAAAATATTTTCCGAGGAACATCTCATGAGATCATTGTTCTGCTGATCACACTTTGAGTGAATGCTGGCAAAGGGAGTTATTAGGAACAGGGCTTAAGTTCTGGTTCTTGCCATTTAACTGTGTGACTTTTGGAGTTGCTTAATTGGAGCCTGCGTCCTCATCTGCAAAAATGGGAGTGGCAACAGTCTCTACATCTCATGGAACTATCTGAGGATGAAATGCATATGTAAAGTGCTTAAAATTGTGCCTGCCTCCAAACATTCAATAAATGTGACCTCTTATAATGATTATAAAGAATACCAA